>NW_025791771.1:0-300000 GCF_000001405.40 Homo sapiens
GCTCATGTGTCACGAAGTTCTCATGCTGTGGTTTTCAGCTCCATCGGGTCATTTAAGGTCTTCTCTACACTGTTTATTCTAGTTAGCCATTTGTCTAACCTTTTTTCAAGGTTTTTAGCTTCCTTGCAATGGGTTAGAACATGCTCCTTTAGCTCGAAGAAGTTTGTTATTACTGACTTTCTGAAGCCTACTTCTGTCAACTTGTCAAACTCATTCTCTGACCAGTTTTGTTTCATTGCTGCTGAGGAGCTGTGATCCTTTGGAGGAGAAGTGCTTTGGTTTTTGGAATTTTCAGCTTTTCTGCTCTGGTTTTTCTCCATCTTTGTGGTTTTATCTACCTTTGGTCTTCATTGTTGGTGACCTACAGATGGGGTTTTGGTGTGGATGTGCTTTTTGTTGATGTTGATGCTATTTCTTTCTGTTTGTTAGTTTTCCTTCTAACAGTCGGGCCCCTCAGCTGCAGGTCTGTTGGAGTTTGCTGGAGGTCTACTCCAGACCCTGTCTGCCTGGGTATCACCAGCGGAGGCTACAGAACAGCAAATATTGCTGCCTGATCCTTCTTTTGGAAGCTTCATCCCAGAGGGGCCTCCTGCCTGTATGAGGTGTCTGTCGGCCCCTACTGGGAGGTGTCTCCCAGTCAGGCTACACGGGGGTCAGGGACCCACTTGAGGAAGCAGTCTGTCCATTCTCAGAGCTCAAATGCCATGCTGGAAGAACTACTGCTCTCTTCAGAGCTGTCAGACAGGGATGTCTAGGTCTGCCGAAGCTGTCTGCTGCCTTTTGTTCTGATATGCCCTGCCCACAGAGGTGGAATCTAGAGAGGCAGTAGGCCTTGCTGAGCTGCAGTGGGCTCCGCCCAGTTCGAGCTTCCTGGCCTCTTTGGTTACACTGTGAGCACAAAGCCACCTACTTAAGCCTTAGCAATGGTGACACCCCACCCCCCGCCAAGCTGCAGCATCTCAAGTCGATCTCAGACTGCTGTGCTAGCAATGAGCAAGGCTCTGTGGGCATGGGACCCACCAAGCCAGGCACAGGAGGGAATTTCCTGGTTCTGCCAGTTGTGAAGACCATGGGAAAAGCACAGTATTTGAGCAGGAGTGTACTGTTCCTCCAGGTACAGACTGTCACGGCTTCCCTTGGCTAGGAAAGGGAAATCCCCTGACCCTTTGCGCTTCCTGGGTGAGGCAATGCCCTGCCCTGCTTCGGCTCGCCCTCTGTGGGCTGCACCCACTGTCCAACCAGTCCCAATGAGATGAACCAGATACCTCAGTTGGAAATGCAGAAATCACCCATCTTCTGCGTCGATCTTGCTGGGAGCTGCAGACCAGAGCTGTTCCTATTTGGCCATCTTAGAAGCCTCCCTAACTGGCAAACTCTTAACCCTTCAGGGCTCAGCTGAGATGTTGCCACTTCAAGGAAGTCTTTTTTTTTTTTTTTTTGGAGACAGCATCTCACTCTCTCGCTCAGACTGGAGTGCAGTGGCCCGATCTCAGCTCATCGCAACCTCCACCTCCCAGGCTCAAGCAATTCTCCTGCCTCAGCCTCCTGAGTAGCTGGGATTACAGGCGTGTGCCACCATGCCCTGCTAATTTTTATATTTTTAGTAAAGACAGGGTTTCACCATGTTGGCCAGGCTGGTCTTGAACTTCTGACCTCAAATGATCCACCTGCCTCGGCCTCCCAAAGTGCTGGGATTACAGGTGTGAGCCATCGCGCCCAGCCCAAGGAAGTCTTTAGAGACCTCCTACCACCCTACACAGTACCCTTCCTCTATAGTCTTACAGCACTCTTACTGACCCTCTTCCCCATTTCAACCCCTTTCATACTGTGATTAACTGGTTAATCATCAGCTTCCATTGCTAGACTGCCCTCTGCAAGGGCATGCCATATTCGTTACAATAGATCAAGCAGTTAGCCCTCTTGGGTACTGGCACACAGATCTTTGCAACTCTCCTTCCTCATTGGCTGACAACAACAAAAACAACAACAACATTTTCTGATACTACCACCACCACCATTGGTTAAAGCTTTCTATATGCCACAAATTGTTCTAGTCACGTTACTTGAATCTTGCCAATAACTCTATGAATAGGTATTCTTTTTTTTTATTATTATACTTTAAGTTTTAGGGTACATGTGCACAACGTGCAGGTTTGTTACATATGTATACATGTGCCATGTTGGTGTGCTGCACCCATTAACTCATCATATGAGTAGGTATTCTTATCCCCATCCTACGGTTGAGGAAACAATCTTGGAGAGGTTAAGTAAGTTGTTTTGTTTTGTTTTACTACTGGTCAATATTGGAGCTGAGGTTCAAACCCAGGAAGCTGACTCCTGGGTCAATGAAGCCCTTTTGGGAAACATTTCACCTCTGGTATTGGCTTTGGGCTTTGAAACACATTGTCCTTTATTGCTTTTTAACAATGAATGAGCTTTGTATATGCAATTTGCCCTGCTTCCCTATGCTCTCTTTCCTAAATGTGACTGTTGGTGTCTTGTGGCCTAGAAGTGCCTCCAGCTCCCCGCATGGATGTCCTGGGTTCAAAATGCATCTTCTTTATTATACCAAACACACTATCCCTCCTTATCACCTTTGCTCATGAAAGACACCCACAGCATCCTACAGTGAAAAATCAGCACTGGGCGGGGAGAGGTGTATTCCAAGCAGTCGTACGGCATCATAGCAGATCATGCGTTCCTGAAGTTTCGGTTCTCGTGGCTTCATGGATGGAGAGCTGAGGCTCCTGATGGGATTGACCCCGTCTGAATCAGAGAGCTGTAATGGAATAGGGCAAAAGGAGACATTCCATTACAAAGTCAAACCATGGTAAACAACCACAGCCAAAGGAAATAGAAGAAAGAAAGAAAGGAAAGAAAATACAAAAAACAATTATATACAGAAGAAGGATGGCAAGTTGCTGGAAGACAAACAGTTTGCCTACATCTTAGAATTCTGGAACAAAGATGTGGCCACGTTTCTTGAGTCTTTTATAGGAACTTTAGACTAGTATTTCTTGAGTTCAGCATCCACAGGCAACTGAATGGATGTTAGGTGGGCAAGAAGATAGCCAATTTTAGGTACATGTTTCAAAAGACTTATCAAATTTTTAGAAATAAAAATAAAGCATAATATCTTAAACTTATTAATCATTTTAATATCAGTAATGAGAAAATATTATTTGAAGTTAATCATTTACAACTTCTATATCTGGGTCTATTGGATACATCTGTTTCACAACAAGTCATTTTTAAGTGGTTTTCACACTTTTTATTTTTGTAGATCCTAATTCATAATTACAGGTGGTTGCAAATGACAACAAGTGTTTGGTGGCTATCTAAAATTATTCTGAGTATTTAGATAGAAGAGGACCCTAAAATTATGTTGTGATTTCATACAAAACATTAAGTGTTTGCCAGATGCTAAGTTGACAAACATACTTTATTCAGAGTATTGGATGGTTCAACTCTGGCGATAGCAGCAAATGGATTCTGTTGTGGTTTGAACTACATCAACTTGCTTAGGCTGGAGTTATGTTTCCCAGAATCCCCTTCTCTGAGTGGTCTCAAGTTAGAATTGGTCCAGAGAATAATTTGCACAACGTTTGGAAGGTAGAAGTGAAGCAGCCACCATTATTCTCTGAAGATTCTCAGGGTTGGATGTGACAGACAGATGCAGAGGTGCTGGCGGGTTCCATTTATCCTTGCTGTCCTCCTCTCTGTGGCCTGGTATTCCTCCTGGCTGATGACCTTGTTGACCTGCAGTGGTCCTGGCCCATCACAAGATGCATGGGGACTGTAATTAATTTATCATTGCATCTCCAGTGTATGGTGCAGATCCTGTCTTATCAGTATCTTAATTGGTCATTGAATAAACACATGTGCATGGTTTTATATGCATTGATTTTTGGCTACTCAGCATTGGGAAATAATAATACAATTTTCTGGAGAATCATCCCTGTCCCACATTTAGTCAATGTATGTTGGGTAAGGTTTATTTCACACCTAGCTCCACTGACCGCATGAGTTCAGCCAGGCCAATCAAGTTATTACATTCACTTGGCTACAGTGGTTGGCCTGGGGATGGAACATGACTCAGCCCAAGCCAATAAGATGTGGTGAGTCTTTTGCTGTGACTGTCACAACAGAGGCACATGGCGTTTTCTGCTGGACCTGAACCTGGGAGGATATAGGCCTGACTCTGTTGGCAGCCATTTTGGCGCCACACTGAGCCTGAGAATGAAGCCAACATTGTGAATAGCAACGTAATGAGAAGAAACAAGAGTGGGTTCTGATAATATTTGAGCCCCCTGGATTGAGCTGTGCCTGAAGTCAGTATCCCCTGGATTTCAATTATGTGAACCAATAACCATCCTCCCCCTTATTTTTTCCCCTCAAACCACTATGGAGTGGGATTTCTGTGATGTGGAGCATAAACTGTCCACTCACACTGAATAGTTTTCAATTTCCCTTTAGGAGCAAAACGCCTTTTTCAAATGAATGTTCACACAGAATCCCATTACACAGCAATGTTAATAGCAGAGCTCACGAGGACCAGGACCTGCTCTCTTGCCCTCCATCCCCCAAGTTCTGAAGCAGTTCCTGATGCCTCTGTGGAATGCTGGTCTTGGCAGAACACAGTTAGAAAACCATTAATTTAGCCCATGTCTGTTATTTTAAAGGTAAGAAAACTGAAGTTCAGAAAAGGGAGGGGACTGACTCAATCCCAGCTGCTGGCAGATCTGGGACTGCAAACCAGCCTTCCATTGCTCCACACAGGTGTCTCTTCTCACGTGGAATCACAGCATTGGATGGACTGAAAAGAGGAAGAGGCTGCAATGGAGCAGCACACCTGGTGCGTGGGGATGCCTGGAAAACAAAATTAGGAGAGCCCTGGGTCAGCATTGCTCTGGCACTGGCTGGGCCGGGGGCCATCCTGATTCTAGAATTATCTTGGTTCCTGGGATAGAAATGTCCCCAGAGTGGAGAAGTTCAGTTCAATCCAACATCCTTATATTGCAATGAGGATAAAGACCACAGACCCTATGGCCTGTATGACCCAGCTGCCCATTTCTAGGAACCCATTCCTACAGAAATGACAACATGCGTGTGCAAACAGCAACAATGACAAACATACCCTGGGATGCTTTCCCTCTGTGGTTTGTTATAGTAAGATAGCGGCTACAGCTTATATATCATCAACAGAGGACTGGCTAAATGATGGCACTTCATTCTGCAGAATCTTTTTTTGTAGTCAAAAAGAACAAGTTAGATCTATATGTGTGAACATGGAAAGGTGTACATGACTTAAGTAGAAAAATTAAGTTGCAGAACGATATTTATAGTATAATTTCATTCTTACAAAAACCGTTTTCTAAAACTGTGTGTGTAAAAGGGCTGGAAGGATACATCCACAGTCTTAATACTGGTTACATCCGGGGAGGAGAGTTGGGGCTTGAGGCAGACTTTGGCCATTCAATTTGGATGGGGGCCAGAGACCCCCGCCTCTCAGATCTGAGACTGCTGTACTTACTTTCCTGCCTCCTTTGCAGCACAGGCCATGACAAAGACTGTTAAATCACCTTGGGTGGGAGGGGACAGGGCGTTTCCTCTATCTGGCAGAGGGGGCTGCAAGGTCAAGTTCCTGACAGAAGTGGTGCTGTTTCCTACTGTAGCATGCAGTGGTTATGTACTGTAGTGCTTAACGGTGGCAGAGGCAGCTTCAAACACACCAGCACACTGGTCAACTTTGGGGTCTTACTCTTGGAAGCCTGGCCTGGAGCTTCCCTCTCACATTCTGTGAACCACCCAGTATCCTTCTAGTAAACTCTTCTGCTTCATTGTTCAGAGTCAGCTGAGTTAGAGGGACTTCTGATTATTTTATACATGTCATCTGATACCTAAATATATGTATACATTTTTTAACCAAACATATTTAAGAGGATACAGATGATCTCGCCTAAAGGAGCATGCAGTGCATAGAGGTGTGTGCCCCTGCCCTGTTTTGTATTTTATTTTATTTTTTGAGATGGGGTCTTGCTTTGTTGCCCAGGCTGGAGTGCAGTGGTGGGCTCTCGGCTCACTGCAACTGCCTCCTGGGTTCAAGCGATTCTCCTGTCTCAGCCTCTCGAGTAGCTGGGATTACAGGTGCATGCCACCACGCCTGGCTAATTTTTGTATTTTTAGTAGAGGCGGGGTTTCACCATGTTGGCCAGGCTGGTGTCGAACTCCTGACCTCAGGTGATCCACCTGCCTTGGCCTCCCAAAGTGCTGGGATTACAAGTGTGAGCTACCACGCCTGGCTCGCCGCCCTGTTTTGAACCAGGGTTTTCATGAAAGAGGTGAATGTGCTGACCATTAAACAGCAACTACAGCAAACTTGGTTTGCAGTGAGATGTTTGCTCGGAAATGTTCTTTTCTTTTTAAATAAGCAACTTCCTGAGCTGCAAGTTAGTCTTAGGCATGGCTCCCTCACCGGGAAAGTTGTGTCCTGTGCAGGCTGCACTTCCCACTGTCCCTGTGCATCTGCCTGGGCCTTCTTCCTCTTGGTTCTTGGGTAGACTGACTCTGTCCCCTGAAAGCCTGGTCCTCTGAGGAGACTGAAGTTTGCATGTCACACAGAGCCGGGAGATCTGGCCCTGGATGAAACTAGGGGACAGCTCCCAACGGCTGCTCAATTAGTGAGTTTCCTTTGTACTTCAACTTGGGTAAGCTGGGCTAATTAATAAGTGGACTTGAGAATGACAAACCTTCATGGCCAAGGTCCAAAATGTCATGTTGGTGGAAGATGGCAAAAGTCTGGTGAGAGGGATGTCAGAAGTAAAAGGACTAGGTACCAGGAAATGAGGAATCAGGATAGCATTGTCCACAACTACTAAAGGTCCATGTTGATTTATTTCTTTGCTTTTTCAATGACCTTTTGATATTTGAATTTCACACATCGCTGTCTTAGTTTGCATCCTCCAGAAGCAGTACCTGAGACAAGGATTCAAGTGCAAGTGGCTTAATTGAGAAACAGTCATTCAGGGATCACCATTCAGGGACTGGAGAAGTAAGACAGGGAAGGAAGGAAGCCAATGGAGAGTGCGTTATTGAGCAAGTTACCACTGTGGGCAACTGGAGCTCAATGCCTCTGGGGAACTCTGGGAGCCAGTGTAGAATATACAGCTCAGAGTTTTTTCATTGGAGCAAAGGGAGTCATTGGTTGAGTGTTGCTCCAGGGAAGTGTTCATTCTCTAGCATTTCTGGCCTGCCATGTGTGTGGGCAGAGAGGGCTCCAGTAATCAGGAAGCCTTCGACAAAGAGTCTTAGATGCTGGCTGTTGGAAGTCAGGCCACATGCACAGAAATATCACATGCTGGTGGCATCTGCGTGGAGCATCCACAGCATCTGCTACAAGTTTCTTTCCTTCTTTGCACAGCTCATGAAATTTGCCTGCCTTCTAATCAGTGCGTGGAGACTGCAAGGTAAGCAAAGAGTTTCACTTGATCTTAGGTGATCATAGACGACTGATCTCATTTATATTCTGTTTAGGTATCCATGTTTATAGTCAAAATATATCAAATTGCTTAATATCCATACCACACACAGAATAAGATAACATACCTGGTTTTTAAAAAATAACTTCAGCGGCAAAATACATACTATTTTAACAGCATCCAAATTTGAGAGAGAGGTAAAAATATATTCCCTCTTATATAGTGAGATGGATGGAAACCAGAACAGAAAGCCCTGAACCCTTGGGGTTGCCCATGTAAATACTGTGACGGCCTACAATGCACTGAGGGAGTGGCTACTTGGTGTTGCCTATGGTCATTTGCCACCTTTTGTGATGAGCCTCCAACTGGGACACCTGGCCATTAGGTCCTAGTTACTCAGGAAGCTAACCTGTTAGTCACTAAATTCACTGTACTGTTGTTTTCCTAGGGAAAAATAAGTGCTGATGCATGATGTATTGCAGTTGTTTGAAAACATGCCTCAAGTTTTACATCATCTGTATCTTAATCCCTTTGGGCTGCCACAGCAAATTGCCACAGACCAGGTAGCTTAGAAACAGCGGAAATTTATCTCTCAGTTCTGGAGGCTGGGAAGTCCAAGATCAAGGTGCTGACAGATTCAGTGTCTGGTGAGGGCTCACTTTCTGGTTCGTAAATGGTGCCTTCTTGCTGTGTCTTCACGTGTTGGAAGGGGCAAACAAGCTCCCTTGGGCTTCTTTCATAAGGGCACTAATCCCATTTACGAGTGGGTGGACTTAAGTGAGGAGTGGTTCGGACAGCCAACAAGACTATCAAACACCCACCACAATAGGTTGTTTTAAAGATGAGGAAACAGAGCCTCAAGGAGGTAGAGAAATGCCGCATGTTCCACAACTGGTCAAGAGCAGAACTAGGATTTGAACCCAAGTGGTCTGATGGCCCAGCTCCTGCTGTGTTCTTTCCTTCTGCTCTGTCACCTCTGGTATGGGTAATGTCTGCTCTTGCTCACGTACTTTGTAGGGGACAGAGCTTTTAGAGAATAGGAGGTTTGGGGGAAGAGGGGAAGGAAAGGAGGGCAGGTGGGGACTGTTGGAACAGGGACCCAACCCAGGGAGTCAGACTTGTTGGAGGCTGCCTCAGGACAGTCAAGGACACTGAATCCACTGACTCTCCACTCTCCCTCCTCTCTGTTAATTGGTTTGAGGAGAGGTCTATGTTAAAGAGCTGGAGCCTGATGAATTGTTATGATTGTGGGAAGGAATGGATGCTCACAGGCTCAGACAGAAAAACAAAATGAATTGGCCTATCTAGATACTTCCCACAAAATGCTTTCAGTTCCACGTTAATTCCAAGTTTGTCTCTTAAGCACATTTGGAATATGTAAATAATCTTAGAATGTCACAATCTAGAATGTAATTTAGATAAGCTGAGAACCAAAAGAGAAGACCGCATTGCCTTGTCTGTCAGGCCTGTGTGGGTCCGATTTAATGACTCCTGATGGTATGAGGTTGAATTGGGCAGCAGATTGGACACATAGCTATAGTGCCAGCTATTCATGTTTAAAATGTCATTTTAGACTGGGTGCAGTGGCTAACGCCTGTAGTCCCAGCACTTTGAGATGCTGAAGCAGGTGGATTGGTTGATCCTAGGACTTTGAGACCAGCCTGGGCAACATGGCGAAACCCTGTCTCTGCAAAAAAACAAAAACAAAAACGAAAAAACCCAAAAACCAAAAAAATGAGCTGGAAGTGGTGGCACACACCTGTAGTCCCAATTACTCTGGAGACTGAGGTTGGAGGTTCTCTTGAGCCCTGGAAATGGAGGTTGCAGTGAGCCGAGATCATGTCACTGCACTCCAGCCTGAGCAACAGAGTGATACCCTGTCTCAAAAAATAAAAGTAAAAATAAAATGTCTTTTAAAATGCAGTCATGCACCACATAATAACATTTTTGTCAATGATGGATGATAAGATGCTGGTCCCATAGATCATAACGGAGCTGAAAAATTCCCATTGCCTAGTGACGTAGCTGTCATAATGTTGTAGCATAACATGTTACTCACATGTTTGTGGTGATGCTCATGTGTGAGGCTGGGAAAGGTGGCTCTTGTCTGTAATCCCAGCACTTTGGGAGGCTGAGGTGGTAGGTTGCTTGAGGCCAGGAGTTGGAGACCAGCCTGGGCAACACAATGAGACCCGGTCTCTACAAAATAACAAAAAAATCCAACTTACTATGCTGCCACATAAAAAAGCATAGTATATACAATTATGTGCTGAACATAATACTTGATAATGATAATAAATGACTATGTTATTGGTTTATGTGTTTACTATACTATATTTTTATTCATATTTTAGAGTGTACTTCTACTTATTAAAAAAAGTTGACTGTAGAACAGCCTCAGGCAGGTCCTCTAGGAGGTGTTCCAGAAGAAGACATTGTTATCATCAGAGATGACAGCTCCATATGCGTTACTGCTCTGAAGACTATCAGTGGGACAAGATGTGGAGGTGGAAGACTGATATTGATGGCCCTGAGCCTGTGTCGGCCTATGCTAATGTGTGTGTTTATGTCTTCACTTTTAACAAAATGTTTAAAAAGTAAAAATAAATTTTAATAGAAAAAAACGTGCAGAATAAGGCTATAAAGAAAGAAAATATTTCTACAGCTATATAACATGTTTGTGTTTTAAGCTGTTATTATAGAAGAGCCAAAAAGTTAGAAAAATTTAAACATTTGCAAAATAAAAAAGTTATAGTAAGCTTAGTTTATTGCTGAAGAAAGAAAATTAAAGAAAAAAAATTTAGTGTAGCCTAAGTTTTCCGTGTTTATAAAGTCTACATTAGTGTACACGAATGTCCTAGGCCTTCACATTCACTTACTCACTGACTCACCCAGAGCAATCTTCCAGGCCTACAAGCTCCATTCATGGTAAGTGCCCCACACTGGTGTACCATTTTTAATCTTTTATAGTATATATTTTACTGTACGTTTTCTTTGTTTAGATACAAAAGTATCTTTGTGTATCTAAATCTTTGTGTTACAATTGCTTACCTTACCTTTGTGTTACAATTGCCTACAGTATTCAGTACAGTAATGTGCTATGCAGGTTTGTAGCTTAGGAGCAATAGGCTACACCGTGTAGCCTGGGCATATAGTAGTCTATACCATCTAGGTTTGTGTAAGTATGTTCCAAGAGGTTTGCACAACAATATTGCCTAACAACACATTGACGGAGTCTCACTTGTCGCCCAGGCTGAAGTGCAGTGGCATGATCTCAGCTCACGGCAACCTCTGCCTCCCAGGTTCAGGTGATTCTCCTGCCTCAGCCTCCTGAGCAGCTGGTATTACAGGTGCATGCCACCATGCCCGGTGAATTTTTGTATTTTTAGTGGAGACAGGGTTTTGCCATATTGGCCAGGCTGGTCTCGAACTCCTGACCTCAGGGTGCCTCAGCCTCTCAAAGTGCTGAGATTACAGGCCTGAGCCACCGCGCCCGGCCCTAACAATACATTCTCAGAATGTATTCCCATCACTATGTGACGCATGACTGAATAACTTCCACTGGGTTCAACTGACCCCCCATCTGGTTGTTACTTTGGTGCACTTATTTCCATTTAATCTGTCCTCCTTACTAGGTGGATACTATTATCAGATGAGATATGGAGTCCCTATAAGGTGTAGCAACTAACCCTGTGTCTGGCAGCTGGTAAGTGGCAGATCAAGATTTGGACTCAGGTCTTAAGTCTCGGACCATAGCTAGGTCAATTGTTCCACCACAGAGCCATCCCACACTAGGCAGGATTTCCTTGTGTCCTGACTCAGAAAGGCAGCTGTGGCAATGCGGATCTGTTATGTGGCTCTAACTACCATCCCCATCAGCTCACCACTGAGGCGAAGAGGTATGTGTTTGTTATCTATTACTGGGTCATAAATTACCCCCAAATTTGTACTGGTTTTCTATTGCTATGTAACAAATTACCTCAAAGCATAACGGCTTAAAACAATATCAATTATACTACAGTTTTTGTTAGTCAGGAATCCCGAAGTGGCTTATCTGGGTGCTTCTGGCTCAGGGTCTCTCATAAATGGCAGTTAAGCTATTGGCTGAGGCTGAAGGTTTGACTGGACCTGTAGGGTCCGCCTCTGAGGCGGCTCCTGACATGGCTGGCAAATTGGTGCTTGAGGTTAGCAGGAGGCTTTACTTCCTCTCCACATGGGCCTCTCCACAGGCTGCTTGAGTGTCCTCACGACATGGCGGCTGGTGTGGCTTTCCCGGGATTGAGCAACCCGAGACAGTAAGGTGGAAGGGACAATGCTTTTCGTGGCCTATCACAGCAGTCCCACAATATCCTATTTGTTAGAAGGAAGGCACTAAGATCAGCTCCTGTTTGAGGGAAGGGGAATTAGTCTTCACCTTTTGGAGGAAGGAGTGTCAAGAGAATGTGTGGATATATTTTAAAACCACCACAGGGTGACATTTCCTGCCATTTGCGTACACATCCCAGCATAGCATTGGGGCTCCCCTCACCCCTTCTTGCCCCGCCAGGGCTGTGAGTATTCTGTGTCGTTTCCCATGTGTGAGACCCTGTGTGTGGATCCCACAGGCAGATTAGGTCAGAAGAGGATTCTGGGAAAAGAAAAGTCAACCTGTCATTAGAGATCATGGACAGTGGGCTGAGTCCAGCACAGGACTCTGAGAGGGAGGCGGGGCAGGAAGGCAGTCCATTCTTAACATACTTATGTAGTCACTTTTCTGTCTTGAGGCACACAAAAAAAACAAGGTCATATCTTTTAATGTCTCAGTAAAACAGCTTGAGCCCTCCCCTTATCACCTTGAGAAACGCCTCAGGCCTTCCTCCAAGGAAAGACCCCCAGGATGCTTAGTCATATCCAAAATGTCAATCCCTGTCCTTTCCACCTTGCCTTTGCAGTCAGAACCTCCACCCAAGGCCAGAGGATGCCCCAATGTCATGTGCACTCTATCTACCCCACTGGCATCCCAGGCAGTGTGATCAGGGCTTAGTGTCCTGCTTCTGCCACCTCCGCAACTGCTGGCACAGACCTTTTCATAGTTGCAGCAGACCCTGGGGCATGTGGAGGGAGGACCCATCTTCGACTCCCCATTGCACTCAGCAGATGTGGCCACCTTCCAGTATCACTGACTCAGACACACGCACCCAGCCCTTGCCCAGGGTGCAAGCCTGCCTTCAGGAAGGATGACTGCACCCAGGCTGGCTGTCTCAGCTCCTGGACTCAGAATCACTATTACCTCCTCAACCCCAACTTCCTGCAGGAGCTAGTTCACCTGTTTTTTATGTCAGGGACCTTGGGGCCTTCCCTGTCACTGGATTTGATTCGGAGTCATCCCAATCTCACAACATATTATTTATTCCCCCCTTCATGTCTTTGAATAAAATTGATGCACCCAGAAGGTATAACATGTATATCTTGCAGCTTCAAGTACAAGAGGTCCTAGGCTTCAACTTAAAAACTTTCTGGGGGAAGGCATAAGAAGGCTTTTCTTGTGGGAGCGTGTTAAGCAGCAGAAGGGGTCCCAAAACGTGTTTAGTGTTTACCCTTCCCTAAAGACATTTGCTTAGAGTTTGGAGTACACTGAGGCTGCCTGAAAGAAGACAGGGAAGAAGCTAGAACTGCCCTTCCATTTCCTGCAAAATTTCATCTCCTGCCCCACTCCCCTACTCGTAACTCTCCTTTAGACACACTCCTCTATGGCAGACAACTTCTGATACATTCAATTCCAGGTACTCATTTTTTGGTGAATGTTCCATTGCATCTGAATGATATTGAAGTGAACTTCTCTTACCTGCATGTGTGTGCACACACACACGCACACACACGCACGCACACACACACACGTGCGCTCACATGCACATGCGCACACACACGCACATGCACACACGCACGCATGTGCATACACATGCACACACGCACATGTACACATACACACACACACATGCACCCAAGGTCAACACCTTAAAATCCCACTGCATTTAAACCATGAGTGGGTGGGACCTTGAGGAAATCACCAAAGATGTTTCAGGAGTCTCCCTCTGATGGCCCACATCTGGGAAGCCCTGGAGAGATGTGGATTTGACAATTTACGAAAGCTAAGGTAGAGAGGGCCCTGAAAAAGGAGCTGGCTAGCCGGCCGCTGATGTGAGAGTGAGGTCATGGGTGCTTGGGTTGTGACTCACCTCTCCAGCCCTTCACAGGGCACCTGAAGCACCTGGGGGTTTGAGGGCTTGAACACTTAGACAAAGGAAGGCTCTAAAATGGCCCACTGAAACATGCAGACACCTTGAGAAAAGTGTTTTGAGTTTTTCTTTTACTCCAAATAAAAATAGCTATTTTAAAAGAGTGGAATAAATGACATAATAATAATGGCACTAAATTGCTAACATGTACCAGTTGCTTCCCTCATGCTGCGATGTGCAGAGTGGCTCATTACATTTAATCCTCACAACAAACCTTTGGGTATGATTCCCTGTAACAAATGGGGAGAGCTCAAATAACTTCTCAGGGCCACATACCTGATGCTGTGGACTGAATGCATGTATCCTCCAAAATTCTTATGTTGAAGCCCTAACCCCCAATTCGCCTGTATTTGGAATATGAAAGTAATTGAGGTCATAAGGGTGGGGTTCTGATCTGATAGAATTAGTGTCCTCTCTCTTGCTCTCGCTCTCCCCTCCCTCCGCCTCTCTGCAAGCACGAAGAGGTCATGTGAGTCCATAGCAAGAAGGGGACCATCTGCAACCCAAAGGAAGAGCCCTCACCAGACACCAACTCTGCTGCCCTTGATCTTGGACTTTCAGTCTCCAGAACTGTGAGAAAATAAATTTATGTTATTTAAGCCACCCAGTCTGTGGTATTTTTTTATGGCAGCCCTAGAAGACTAATATATCTGACAAGCCACTACATTGGGATTACGAGCACCACAGCCCTCACTGTTACTCATCACCCTAAACTGCCTCCAACAAATATCATCATTTTAATATTTTATGTTTTGCTAAGCCATAGGCTAGCTTTAATATTTCAATTGAAGTGAGAAGTGTTTTTAAAACTTGGCATTATGTTGTACAGCTGTATTCTAACACTGATGGTTGTTGCTTAAAGCCGTTTCACTAAATTTAGATCTCTGGAAAAAAATTTGTTTGAGCATGGAAACAGGTTGGAAATATTGCACCCAATAATAACAGTTTAACTTTTGGCTTATGAAATACTTCAGTGGGAAAGTATTTGCTCAAATCTCTGCCTGCTATTATAGTTGAAGGCTTGGCGATAGTATTTGCCCTTCCTCTGAACTTTCTGGATATCAAAGCCACGTGGAAGTATAGCTTGTCTTATGTATGAAAAACAGGGCAAGGCAACTTTTGAAGAATTGCCGTTAAGAGGTGCATTTAGCTGTGTCAATCATTTAGACAACGATTATCTGGTATGTGAATGATCCAAACCCTTTTTATTTTTTTCTGCCTCTTTTGAAAATACTGTGAGGAGCCATCTGGCTATTGACCACTTCTTCCTTCCACATGATGGCTGGTCTACCTACCTCAGTTGGCAAAGTCCCCTCAACAGAGGCCAGGGCCAGAGGGCAGGGCTTGTTAATAGATGGGAATGAGAGCTGCCCTTGGCTCCTCTTTCTTTCTCTGTTGTGTGAAGGTCAAGTTGTCTCCTCATTTGGAGATCAGATAGCTGTGTGTGCACAGCTCTTGATCCACTTCCCTATTTCTAACTTTGATTAGTGACTTTGGCTTTACGGAGGTAGCATCTTCTACATCCACTGCTGGATGTAGACATCCACTGTGTCTCTGTAGACAATTCAAGCAGTACTAAAGGAGTGATAGATAGACGATAGATAGATAGATAGATAGATAGATAGATAGATAGATAGATAGATAGGCAAGAATAGCCCATAATCTCAACCATAATCATTATTAACATTTAGGGTAAACTTCCAAATCTCTTTCTTTGTGCATATATACATACAGATGCATAGAAATTTACATATACCAGATTATAGTAGGCATGTCCTTAAGGAACTTGAGTTATTACCCTTGTTATGCTGCAGGGATTGTTCCTTGTCAGTGTGTAAAGTTGCATGCCAACCTTTTGTAACAGGCTGTGTAAGGTGCTGATTCAACCAAATAGTGGATAGTATAGGCTGGATTGTGCATTGTTAAGAACCAAGTGGCTAAGTTCTTTAGGGCTAACTCCAAAGAAAACCCGACAGTTGGCATTAGATGCCATGTGCCCCAAGAATGAGAGAGGATGAACTGACTTTATGGGCCTTGCTCTTTTGGAGGGATTAGAACTACAGAGATCACTTTTGGGGGGAGTGCAGTGTTCATGGGCTGGTTATGTAATAAACGGTATATTATCTTGTAATATATGGGGTGTGATGCTGTCTTCTCTTCTAAACTGAAAAAACTTGATTGCAGAAACACATTTGGCCCTAAGAGTTTTGGACAAGGATTGTGAACCCATCATATGGTCAGTCCTCATTTCACATGGTTCTATGGTAACTGAGATAAAATCTCAGACTGCATCTTCCCAACTGGATCACTGTGAGGTTTACATAAGATAAAGTGATCTATAACATGCTTAGTGCAGTGTGAGACACATAGTGAGTGAGCCTTCCTTGCTGCTAGCAGTCCTATCACCTTACAGCAGCATCTGCTCTGCTCGAGTGTCTGTACCCGTCAGGTCTCTGCAAACCGGGCTCTCATAATCAGTGGGGAGTGTCTAAACCTCCATTTAGGGTCCTCCTACGGTACACTCACACAGACCCCAGAAATGCAAGCAGTCCCTTGGGGGAGACAAGGAGGATGTTAGAGAGTTATGGTTGGGAAGCTTTGTCAGGGAGAAATTAGCATTTCCCATCGGAGACCATGGGAAGGGCACTCTAGAAAAAAGAGCACAGGAAAAAGTATGGCTCAATACAGGGTCCAGAAATACTCACCTGGAGGAACTATGTGTATTTCCTGCTATAGTAATATAGCATAGTATTTGTAATGAAAAATTGTATTCTAAACCTAAAGATTACTAAGCCAATTGGCTTGTATTAAGAGCCTTAGATATCTACCTAGCTTTGACCTAGTAGTTAAGCATTTAGGAAATAATGAGAGGCAGATAAAAATCTACAAATGTATAAGCAAAAAGAAAAAAAAAGATATTAGAGAAAGGAAGGATTAAAAAGACTAATTAATCTTAAGAGTTTTTCCTTTTTCTTTTCTTTCTAGAGACAAGGTCTCACTGTGTCATCCAGGCTAGAGCATAGTGGTGGAATCATAGCTCACTGTAGCCTCCATCTCCTGGGCTCAAGTGATCCTCCCATCTCAGCCTCCCAAGAAGTTAGGACTACAGGTGCATACCACCATGTCCGGTCACTTTTTTCGCCCTAGAGATGAGGTCTCACTATGTTGTCTCAAACTCTGGCCTCAAGCAATCTTCCCATCTTGGCTTTCCAGAAGTTGGGATTACAGGCATGAGCAACTGTGTCTGGCCTCCAAGACTTTTTTGAGGCTTCTGAAAAGCCAATGTTGTTTTCACCCCAACATTTAATCATTCCAATATTCCTCTCTGCAGTGAGGCAGGAGGGAGCAGAGCAGTATAACCATCACTTCTTTTGCATTGTTACAGTAGCAGTAACAATTCAACAAAGTATGTATGTAACTGTTTAATTGTTTAACAATGTAACTGTTTAACAAAGTAACTGTGGAGAGCAATTTTGCACAGCTTATAGAAAACGCCAATGCTAGGTGAGCTGATAGAGCATGCTGTTCAGTTTGCAGCCACTAAGGCTAATGGAAAACCTTCAGATTCCTTCTTGAAGTGAGAGCATAAAGGAATGGAGGGCATTTGGTTGCCATTTCCGTTGGGAAATTGGACAAGAGGTTCAGTTTTTCAAAAGTCTCCATTCCATAAAGCAAATCTACATTTTGCATGGCCAGGTTTGAAATAGTATGCCTCTCCCCTCCAGCTGGTGACCCTGGAGACACGCCCTTCAGGTCAAGTCTCTGTAAAACAGCTTATTCTGGCAACTAGGAAATTGAGCTCACTCTTGAGCTCAGATTATACGAATAACTAATACATGTTTAGCGTTTTATGGTTAGGAAATGCTGTCCTGAGAAGCTCATCAATAGGTTTATTAGTTATTGGTATCCTTGTTTTATTGATTTACTAAAATTACACAGTTGTTCGGGCCTGGGAGTTAAATTCTCTTCACCAGATGCCAAATCCTACGTTTTTCTTACCACATCATGGTGCCACAGGTTAAGGAATACAGTGCAGGGTTCTGAATCTCTCTCCTGTAGGACAGTGCTTCCCAAGCCTGGCTACTTGACAAATCTCCCAAGAGGTGTTGGAAATGCAGATTCCTGGGCCTTGCCCCTAGATTCTGACCTAGAGTGTTATTAGTAAATCTGTATTTTTAAATAGTTGCCTGGTGGTCTAATATACAGTCAGGATTGACAGCTACTGTTTAGTTAAATCAAACACCAATGCTATAATTTTTAACCGATATCATTTTTAGGGTTTGGTTTCCAAAGTTGGAAATCAGTGTGTTTTAGATCAGTGGTTTCCTGTCTTCTAAAACCTACCTTACCTTTAAAGAATCTGTTGAAATCTGTGGATCTTTCCCTAAGAAACACACAAACACACACATACACACTTTTATATATAATTCTAGAGGGCTATATTAGTTTCCTGCTTCTGCTATAACAAATGGTCACAAGCATAGCGGCTTAAAACAACAACATTTATTATCTTACAGTTCTGGATGTCAGAAGTGGGACAGGAGTCTCACTGGATTAAACTCAAGGTGTTGCCTTTCTGGAGGCTCTAGGAGATAATCCATTTTATTGTCTCTTCCATCTTCTAGAAGCTGCCTGTATTACTTGGCTCATGGGTCCCTTCTTTTATCTCCAAAGCCAACAATGTGGCATCTCTCTGACCCCACTTCCACTTCACATCTCTTTCTCGTGCTACAGCCAAGGAAAGGTTCTCTGCTTTTAAGGATTCACATAATTAGACTGTGCCCAGCCAGATAATCCTGGAAAATCTTTCCATCTCAAGACCCTTAACCTTAATCACATTTTCAGTCCTTTTTTGCCATATAAGGTGACATATTCACAGGTTCCAGGGATTAGGAGGGGGACTATTAGTCTACCAACCACAGGGGATCTTAGGACCTCTGAAGCAACATGGAAAATGAGTGAACTCTAGGTTAGGAGCATCTGTTCTAGATTCCATTCATTCTAGATGTTAAATCAACAAGAAATTCTGCTTGCCTACAAATAACAGAATCCCTAAAAGCAGTGGCTCTTATAAATTAGGTGTTTACTTTTTTTCAGGTAGTAAGAAGTCCCCAGGAAGGCATCCCATGTCAGGTGCAGCAGTTCTAGCATGTGACAGCTGAAGTCTCTGCAATTCTCCTGGCCTTTCCTTTGAGGTGGCCCTCAAAACAGCTGCTGCATCTCCAGCCATGACCTCTGTGCTTCATGCAAGAGGGGCAAGGGCACAGGACAAAAGCCATAAGTCAGCTGAGTTGCCTCTCCTTTAAGAAACCTCCTGAGAAGCCTACCACCCAAATAACATGCTCATATCTCATTGGCCAGACACTGCACATGGCCACTCTGTCTGCAAAAGAGACTGGGAAACATAGTTTTATTTATTTTTAAAGCTAGGCATATTAACACTCCACTAACTCTGGGCTTTGTTAGTAAGGAAAATGGGAAGTATAAATATTGGGAAGATACTAGTGCTCTCTACCACAGATGAAAACTTCAGCCAGGCACAGTGGCTCATGGCTGTAATCCCAGCACTTTGGGAGGCCAAGGCAGGTGGATCACTTGAGCTCAGGAGTTTGACACCAGCCTAGACAACATGGCAAAACCTCGTTTCTACCAAAAGTATAAAAATTAGCCGGGCATGGTGGTACATGTCTGTGGTCCCAGCTACTTGGGAGGCTGAGGTGGGAGGATTGCTGGAGCCTGGGAGGTCGAGGCTGCAGTGAACAGTGATTGCACCACTGCACTCCAACCTGGGGGACAGGAGCGAGACACTGTCTCAAAAACAACAACAAAACCAAAAAAAGAAAAACAAAAGAAAACCTTGTGTTTTGTGTTCTACAACGAGAATTGATCATTTTTCACTCTCACACAACCAAAACATGAAGAAAGTTAAAAGTCTCCTTCAAAATCTCCCCCATAGTGCCTCATCCTCTTACTAAGCTTGCTTTTCTTTAAGCAGGTCATTCTTTTTTTTTTTCATTTTTCTTGAGATGGATTCTTACTCTGTCACCCAGGCTGGAGTGCAGTGGCACGATCTCGGCTCACTGTAACCTCCGCCTCACAGGTAAAAGCAGTTCTCCTGCCTCAACCTCCCAAGTAGCTGAGATAACAGGCGTGCGGCATCTCGTCTGGCTAATCTTCTTATTTTTAATAGAGATGGGGTTTCACCATGTTGACCATGGTTGGCCAGGCTGGTCTCGAACTCCTGACCTCAGGTGATCTGCCCGCTTTGGCCTCCCAAAGTGCTGGGATTAAAGGCATGAGCCACCGTGCCCAGCTATTCTTTTTCTTTCTTTTCTTTTTTTTTTTTTTTTCAGATGGAGTCTTGCTCAGTCACCCAGGTTGGAATGCAGTGGCGCACTGTCGGCTCACTGCAAGCTCGACCCCTCAGCTTCAAGCGATTCTCCTGCCTCAGCCTCCCAAGTAGCTGGAATTACAGGCATGTGCCACCATGCTTGGCTAATTTTTTGTATTTTTAGTAGAAACAAGGTTTCACTGTGTTGGCCAGGCTGGTCTTGAACTCCTGACCTCAATCCACCCACCTCAGCCTCCCCAAAGTGCTGTGATTACAGGAGTGAGCCACTGCGCCCAGCCAGTTCATTCTTTCAACAATGTTTAAGCATCTACCTAAGCCTGGCACTGAGCTGGGCCTTGGGGGCTACAAAGATATCTAAGACTTTTTTCTCCTTAGAGAGCTATACCGTCTATGGAGAGGGACAGAGAGCCCCCAAAATGATGAACATGTTCTAAGTGTTGAGATAGAGGCATGTGAACACTCTTTGGCAGCCCAGAAAAGAAAGGGGAAGAGGAAATGGCACAGAAAGGGTGAGGCAAGAACTGGCCTGGAAGTCTAGGATGGATAGGATTTTGCCAGTTGAAGAGGGGTAGGCACATTTCAGGAAGAAAGAACAGCGTTGGAGAAGGCACAGATGTGTGTGAAAACCCCTGTTGGACACGTTCAGGGGACAGCTAGAAGTTGTGTGTGGATACATTGTAGGGTTTGTGGGAAGTGAGTCAGGAAAGGGGCATAAAATGGGGCTGGAAAGAGAGATGGAGCCTCCATGTGAAGTTATGCTAAGGAGATCGGGCTCCATCCTATAGGCAGGAGTAGGTGGTGGGGGGCAACGGGAAGTTTTCAACCATTATCCAAACTCTGTTGTAGAATTAAAAAGTGGAAAGAAGAGAACACAGGCAGGGAAACCATAATAGTGTGGTCAGACTTCAACATGATAGCAGTCAATTCAGTAGGAATCTTGAATTTGAGTAGTCAAGTTCATAGAGACAGAAGGTAGGAAGGTGGTTGCCAGAGGCTGGGGGTGGGGATGGGGGTAGGGTTAGGGGGAAAGAGGAGTTATTGTTTAGGGTATAAAGTTTGTTTTCCAAGATGAAGAGTTGTGGAGATGGATGGTGGTGAAGGTTGCATAACATGCATATACTTAATCCCCCGAACTGCACAGTTACAAATGGTTAAGATGGTAAACTTTCTGTTATGCATATTTACAATTACACACACACACACACACACACCCTTCAGTGCACGCAAACCCTGCTGGACTCCAACCTTCAGAGCTTCCGATTTAGCAGGGCTGAGTGGGACCTGAGGATTTGCATTTTCTGACAAGTTCCCAGATGACGTTGATGCTGCTGGTCCGGAGACCACACTTCGGGAATCACTGGTGTACGAGACCAAGTGACTAGAATATGGAGGGGTGCTCTGCTCGCTTCCACGTGGCTACTATTGTTATGAACAACAACAGCCGGCGTTTACTGAGCACTGCTCCTACAGCTTATCTCACAACTGGGTGAAGGAGCAGAGGATGCGCAGGGCTAGAACCTGGAGTCTAAACTCGTCCTTCACCCGGGTTGCTCTGGATCTTACTGGTTGTGAGACAGGGAGGGAAAGAGAGACAAAGGCAGGGAGACAGGCCCAGCAGGGCCGGCAGAGCCTGTAGTGACGGAGGGGAGCAGCCTTATCTCCGGGAACCCGAGCGCCCCGTGCGCGGCGGGGAGGGGGCAGTTCGGGGCGCCCCGGCGGGTCCCAGGGGCTGACTCCCGCCCGGGAAGTGCGCGCAGGGCTCACGGCCCGCAGGGGGCGCTGCCGCGCCGTCCAGCCGCCGCCGCCCGGGCCGCCCACCTCGCGGGCGCGCCCCTCCGCAGACCAGCGCCGCCCGGCCCGGGACCCGCTCGCGCAGACTTCTCGGGCGGACTGAGGACGCCGCCGCTCGGGGCCGCCCCTGTGCTCGCCTTCAGCGCCCGCTCAGCCCGCCGTCCGCGCCCCGGTGGCGGGCCCGACGCCCGCATTCCGCCCGTGTCCAGGCGCAGAGCTCCCGCCCCGGGGAGCTTCCTGGCCGTCGGCGGGCCCCGCGGCCCGCGCGCTCGGCGCCCTGCTCGCCGGGCAGAGGGGAAGGCGGCGGCCGGCTGGGGATGGGCGGCCCGGCTGCGCCGAGGGGCGCCGGGAGGCTCCGCGCGCTGCTGCTGGCGCTGGTGGTCGCGGGGATCCCCGCGGGCGCCTACAACCTCGACCCGCAGCGCCCCGTGCACTTCCAGGGCCCCGCTGACTCGTTCTTCGGCTACGCAGTTCTGGAGCATTTCCACGACAACACGCGCTGGTGAGTGCCCGCCCGACTCCGCGACCCTGGCCCGCGCGGCCACCGCCCCGGCCCCCAGGCCAGCGCCGCCGCCGCCTTTCCGGTCTCTTCCACGCCGCCGTCCCGAGGGGGCGATTTAAATGTCTCCGTTGCGCGCGGCTCGGCCGCCGGGGGACGGCGGGAGAAGGGAGGACGCCGTCCGGGGCCCGCTAAGGTCGGGGTCGGCGCCTGGAGGCGGGCGGGGGCGTCCGGGTGCCTCCCTGGGGTCCCAGCCCAGAGCGTGGGGGGAGAGCCGCTAGAGTTGTCTCCTCCGCCGCCCAGCTAGACTCGGCTTCACTCTCTGAATCGAAAAGTAACTTGGCTCCTCTGCCTCCGGGCGGCCGCCGCTGGCCCAGCGAGCCTCCTGAACCTCGCAGGGCCTGGAGGAGTCGGGGCACTGGAGCTGCACCCCTCCCCGGTTTTGGGGAACCCCTGAGGAAGGAGTATAGCCTCTCCAGCGCCGCTGCGCGGGGTGGGGCTCCCCAGGGGCAGGGTGTCTGGGATCCACTGGGGCGCACTGGAGCCCAGAGCCCCGGCGCCCCCCCCCCCCCCCAGCTCCTACAAGACCCTGGGTGGAAGTGGAGCGGAGAAGCTCCTAGGATATAGGGAAGAGGAAGGTGAGGGAGCACTTCCCAGTGACACCGCCGGTGGGGCAGGTAGTTATCTCTTGGGAGAGCCTGAGTCTCATCTCATATGGGCCATTCGACCCGGAGACCTTCACCAGAAGCCTTAAGAGAGAGACGTGTTTCTATAGTGGCCAAGGGGTCCAGTTGTCCCCTGAGTCCGGAGGGGTGGGCCTAAGAAGGGGGCAGCTCTCCCCCATTAAGCACCATAAGCCGAGTGGTACAGAGCTTGTGCCCAACCCCAGCAGAGAAGCACTAAGGGGGGGTTGGTGCCCTCCTTGGCCACATCCTCTGGACCAGAGGGTATAAACAGCCACACAGTGGTCACTTCTTGATAGGAGAGAGAGTTAGGCTGCGGGAAGTTCCCCCGTTCAAGGTCGTGCCTCATGGGGGCCCAGGTGACAGCCAGGCCGGGGTTGATTTTATTGTGTATTCACCAGCCTGAGCGTCCTTAGGGGTGGCAGGCAGGGAGGTCGAGGTCACTGATGCTGGTGCTCTCAGCATGTAGTTATGCAGGAGAGTCACTGCTCTGTATTGGACAGAGGCTGATGGAAAAGGGTGGTTTGTGGATCGCAGTACTCAAGCATTCCTGGAAAAGGGGACTCTGAGACCAGCCCACTAAGAATCATGCTGTTCAGGAGATCAGCCTTCAAGAGAACCAGTTTTCAAAGCCCTCACATAGCTCTCGCCCAGCTCCACATCTCCCTCTCTCACTTACTCCAGTTGCTGGGTATAAGACCGAGTGTGTCTGTTCTTAACACTTGTCAAATTCCCCTTTTAAAGCGGAGCAGGCTGAACATTTTTCTGTGTCCTGCAGACTCAGGGTCTGAGGTTGAAGAACACATCCCAGATCCCCACACTAGGCACCAGGCACGCGGGAAGCACTGTCAAAAATGGGAGGGCTGCTGTGGACAGCGGGCTGCTGAGAAAGGGCGGGCAGCTGAGCAGGCAGCCAAGCCAGCCGGAGCATTGTGTGTGATCTGCAGGCTGAGGCTGGCTCAACTGCCTTGGAGCTCTTTGACAGCTAGAGGGAGAGAGGCCAGGCCACTGTCACTGTGGATTTGCATGGGCCACAGGTCAAAGCCACACTGCCTGGGAAAGGAATGGGTAGAGACGAGAGCAGATCTGACAGAGAAAAGGTGTTCAGCCTACTTGGATTTAAAACGGGGATGAAGAAAAGCTGTGTGACATGAGCAGATTTGGCCAGTGTGGGAAAAGACAGTCTGGCCTTCAGCTTGGTACCCAGGGTAAATGGTAGGGAGTGGGTGTGGAGCAGTAATGCTGTGCATATTCTTGTTGCCAGTTGAGATGTGGGACTGGTATTTCAGGGGTCCATGGGAACCCATGTGTCTGGGCTGCTGAGCTCAAAAGTGCCCTCTCTTGTTCTGATACAAGCTGGCTACTCTTTGTATTGGAGTGCTTGTCCCCATAGCTGTTCAGGCACCAACTTAACTCTACTGAAATCTTTTTAAAATAATGCTTCTTTTTCCTCCCTCACCCACCATATTGACTTAATTTTTTCTTAGATTGTGTTCTCCCCTTGATTTCTGTTCTCATGCTGTTGTTTTCAAGTATTTTCCTCCCCATCCTTTTTTCTCTTTCCCTTTTTCCCAGTATTCTTTGTCTTAGACCTTGAATGTATTTTTTGCTGTATGTATGCTTGAATGTGTTTTTTACCCAGGCTTGGTAAACTATGGCCTTTGGAGCAAGTGACTTCCAACATCTTCTTTCTCCTTTTTCTTTCCTCTAGAGGCTAGACTTATTGTGCAAGGCTGCTGAAACTTAAGCCAAAGGATTCTTGCTTGCATAGGCCCCTATTAATGCCTTGTCCCCAATTTTATAATTTTATGTTAATTTTCTTAAAGTTAGTCACCCTAAATTTGTAAGATCAGGTCCTGTGAATTCTGGATCTGTCCTAAGTCTGTACCTTAACTTCAACTGTGGGGTTGGTTGATTGACTTGGTAACTGATTGTTGGTCGCTTACTCCTAAGCAGTACCTGAGCCCTGGATCTTCTAGTCCTGCTTGAGGGACATGTCAGTCATTTTCAATTATTCGTGATTGCAAACAGCAGCAGGGGTAAACAACCTTTAACGAAACCCTTGAGGACAATCTTAATTATTTCCTTTGAATAAATTCCTGGGCTTAGAATTGCTGGGTCAGAGAGGATGGAAGCTTCAAGGCATTCTTTATGTATTACCAAAGTGCCAGTGAAGTGTGTGTACTTTAGAAAAATACATTAATTTATTCAGACACTGGAGGCTTGGGAGTAGTTTTGCAAAGGGCTGCTCTAGTGCACTGAAAGAGTATAGAACCTACATGGGGGTGACTTAAAAGGATCACAAATACTCGTCAAAATGAGTGAGGAAGGTAAAATATAGACATGAAAGGGAAAAGCAGTATAGCAAAACTTTGAAAGGAAAAGAAGACATGTTAATTAAGCCTTGTATCTTACGTCTCTCTTCTCGAAGAAATTATTCTTTGTTACTTAATTCAATATTTTGCAGTCTAAGATATTTGCTTCATGCTAATTAACTACCTGTTTTACAGGTGAAAAGATGTGTTGTCTCTAGGGAAAGGGAGGGAGAAGAATGTGCTGGAAGTGGTAGGGGGAGAGCACAGACCCCAAAGTCAGCACGGACTCTGCAGGCGGCAGAGTAGAGCGTTCCCATGTTGAGGGACCTGCGGGTGTACATCTCAAAGCATGTGAATGTGCTCTGTTGGTGGAACTAGCACTTCTCTAATCCCATAACTGAGCATTTCTCTCAATTATTTTGTAGACCAAAATTGTCACTAATCGGAGGATCCTAGATCCCTGTGTAAGTGTGGGGGTGATCTTGCTTTTCCCAGCCCTGGTGACTGAACCCAGCTCTGTAGCCATATCACACTGAGCACAGAGCCCCAGACCCAGCTTCTCTCAGAGTACTTGCTTGAGTGGTCCCGCTGTCACTGTGCTCTGGGCAGTGAGAACTGTCCCCATGGCTAGATGGACCAGAATATCCTGGACAATGTTCCAGATGACGTTTGTATCAGCTAGGATACAAACATGCAAGGGACTCAATTTTCTTTTTTTCTAATAACACCCAGAGTGTCTGCCTGCCCAGAGCCAGCTTCCTCTCCTATAGCTCCCACTCCCTGAGTCTTCTGGCGTCCTTTGAACAACAACAGTAAGTGCCAGGGAACATGGACAAAGCCGATTTCTGTCCCCTTCCTTTAGACATGGACCGGTTACTCAGCTGCAGGGCTGACAACTGTAACACCCTGTGATATAAATAAATGCTGCCTGGCTGGCGTGCAGCCTCCAGAGCGGACGTCTTTCACACCCCACCCCGTCCCCTCCTCCTTCTCTGCCCCAGACGCCCTGGAGTCCAAAGTGGTTGGGTGCACTGGCTTCCTTTCTGGAGACGTGCTTCCTGCTCCCTCTCCTGGGACACATCAAGACGGCTGTGCTTAGGCACAGAGCGAGTGCTCGGAAATGGAAGATGTGCTGGGCTTTTTGCTTTGTTAAAGTTGTCAGAGTGTTGTTCAGTGAGGAATAGGAGGCAATTCCAAGCCAAGGAGAACATATCCTTGATTTGCATGAAGGTTGAGAATTAAAAGAACAAGCTAGATAGTTCTGGTGAGCTGTCTGATGTAGTCACCACTAGCCAGATATATTGGTATGTAAATTAACTAAAAATAAAATTTAAAATGCAGCTTCTCAGTTGCACTTGCCACATTTCAAGTACTCAGTAGCCACATGGGGCTAGTAGCTACTGCATTGGACACAACACAGAGAGAACATTTTCATCATCACGGAAAGTTCTACTGGGCAGTGTGGGTTTAGAGCAATGATGTAAGTCTTAAAGGGCTAGACAAGGATCAAAAGGAGAGGTAAGAAAAAGAAAAAGAAAAAAAATCAACCCATAGCATATGTGAGTACTAAAACCGAAACGGGTGCTTACATCTAACTAAAAATTATTGCCTGCTGAAGAGGTTGAATTGTCTTTCTACTCATAAAACACCGCAGGGCCTGATCTATATTTAGGGCTGGGGGTTCAACAATGAAAACTTTTTGCTCACAATCTGACAGGTGAGAAAATTGTGGGGTTCTAGTTGTGTGTCTCAAATGAAATTTAAGATCTAGGCTCTGATGGGGGAGAGGCTTGTCCTCAGGCAGGCATGAGTTGTTCAGAGGGGCAGAAGAGAAACTCCTGTGAAGGGAAAACATTTAGAAGGGGAGCCCTGGGATCATAGGACCTGCTGCCCCTGGCCCTGCCCGTCTTGCTGAGGAAACACCCAGAAATGGTGGTGGGAGCCCTGCCTTCTCATAACCTCAGTGGTGAGCATCTTTGCAGAGTTCCTCTGTCCTGTGCCAGACTCTAGGGGAAGGTGTAGGTCCGCTTCCTCATTTGAATTTTTCTAGGGAAATGGCATTTTCAGACATTGTTCCTGGTCCTCACTCACCCTACAGAGCCTGCTTTCTCAAGCTCTCAAGAAGGAACAACACATATATGAGGCCTGAGTTCCAAGGGGATCCAAAAAGCATCTTCTCGGGGTTTCTGGGAAATTTCTCTGAAGATCTGGAGAAGCTGGCAAGGGTGCTGTTTTCTGAGCTAGTGCTGAATGCTGGCTGGGGGCAGAGACAGCTGTCTTGCCCAGTGGAGAACCTTCCAGGGCAAGAAGACAGTCTTGTCTCAACCAGTCATTAACGGCCCTGAGTGTGAGAGTGTGAAGGGCCGGGCCCCAGCCAGCTCTGATTCCCTGGTGACATGCTGCTGTTCAGGAAATGGTCTCCTGATAACTTCTATTGTGATTTGTTCAGGGAAAATGTTGTTTTTACATTTGTTAAAAGCAGCCATGGTGTTCTCTGAAATTCCTTGCTTTCAAGGGGTTGCATGGAATTTTAACAACCAAAATGAATTTCGTCAGATAGTATCTACAAGAAGTCAGATGCTTTCACAGGCATAATATTCTTTAGTTGAGTCTTTGTAACATCCTGGTGAGTGGTTTCCAGTTTGCTATTTGGGGAACTGAGGCTTACAGAGTTACACGCCTTGTTCAAGGCCCACCCCAGCCTGAGAGATCAATGCACATTCACTGGGGGCTTGTGTCAGTTTGCATCCTTTAGGAAGCAGATGCTAGGACAGAGATAGGAGTGTGAGAGAATTGTTGGGGGCGGGTATTGCCTGTGAAAGACAAATGGGGAAGTTGGATGGGACAGAGAGAGCCTCTGACTCTATGCAGATCTGATTAAAGTCTCAGTCAACTCAACAGAGATCACTGGGCAGAAATAGCTGTCCTCTGCCAGGGTCAGGTATTGGCTGGAGCTGTCTGGGAAGAGCACAGCCTCAGCTGGAATCCTGCAGCAGATCCCAAGAAAGCTGCAGCTGGAGGCTGTCAGCTGACATTCCGCCTTGCAGCTGAACAGCATGAAGTGACCCACACCTCTGTGGCTGCCCTGGAGCCTGCCACGCGTGAATCACTGTGTTGGGAGGGTGTGAGATGTGCTCCTTGGCCTGCAGTGTGGCTGGGGATCATCTTTGCTCATACCTCTGTAATCAGTGTGTGGAGCGTCAGGACTGACAGTAGGGCCATTGGGACTGGCCCAGAAACAGAATCCTGAGCAATCTTGCCACCAGCTGACTCACAAGGTGCCTCTTTCTGATGTCAGAGAAGTCACAGGTGATGGATTTCAGAAGAAAGGAGCTCTGCTTTACGCTGAGCCACCGAGTTCTCTGAACTGCAAATCCTTTTAGCCAAGTGGATTTGGCGATCAACCAAAGCAGAATAAAATGTTTTATCCCAACCTTCCTTTTTGCCAGAAGGAGTCCTAGGAAGCCGATGTAAGTCCAAGATTGGGAAAAATCTACAGTCTTTGAAACCACGGGCTCACTTGGTCCACCAATGTCTGTTCTGACCAAAAAGGACTTCTGTGTTGAGTTTAAATTAGCAACAGTAGCAACAATAACACCAAAAGCAGCAACAGTGTATCTGAATATTCAGTAGATGTCAAGTGCTATCTACATTGGTACTCATACCAGCTCATTTAATGTTCCCAACAGTCCTTTCAGCTGGTAGCCATTTGGGCTGCCATAACAAACTGTTATAGGTTGGGTTGCTTATAAATGACAGAATTTATTTCTCACAGATCTAGAGCCTTGGAAGTCCAAGATCAGGGCCCCAGCAGATTTGCTGTCTGGTAAGCACCTGTTTCTTGGTTCATAGATAGTGGTGTTCTCACTCTAAGCTCACACAGTGAAAGGGATGAGGGAGCTCTCTGGGGCCACATTTATAAGGGCACTAACTCATTCATAGGTTATATCCTCATGACCTAATCACCTCCCAAAGTCCCCACCTCCAAATAACATTACCTTGGGGTGAAGATTTCAACATATACATTTTGAGGGAACACAAGCATTCAGTCTGTAGCAGCTGGCTATCATTTTATCCCCATTCATGGAGGGGAAGCTGAGGTACAGAGGCATTATTGCCCAAGTTACATGGCTAATGAGTTGTCGAGCACAGGCCTGTGCCTTTGCCCACCCAGGCTGACTGCCTGTCAGGAAGTCAAGAATCCGAGTTTGGGGGCTTCAGGGCGCTCAAACATCTGTCTTGTGAAGTTCTGTTCTGCCTGCTTTCCTGGAAAAGTTATTGAATTGCAATAGCAGTAGCTTCTCTGCGGCACCCTTTGGGGATGCTTATTCATGACCCACTGGCTACTCTTGGGGGGATGCTAGGGTTCTGTTTTCTGGAGATGTTTGATCACTGAGTGAACAGGGACCCAATGATTCTGCCAGGGACATTTGAAGGGCCTCTTCTCACACCAAGGCTGTCTAGCATTAAGACAGAAGTGTCCCAGGAAAGATGGAGTACTCTGCAATATTCCATGTATCCCTCTAACCTCCTGGGGCTGCTTTGTTACTATCCCCCCATCCACTCTGAGTTCTACTGGCTCCCACCACTTATTTAGGAATCTCTGAATTGGGGAAGGTAGCCATGGTGGCCAGTGTTTCAGAATCACTCCTGGGTTTGTAACTTTATTAAAGAAACCCACACAGAGTCAAACTTCTGCACCAGTGACCAACAATATGTGAGAGGATGATTTGTATCCTCAAATATTTGAACACTTAATAAAAGGCATGAATGGGTACAAAAAATTAGAAAGAATGAGTAAGAATGAGTAAGAACTAGTATTTGATAGCACAACAAAATGACAATAGTCAACAATAATTTGATTGTAGTTTAAAAATAACTAAAAGAGTATAATTGAATCACTTGTAACATAAAGGATAAACGCTTCAGGTGATGGATACCCCATTTACCCTGCTGTGGTTATTACATATTACATGCCTGTAACAAAATATCTCATGTACCTCATAAATATGTACCTACTGTGTGCCCAAATCTTTTTTTTTTTTTTTTTTTTGAGATGGAGTCTTGCTCTGTCACCCAGGCTGGAGTGCAGTGGTGCGATCTCGGCTCACTGCGAGCTCCACCTTCTGGGTTCACGCCATTCTCCTGCCTCAGCCTCCCGAGTAGCTGGGACTACAGGTGCCCCCCACCACACCCGGCTAATTTTTTGTATTTTTAGTAGAGAGTGGGTTTCACTGTGTTGGGCAGAATAGTCTCGATCTCCTGACCTCGTGATCTGCCCACTTTGGCCTCCCGAAGTGCTGGGATTACAGGCGTGAGCCACCGCACCCGGACTATGTGCCCAAATTTTTAAGAAAAATAAAAAATCACGGAACAAATTTCCTCCATCTTAGCTGATCTGTTGGTGTGTTAAGGCCACCTGGGAGATGGCCTTTCCTACCCCTTCCTATCTAGTGTCCAAGTGCTGTGATGTATGTGGATCCCAGAGTAAACTTGGTGTTGTGCAGTACACACCAGTAGGCAGCATTGCAGAGGGTCTTGGCACCTCTTTTGCACCAGGATGGGTCCTAGAGGGTGGATGTTCCAGATTCAGCTGAGTAGTGTTCCTGTCTCTACCTTCATTGAATCCCTGGTTCCACAGCAACAACCAGATCCACGATTTTTGTGCCATAAAAGGGGGCACTGCTGAGATGCACAAGTGCCTGGTGGCCAAGAGAGTGGGCTCCAGCATTAGCCCTGCCCTCAGCCTGCCTTACTCAGCTCTCTGCTTAGGAGCTGTGTGATCTTGACCAATTACTTCAGCTGTTTGAACCTCAGTTTCCTTTTCTGTAAAGAGTAATAAGGGTACATCCCTCATTAGGTTGGTGGGGGCATTAAATGAGATGATATCTGCAAAGCCCAGAGCACAACACGGCACACAGTAAGCCCTTGATAGATGCTCGTAGTTATTTCTCTTGTTACTTGATCTGATTTATGAAACCAATGGTCTTTTTCATCCTGACTTGAGATGCTGAGTTTTCTTTCAGTATTTTTGTTGATTCATTCATTTATTCATCAGACTTTGAGTGTTGACACTCAACACTGAAATGAATGAGATATTCTAACATAGACACACTCTTCATTATGTGTGGCCTCTAACATTTTTGTTATGCTCTACATAAATCTGCATTTTTGTGCATTCATTTACACCCTGTCTGCTTCCAAAAAGGATCTGAGATGGCTACTTTAAATGGAGATCTTTGGGATTGTAAATCCTAGAATTTTGCCTGCCTGTTTCTTCTCTGTGCTCTTGGAAAGCCAAGGAGCAGATGGGAGGCCACCCTTGTTATGGGGAGCTCCAGCTCCCACCCCAGGCTCCAGATAAGTCTGGGAGGTAGATCTACAGTTCCAGGATGGGATACTTTTTTAAAAAGTAAATGTAAATGTATTGCCATATTTCTCTTGAAAAAAAATTATCACAAGAAACCAACAAGAAGATATCAAGGCTTTTTCTTAGATCTGCCAGAAGTCTGTAATTTGCTCTATCCCTTGGATTTTAGTGTTCACTTGCTGCTTTCAGATGTGGAAGGAAAACCTCAGTCCTTTTGCCTTGCCTCCTTCTCCAGTTGCCTCCCCTCAGTGTGTCTGCCAAGACCTGAGCCCCAGGCCAGGGCAGCAGCCTCTGACCTTTCACTCCCTAACACACAAGCTGGGGACCAATGTCACTCCAAGGTTGGACCCTGCCCCCGTGCCTCTGCTTTTCCCAGTTGGGCATGGACTCCACCAATTTCATTCTCTGACTTAGCGTTATGTGGTGTGGATTGTACTGCTCTCCCTCCATTTACTGTAACCTAGGCTCTCCAGGATAAAAATTATTATTGCCAACCTTTTATGAATACTTTCTATATGCCAGAACCACTGTGTTCATAGTTCCCTTTATGCAGAGCAGGCTACCACTCCCGAAGCACAGAGAAGCCAAGTCACTTGTCCAAGGTTACCCAGCAAGTAAGTAAATTACAGAGTTGTGCTTTGAACCAAGGTGGGACTGATTTAATGCTAAACTGACTGTTCTCAGGGTTAGCCATGCTACCCTCCCTACCTCCACCTCCATCAAGGCCCTGTCCAAGGTATCAGGTTTCTAAGGAAAAAGGAGAAGGGCCCTGAAAGGAAAAGGGCTTCTTCGGAGGGCATTTGTGTCTGCTCTTGGCCTTGCAGATAAAATACCATAATCTACTCTTGCAAATCAGGCCATCCTGGGGTGCATGGTCCCCCAAACACTTTCATCTGCCTTTTCCTTTTGTGCCTCATCACTGCCTTGGGAGGGGGATCATGCATTTGTTATTATCCTTGTTTTACAGAAAAGGAAAGGAAGGGTCAGAGTGGCCAGGGGACTTGTCTAAAGTCACATAGCTGTAGCTGGCACACTCCTGGGTGTGACTTCGGATACACTCTTTAGGGCCTATTCTACTACTCCACCATGCCTGTCCCATCTCAGGGCCTTCAGTAAAAGTCTGTGGTCCTGGTTGGTGATGAGATTCCTTTGAGGGAGGGAAAGGAGACCAGGTAGCTAGAGGAGCCATAGCAATAGTTGTCAGCTGCATAGTTGGATAATTGGTTTGGACTTAGCGGGAATTAGTGGGCGATGGAATTACCACGGTCCAGATTCCGTCAGAAGTGGCATGCCTTAGCTTGATGACGTATCTGTTTTCTATCACCACAATATTGCTGCATCCCTAACAAACCACCCCAAAACTTAGTGGCTTAAATCAACCACCACCTGTAGCTTATTCTCTGGTTGGCAGCTTAGGTTGGGTTCAGCTGGGTGGTTCTTCTGTTCTCTCCAGGACTCACTCATGCATCTGTGGTCAACTTCTGGGTTAGCTGGTTGGCTGGCTGGCAAAGGATGGCTTCAGCTGGGAGGGCTTATTTTTGCTCCATATGTATTTCATCCTCTTGCAGGCTAGCCTGGGCTTGTACACATGGTGGTTGGGTAGGGTACCAACAGAACAATCAGAGGCTTGCATGATTTCTTGAAGCCTAAGCTCAGAAGTCAAACCATGCCCCTCTGCCACATTCTTTTGGCCAATGTAAGTCACAGGTCCAGACTACATCAAGAGGAGGCAGAAACACATTTCATCTCTTGACAAGAGAAGCTGCAAAGTCACACTGAAAAGAGCAGGGATACAGGAAGGATGGGGAATTGTGGCCACTTTGTAATATATTACTGGTGGTGAAAGCATCCTGGCTGTCCCTGAATTACTGTGACAGTCTGAATAAATTCCTGCCCAGCGCACCAGAAAAGGGAACAAGGTTCTATTAACCTAAATAGCAAACACAGAGAGAGGCTCTCTAAAAGAAAATGTTTACTCAGGAATAGGGCATTGCAGTGGGAATACATGTGTCACAGTAATCTGCATGAATATTCAGGGAGGTAAAGGAAAACAAAGGCTTTTAAAGGAAAAATGAGGATTACTTAATTGTTTTGAGATAATTATCTTTGGATACAAGGATCAGTGACAAGGGTGGCACCAGTTTGAGGTTGGATAGAGAGTTGCTAGGTAGATTTCCTCACAGAAGGTGTGAGTGTGTGTGTGTGTGTGTGTGTGTGTGTGTGTGTGTAAGGTTGTGATGGCCTTTGTGCAAGATTGTGTTTTTGCAGATTTTTTTGTGCTAGTTCTTGTTATCAGTTGTTTATGCATGAAAACCTTTCCTTCATGGCGTCCCACAGCTCTATTTGTCAGGGTTTTTTTTTTTTTTTTAAACATAAGTGACTCCATTTTGATTCTGACAACTTTTGCAATTCTAAGGATCTATGAGCTCTTGGGTGCTGCCAGGAGTTAGAACTGGGATGAGTTGAGTGTCAAGGTGTTTGACCTACTACTGCCCAGCAGTCTAACATTTCTTTGAACACCTACTTTGTAGCAGGCACTATGATGGGTGTTTTATAAACATTCTTTTGCTTAAACCTTACAAGAAACCTTCTTAGGTACACTTTTATTCCTCCTGTTTTACAGAAGAGGAAAACTGAGGCTTGGAGTGTTTAAGACACTTGTCTAAGAGACACAGCTTGTCAGCAGTAGAGGCAGGACTTAAACCCTATGTTACTGCCTGTGCTTCTTACACTTTATCACCATGCATAACTTTCCCATAAAGCTTAGAAGCCAGGTAGAACTACTGGCTTAAAACCCTAGAAAGCAGTCAGTATCCACTGCTTAAATACCAGGAGCCTCAGTTTCCCCAAATATAAGAAGAGCTTATGAGGCCTTTCAGGTCCCATGGCTCCATTGGGCAAGCATTGGTCCCTAGTGAGTCCCCTCCCTCTGGAAATGAAGGGTTTGGTGTGGTCAGAGGTGGCTATCCTGGCACCAGCTCTTCCTTTACTCAAGCCTGGGCTGCTTTCTGCCCAGTAAGGGATGCGGACAATTCCTGGGGTTTCCCCGTGGTGGACACACAGTGAAGAATTTGACTCATGTAACCAAAACGTGGGTCCCTGGGGAAGCTTTGGCTTTGGGATCAAATGCTGAAAGCAAACCTAATGGGTTTAAAGTTTTTAATCCCCAGTTGCTGTCCTTGATCTGGCTATAATTTTGCCTGTGGAATCGCTGCTGTGGTGTTTGTGGGGAGGGAGGGAATCTTTGAGACACTGTCAGTTCTCAGTCCTGCCCAGGGAGGCAGCTGCGGCTCAGTCCTTCTCTGTCACCCGCTCTCCAGAGAATTTACCTGCAGATTACCCTCAAAACATGAGACAGGTTCAGAGCGAGGTGGGCGGCTGGAATGGAGCCTTCACAGACAGCTTGACCACACACAGGGAGCTCAGGAAGCAGCTTTGTTGGAAAAATGCAGGGCACTTAAACTGCCACACCAGGAGGGGGTTTGGAGAGGCTGGAAAGAGCATGCCATTGGACACAGACACTCTGGGTTCAAATCCCAGCTCTGCCACTTACTGGTGGTGTGACCCAACATCTCTGAATGGAAAACACATGAGAGGCTGCCTGACAGGATGGCCATGAGCAAGAAAGCACCCTTGTGAGCATAACCAGTGTTGGTGCATGAACCGATGCACCCACACTGCTTATTAAGAGAGGCAAACCTCTGGTTAACACCATGACAGCAGTGTCAATGCTTTGGAAAAGCAAGGTGATTGAAGTTCACCTTTTGAGTCACCTGAGCCTGATGGGGAGGGGAAGGTCTTTTCTCTTCCAAACCCCAGCATGCCCTTTGACATGACGGAGCTTTCACATCAGAGTTCTCACTTCAGAGCTGCCCTCAAAGGCTCACTGGGGCTTGCTCAGGTGGGGATTACATATGTGAGTAGCTGGCACCAGAGGGGGCACTGGGTACCTGTTGGTTCCCTTTTCCTCCTTTCAGGCTGATGTGGGGTGGGTAGAATAGGGCACGGGTGATGTATTTGACTACTGGGGTGCGTGCTACAGCTTGGCATCTTAACATGAATAACCATCTTAACCTCCTCTGGCCACCTGCTTCCCTATCTGTAAAATGGGGATAATATTAGTACCTCCCGTAGGGTTGCTGTGAAGAGTAAATTTGATCCTGCCCGCAATGAGCCTAACCCAGCACCTGCACACTCTATGTGCCTGCTACATGCTGGTTGCCCTAATTAGAAGTTTAGAGTCCTGCATTGATGAGAGGACCTAAAAGGCTTATGAGGCCAGGCATAGTGGCTCAGGCTTGTAATCCCAACACTTTGGGAGGCTGAGGCAGGTGGATCACCTGAGGTCAGAAGTTCAAGACCGGCCTTACCAATATGGTGAAACCCCATCTCTACTAAAAATATAAAAATTAGCGGGGCGTGGTGGCGTGTGCCTGTGGTACCCAGCTACTAGGGAGGCTGAGACAAGAGAATTGCTTGAACCCGGGAGGTGGAGGTTGCAGTGAGCGGAGATCGCCGCACTGCACTCCAGCCTGGGTAACAGAGCAAGACACCATCTCAAAAAAAAAAAAAAAAAAAAAAAAAAAAAAGGGCCTTTGAGTTTGTGGCATCTTTAACTGGGGATGGGATAGGAGGAGAGAGCCTTGCTTCTCAAGGGCAATCTCTTCTACTGGCTCCAAATGAACATAATTATTTGTAATCAGTTTAGATAGTTACATAGTACTTCTTAAACTATCAATCACCTGGAGAGCTTGTTAAAATGCATTCTGATTTAATGGGCTGGGGCCTAAGATTCTGCATTTCCGACAAGTGCCAGGTGTTCCCCATGCTGCTGGTCTGAGGACCACACTTGAAGTAGCAAGCAAAGCAGAGAAGTAGCTTGATGCTTTGTTGATGGCAGCCTGTTGGTGGGGACACTCAGGCCCTTTTATGTGGTAACCATAGCAGAAAGGAACATAGTCTTGTTGAGAGTACCAGGAGAGTTGGGGCGATGTTTGAAGTGGCTAGGATGTCTTTTTATAACTTAGCAGATGGCATCTTTTCAGTGGCTTGTTCTGAACTCTGGGCCATGGTAATCTCTGTATCCCTTGGGATCAGCCTGGTAAACAGCCAGCTGAATTAACTTCAGAAAAGACTCACTCATGGGCTGGCCTGCGGTAGTCTTGCTGGATGGTGGCCTAGGTACAGAGCAGTGCTGGGCTGCGGAGGAAGCCACGATGTTCTGTAAACACATAGATACAAGCACATTCCCGCGTGCCACCTCGTGAGTGTCATGCATGTGTGTGCATGCCCCCTTATCTCTAGCCTGATTTTCCATTGCACAGGATTTGGGAAAAACCTTTCATCTGACCAGCTGATCAGAAGTTTTGAACTGAAAGGTTGTTATCAGGGTTTGAATCAGCTATTGTTGTTAGAACCATTGAGTACCTTGGGCTTGGAAGGAAATAATAATTCAGCAGGTTCCTTTCCACTTTAGATTTTGGTGTAAACTTTGTCCCTGTCAGTCTTGGCTCTAGGCTGGAGGAAGCAGTGCCTGGGAATAAGCTCTCCAGGGTCCCCTCCTGCTTAGATAACCTATGAATCTGTGTCTGTGAATTTGGAGCCATGGCATTATCTGAAATTTCCAGGGTTCCAATGCCAGTTTGGGAGACACAGTGGAGGAAGAACCTGTTGTTTCTTGCAGCCTTTTCCCTTCCCTCGGACGTGATGAATTCTCACTCTTGTGAATTTTTTTGTGATTTTTGTAAAATAAATTACAAGTGGCAATTAGTCACTGTGCTGATGTAAATTTGGAGTTGGTGGGAATTTTTGGACTCTGCTGTGTGGCCCTGGGGTTTTTGAGTGGAAGAGGTATTTTATGCTCCCCAGGTCTTAGAACCTGACCTGTGGAAAGGCTGAGGATGTTTCAGCAGTTTAGACAGGGCAAACTGCTAATTCTTCTCACCTGTGAAAACAGCTGGTCTTATGAAGCGCAATATGTGACTTACCCCAGTGGCTCTAAAGCTCAGCCGCTACAGCAAGGGGGAAAATTGATCCCTTAATGTGGCTTTCTTCTCACTGGAGTTTTGTTTTGTACGTCATTGTGCATTTGAGTTACAGCAGACAAGGGCCAGCCAAACTGCTCTTGTGTGGGTGAGGGAGGCAATGTGATCTGTTTGGGAAAGTGCTTGCTTTGATTTCCAAAGGGCTGTGGGTTCCAGCCCTGCTTCTGCTTGGGAATTCTGCAGTTGTGCCCAGCAAACACCTGGGGAGGTGCATCCCAGGGCATTATTGAGGAGCCGCAGGGCAGCCTGGGTACCTGCACCATTGGGAGTCTTGCTTCTCTCACTCCCCAGCAGGGCATCTTCCTCATGGAATCAGATACAGACCCTCCAAGACTGACCTGGAAGGAGACACTCCAGTGAGGGGTGGGTCTCCCTGGCTCTTTGTACCCTCCAATTCTTCAGGTTCTAGGTGTTGAGCTCAGGGCAGTGGGAATTAAGATGGGACCCACACACATTCCCATGAACCTTAACACCATGTCTCTGAGCCAGGTTAGTGACGATGTCCTTTGTGATATCTGCCAGCCTTTGCTGGAGTCCCCTTTGAGGGCCTCAGACTTCTGTTGTATGATGTAGAGGCCTTGTTTGTCTGCCCCTTTGCCTAGCTGGAGTGTTGCAGGAGGAGCAGCAGCATTCCAAGACCAGGGTGCAGTGAATGACTGAGATCCCAAGATGAAGGTGGCTTTCAGGGCAGAGGGAAGGGAGCCTGGGTCAGCTTTCTACATCCCCAGGAAAGCTGTCCAGGGTCATCCTAACCTCTGCTAAACACCTTTTCCACAAATACATAATATGTAATGCACTCTATTCCAAGGCATGTGGGAGATGATCTATTTCATGATACAGAAGAAACCCTTGTGAGGTGAATTCCCTCTCTTTTCTAGGCTGCTGGAGATAAGGAACAACGCCTGTTCTCACTAAGAAGTGGCTTGGCATTTTCTACTCTTTGAACATCAGTGTGGATTTTGTTTGAAGTCTCATTGTCCAAGACCTTTTCCAAATGGCTCGTAGCTCAGCACAAACCGTGCCTGATTAGTGTTGTTTGGTATTCTTTGCTATAGATCTTCTGTTGACTGCTTTCCGGAAACAATGCATAAAACTGTAGGTCAGAATTATTTTTGTAACATCTGGAGGGGAGCTTACTGCCATTTCCCCCGTGTTCTGCACTCACACAGGCCCAAACCTGCCTCTTCTGTCTTCTGGGTGGGTCTTGCCCCTTTCCTGTAGCCGGGGGATGCTCCTGCTGGGGATGGCCCACCCTAGGCAGCTTTTCAGTTCAAGATGGAGGATACAGAGGTTCATTCTTGCTCCTGTTTGCATGCAAACTGTTCTATTTCTGTTTTGCAGTGGGAGAGAGGATACGGTTTATAATTCCGCACTGCTGCTATTTTTTTTCCTATTTGCCCCTAAATGTCCATGCTGTGTGTGTGGTGGGTGGTAGGAGGAGGAGAGGGAGACAGAAGAGAAATAGCGTTTCTAAATTTTCTATTTGTTACTGAAATGTAACACATCCAGGAAAGTGTCCATATCATATACAGTTATCACAAATTTGTATAATGTCACTGAGGTTGAATGACAACATTATCCGCACCCCCAGCAATTCCCCTCCCTAATTGCAACCCTGCTTTCTCCTCTCCAGAGGTAACCATTATCCTGCCTTCTAACACTATAGTTAAATTTCACCTGCTTTTGAACTTTAGATAAATGGAATCAGACTGTGAGTATGCTATTGTATCTGGCATCTTTTGTTCAGTATTGTATTTGTGCAGTTCATCTCTGTGGTTGCAGTTGAATGCTGTTCATTTGTTTTCATTGCTGCATAGAACTCTTTTTTTGTTTTGTTTTGTTTTTGAGACAGAGTCTCACTCTGTTGCCCAGACTGGAGTGCAGTGGCATGATCTCAGCTCACTGTAACCTCTGCCTCTTGGGTTCAAGCGATTCTCCTGCCTCAGCCTCTCAAGCAGCTGGGATTACAGGCACCTGCCACCATGCCCAGCTAATTTTTTGTATTTTTAGTAGAGACAGGGTTTCACCATGTTGCCCAGACTGGTCTTGAACTCCTAAGCTCAGGCAGTCTGCCCACCTCGGCCTCCCAGTGCTGCATAGAATTCTGTTGTATTGCTGTACCATGATTTACCTGTCCACTCTAGCACTGATGGGCCTTTAGGTTTCTTCTTGTTTTTTTTTTTTTTTTTGATATTACATATGCAGCTTTGAACATTTTGCATGTCTCCTGGTAGAAATGTATGCATCTCTATTAGGTATAGTCCTAGAAATGGAATTACTGGGTCAAAGGGTAGGTGCATGTTCAGCTTTATTAGGAACTGTTGAATAGTTTTCCCAGTGGTTTTAATGGTTTATACTGCCACTAGCAGTGTATGAAGGTTCTAGTTACTCTATATCCTTGCCAGCACTTGGGATTTTCAGTCTTTTTGGTTTGAGCCTTCTGGTTGGTATGAAGTTGAGTTTCTCTGATAACTAACATAGTTGAGCACCTTTTCATGCATTTATTGGCCATTTGGCTATCTTCTTTTGTGAAGTATCTATGCTTGTCTTTGGCCTATTCTGTTGACTTGTCTTTTCTTATTAATCAATGAGGAGTTTTTAAAATAGATTTTGGATAGGAACCTTTTGTTGGTTGTACGTGTTCCCACCCATCCATCGCAGTCTCCTGGGTAGGTGGGACTAAAAGCGTGCGCTGCCTTGCCTGGCCATTTTTTTTTGTGAAGATGGGATTTGCCATGTCACCCAGGCTGGCCTGGAATTCCTGGGCTCAAGCGATCCACCCGCCTCGGCCTCTCAAAATGCTAGGATTACAGGCATGAGCCACCACATTCAGCCTCCTTAAGCTTTAATATGCCTGGGAAAGATCTAACAGGTTTCACTTTAGGACCTCTCCCCCAAGCCCACACAGAAAAGTATAATAATATGATTTTCAAAGTGAGCACTCAGAGAGCCCACCCGTGGTTGGGTGAATACTTAGCCATCTGCCTCCTATTTTCTTATCGTAGGTTGTGACAGAATGCCTTTTTCTCTTGCTGCAGGGTCCTTGTGGGCGCACCAAAGGCAGATTCCAAATACAGCCCTTCAGTGAAGTCTCCTGGGGCTGTGTTTAAGTGCCGTGTTCACACCAACCCTGACCGGAGATGCACCGAACTGGACATGGCTCGAGGTGGGTGACCATTACTGCTGTGGTGGAAATGGGTTCTGTACCCTTATACCTTGCTCTTCTTCTTCCCAGGATGGCCTGATCATTCACTCACCCATCCATCCTTCCCTCCTTCCCTCCCTCCTTCTCTCCAACAAGCATGTATTGAGTACGTAATAGTTATTAAGCACTGGGATACACCAGTGAACAAAAAAAACAAGGATGCTGCCATCCCTAGTCCCATAAATTAGTGGGCAAAAGAGATATTAAGACAAGTAATTGAGAGAGAAAAGACCAGAGGGAAGGTGAGTATTTGATTTAATCTAGATAGGAGGGTCAAGAAAGGTCTGGGACCTTTCGACATGATTAGAAGGATGCGTAGTCGTTAGCTGGGCAGGTGCAGGAAGCACAGCCTTCAAGCAGAGGTGCCATTTGGAAGCACAGAGCGAGGTTGTGCAGCTGGAGAGGGAGCCAGGAGAGTGGAGCACAGGAGGGCAGCAAGGCAGGCTGGGGCCAGGCCACGTGGGGCCTAGCAGGCCAGGGCAATGTGCTGGAATTTTATTCTGTGTGTGAGTGGGGAGGCCACTGAAATCAATTTTGGGTATTACATTTTAACTAGGGAAAGATATGATCAGATGGATGTTTTTAAAAGCTCACTTTGCGCTGGGCATGGTGGCTCATGACTGTAATCCCATCACTTTGGGAGGCTGAGGTGGGCACATTGCTTGAGCCCAGAAGTTCAAGACCAGCCTGTGCAACATGGTGAAAGCCTATCTCTACTAAAAATACAAATATTAGCTGAACGTGGTGATGCATGCCTGTAGTCCCAGCTACTCAGGAGGCCGAGGCAGGAGGATCACTTGAACCCAGGAGGTCAAGGGTGCAGTGAGCTGAGATTGTGCCACTGCACTCCAGCCTGGGTGACAGAACTGAGACTCTTGTCTCCAAAAAGATAAAAAAATAAAATAAAAGCTCACTTTGATCTAGCAGAAAATATAAGATCTTTGGAATCAGATGGTTCTGACTGCATTCAAAGCCCAGCTGGGACTGATTGGGAATGTCCTATAGCTTCTTGGGCCTCAGTTCCCTCACCTTCAAGATCAAGACTAATATACCTACCTCGCAAGGATGGTCTTGAGAAGATTAAGTGAGATAATACAGGTGAGTACACAGAACTGTGCTTGGCACATCAGTACAAAGGAGGTATTTTGTTATAATCATGACTGCAAGCATTTCTTTCTCCAAAGTCTTTTTGCATAAAGATTTTCTAATTTTTTTGTTGTTTTTTGTTTGTTTGTTTGTTTTTGAGACAGAGTCTTGCTGTGTCACCCAGGCTAGAGTGCAATGGTACAATCTCTGCTCACTGCAACCTCTGCCTCCCAGGTTCAAGCGATTCTCCTGCCTCAGCCTCCCGAGTAGCTGGGATTACAGTGTATGACCATCTTCGGCTAATTTTTGTGTTTTTAGTGGAGACGGGGTTTCGCCATGTTGGCCAGGCTGGTCTCGAACTTCTGGCCTCAAGTGAACCGCCCACCTCAGCCTCCCAAAGTGCTGGGATTACAGGTGTGAGCCACCATGCCTGGCCAAGATCTTCTAATTATTTTTTAAATAAAGAGTTATTGTGATTTTCTTTAGCAGAAAAAGAGGTTTGTGAACTGTTTGTTACTGGTGCATAACAAATTAAGGAGCTTACTTCAGAACATAAATCAAGGCCCTGCCTCTTTCCATGAGAAAGTCTTGCCATGTGGTTGGGTGCAGTGGCTTATGCCTATAACCCCAGCACTTCGGGAGGTTGGGGTGGGCGGATCACTTGAGGTTAGGAGTTTGAGACCAGCCTGGACAACATGGTGAAAACCCATCTCTGCTAAAAATATGAACATTAGTGGGATGTGGTGGCGCACACCTGTAATCCCAGCTACTTGGGAGGCTGAGGCAGGGCAATCGCTTGAACCTGGGAGGCAGAGGTTGCAATGAGCTGAGATCGTGCCACTGCACTCCAGCCTGGACGACAGAGAGAGACTGTCTCAAAAAAAAAAAAAAAAAAAAAAAAAGAAAGAAAAAGAAAGCCTTGCTATGTAAAAAAACAGTTGTCTGGATTAAACAGTATAGTACATAGTGATGGAGTTGATTTACATTTTGTGGAAAGTTCCTTATTTCCTCATAGGGCTGTGGACCACCCTTTGAAAGCAGCCAGCAGAACATCACTCCTCAACCCAAGTCTGGCTCTTCTCCTCTTTCTCCAGGGAAGAATCGGGGCACGTCCTGCGGAAAGACCTGCCGGGAAGACCGCGATGATGAGTGGATGGGGGTGAGCCTGGCCCGACAGCCCAAGGCTGATGGCCGTGTGTTGGTAAGTCCCTCCTGGGGGTGCTGTGGGAAGGGGGTGGCACTCTGAGAATGAATGATCTGTTAGGAAGGCTGGATGGCATGGTGACAAGTGCATGGCTTTGAGGTTGCTTATTCTGGACTACTGCTTAGACAAATGACTTATCTTCTTATTTTCTTTATCTGTCAAATGTGAATAATGTCTGTCCCAAGGTGCTGAGATGTGACTATTGAAAAATAAAACATATGTGAAAAGTGCTTTGTACATCTCATTCATTACATAGGTATTTGTGTGTGTGTGTCTTAAATTGAGGTATAATTTACAGTACACAAATCTTAAGATTACAGTCTTGATTTTCACAATTGTACACACCTGTGTAACCATATGCCCACTGAGATATAGAATATTTCCATCGTCCCAAAAGTCTCCGATGTCCCTTTCCAGCCAACTCCTCTCACCTGAGACAAACCACAGCTGTGATTTGTATAATACATTACTTTTGCTTTTTCTAGAATTTCATATAAATGGAATCCTACAGTATGTGCTCTTTTATATAAGACTTCTTTCACTCAAAATAATATTTTCTGAAATTAATCCCCATTGTACGTATCAGTAGTTCATTCCTGTTTATCTCTACATAATATTACATTTTATGAAATAAATGTTATTTTTAACTAGTTATTTATCGGACCTCCAAAGCACCTATGCTGTATTTTGATCCGTAGGTGCTTTGAGGGAGATAGAAAGAAAAGTCTTTGCATTTGAGACTCCTGAGATCCTGGAGTTGTGCTGTGCAGTAAGGTGGCCACCAGCCCTGTGTCCTTATTTAAACTTAAATTTATCCAAATTAAACTAGAAATTCAGGTTTTTAGTCATATTAGCCACATTTAAGTGGCTCAATAATCACAAATGGTTACTGGCTACTCTATTGGAAAGCAGAGAGAGAGAATATTTTCATCATCACAGAAAGTTTTATTAGACTCAACACGAAAGGAATTTCTAACACTGCAGAGGTTTTGTTTTTGTCAATTTTTCCTTTAAGCTTTTCTATGAGGTATAATACTAAAGCACTTAACACACCCAGCTGTGAGTGCACAGCCCGATGGGTTTTCACGCATGTACACTTATGCATCCCCATTGCCAGTACTCCGGAAGAACCCCTGCACCCTTTCCCAGTCAGTTCCTCTGCCCTTGGTGAGTGAACAACTATTCTGACATAGGCTTTCTCTTGCCCTTGACTTTTATCAGAAGCTGTACGAAGATTTTTGTTATAAAAGCGTAAGCTCAAGAGGGGAAAGTAATACTAGCTGCCGCTTATGGAGGGCTTCATTTGGGTCACATGCTGCAAAGCTGAGGGTTTCGTGTGTATTTTATCCCAGGGAAACAGGTTTTCCTTAAGGCACTAGGCAAAGTGTTTTTGTCCCCTCTCTAAGGAGCCCACTTTTGTGTTAAACTTCTTCATGGCATAAGCTGTTAATCTGAATTCCGTCCTCAGCACAATTAAGCATCTCCCCCTTGTCGGGCCCCTTGGGAGAGGAGGAAGCAGCTGGATGCTGTCGCCAGCATGGTGGGGGCCTCCCTCCTGGAAGCCGTTGTAGGTCCTGCACAGGCTCCCTGAGCCCGCTGTTTGCCTTGGTTTCCAGTCCTTTCATCACTGTCATGGCTGGCCCTGGACCCTCTCCAAACTTCCACATTCCTCCAGGCATGGTGGCCTGACCCTGACTGGACAAATGGGCCCCAGAGGGGCTGAACCCTTGTCTGCCATTCTGGGGAAAGAAAGGGAAGAAGCTGACTCATCTGTAAATCAAAGGGTAGCCCAAGGTCCTGATTCAGAACAAAAAGGAGGTGGTGGCCCCGTGGCAGCATAACACAAGATGCTCTTAAGGGCATCGAGCCTAGAGTCAGAGTTTGCTCCTGTGAAAATATTTCCTCTCTGCAAGGAAGGATAACCTCTCTGTGGCTGAGGGCTTGTTTCCAGAGGGGCAAGACAGAATTCTGTGTTACCACAGATCAGTATCACAAAGGAGTCATTTCTGGGGACAGTGAACAGCAATGAGGACCACAGGGAAGATTTAGCAAAGGGAGCCAAGAAGGCAGCACTAGAGCATTTGTGGATAATGGTGCCATGGATAGTCCTGTCTAATTAATTGCATGCAGGACTATTTTTTTAATGTTTTATGAAGTTATTGCATCATCCACTCAGTAAGCCACTGTATATGGGTGCTGGGCAAAGAGGAGCATCTGACACCATCTGCTTTCCTTGTGCCTTTTGTTTGTTTTTCTAATTGTGGCCAAACACATGACATAAAACTTACCACCTTAACCATTTTGAGTGTACAGTAGTGGTAAATGTATGGCACATTGTTGTACAACAAACCTTTAAACTTTATCTTGCAAAACTTACATCCATTGAACAACACTCTCCTTTTTCTCCTTCCCGTGGTTCCTGGCAACATTGTATTTCTATTAAGAGTTTGACTACTTTAGATCTTATGTGAGTGGAGTGTGGTGTTCGTCCTTTTGTGACGAACTTACTTCATTTAGCATAATGTCCTCAAGGTTCATCATGTTGTAGCATGTGACCGGATCTCCTTCCTTTTTAAAGGCAGAATAATATTTCATTGTATGAATTCACCATGTTTTCTTTATTCATCTATTGACGGACATTTAGGTTGGTTCTATCTCCTGGCTGCCGTGATGAATGCTGCTATAAATGTGTACCAATATCTCTTTGAGATCTTGTTTTCAGTTCTTTGGGGTATACACCCGGAAGTGGGATTACTGGATCAAATGGTACTTCTATTTTTAATTTTTAAGAAACCTCCATACTATTTTCCCAAATGGCTGCAGCATTTTAAGTTCTCACCAACAGTGCACAAGGGTTTCAATGGCTCCACGTCCTTGCCAACATTTATTGTTTTCCTTTTTTTTTTTAAATAGTGGCCCTCCTAATGGGTGTGAGATAATATTTTATTGTGATTTTGGTTTGCATCTCCCTGATGATTAGTAACATTGAGCATTGTTTCATCATCTGCTTGTTGGTCATTTTATATCTTTTTTGGAGAAATGTTTAGGTCCTTTGCCCAATTTTAAATTGGATTGTTTGGTTTTTATTGTTGTTGAGTTATCCTCATGGCATTTTGCACATGGGCAGTCTTGCTAGGAAAGGCTTGTCCTAAGTCCCCTCTGCCCCTGCCCCACTCTGTCCTCGGCACTTCTCTTTCTTCCCCTGTATGGGCTCTGCCTCCTTCGTGAAGCCTGTTAAGGGTTTTCTGGAACAAGCTGAGCATCTTTTGTGTCATTAGGAACTCAACATCATCTTATTACTTATATTGTGTGTATAATTTATTTTGTGGCCATATGTCCCCTTTTATGGAAGCCACTTGGGGATAGAGACCAAATCTACCCACTTTCATTCTCAGCATCTGGAGGACATCTCTCTAAGGAATGGCATCTGAAAGTGTGTTTGAATAATACAGGGACTGAGGGTCAATGTTAAAACAATTAGAAACCAAATTAGTTGCCATCTTTTCTTGGTGGCTGATTCTAAGTGGCTGAAGGAAACACCAGGAAACATTCTGTAAAATGTTCCTTGGAAATGGCAGGCAAAAACAAGATACAGTGAGTGTCCCTATTTACATTTGGAGGTCTCATAGCCATTTGCTTTTTTCTTTAATGTTTCAACCCTACCTGTCAGAGCTTTCTGGGAGGCAAGTATTTACTTTTAAATTAAAAATGGGAAGGATATGTGTTGTTCAGGTGCATTTTGAGAACTTGAGAAGTGCCTGGGGGTGTAGGCAAGAGACCAGTATCCCCAAGGAGCACAATATTGGATTCCAAGGTTGGGTTTGAAGAGGGAGAGGTGGGCTAGCTCTTTTGAAAGTGGTGTCTGGTGCTGATAGAAAACCTAAGAACAAATGGAGAATTTGAAAGCTGCAATGGGGCGTGAAATGTCTCAGTGACCAAAGGCATTATGTGGACCATGGACCCAGCAACCAGCTCTGGCAAGGACCAGATTGTCAGGCTGGTCTGGCAGGTTGACCTTGGCTTAGTGCCTGCCCATCTCAGCTCCATGGACACTGTTGCACCTCCCAGGTTTTCCCCAGAAACAAATGATACTGGATGTAAAGATAGCATCAGGATTAGAGGCAAGCCCCTTCCCTTCTCACTCTCTCATCCTGAGCTTCCTGTGTGCAGACGACATTTTAAGAAATGAGCGGGGAGGGGAATCACTTCTTGAAATAACCACTGAACAAACTCTGTATAGGCACTGACTGCTGCTCAGACTTTGGAGGACAACTCAAAATGTTCAAGTCTAATGTCGCCCCTTTTCATCAGACTTGCCAAGGCTCAGACAACAAATAATTTAAGCTTCTAGATTATTTTTGTGCAGAAGCAGTATTCTCTGGTTCTCTTTGTCATTTCCTTTCTAATTATCAGGGCTGTCCTTATCTGTTCAGTGCTTCCCATCTGTCCATTTTTTTTTTTCAAAGCCACAGGGTACATTTTTGCATTTACTTCTGTTGCTCTGTTTCCTGATTTTTTTTAAAGTGAACTTTTTATTGAGCTGTAACACACATGCAGAAAAAGGTATAAATCATCAATGTATACCTCAATAAATTTTCATTAGGTGAACGTCCTCAGAATAACATTTTCACACCCCAGCAGCCCCTTCCCAATGCCCCTCCTGGCCACTTCCTCCTCGGTTGGGGAGCTTCTTAGGGGAGTCTCATGGCATCTCAGCCTCTCTGTGATCCTGCTCCCCACCACACACCATTCTTAGCAGCCAGGCCCAGTTGTGGCCGTGCACTGTGGACCTGGATGCATGACAAAGGCTTTGGCCATCTCTATGGCAGGTGCGAATGTAGGAGGGTTGGCAGGGACTGATGTGCCTTTGTGGCCGAAGCACCCGGAAAGTGCCATTACCCACCTCTAGGAGGGATGTGTTGTTTCCATACAACAAAAAAGGCCTTTGAAATAAAGTGTTTATTTTCTTTCTCTTTTTCCTCTTTTGGGAGGAAGAGCAATCCTTATACCTTGAAATGTGTCAGATTCTAATATTTGGAGTGGGACAAGGCCCTCCTTCCCCTTTCTTATGATTAGTTGAAATCTGAGTTTGAGCAAGTCTTGCTGTTTTCAGAGAATGCTCTCCTTCTCCTGTTCTTCCCTCACAGCCGAACTCATTTGGAGAGATTGATGGAGTTACTAATGCTTTGGAGACAGTCCCTAGGAATTTTTTTAAAATGTAGTGGTCAGATTGACATGTGTGTATATATAATGATAATCAAGGCTAAACACAGTCTTCTCTTTCTGTAATTTATATTCAGAGACACTTTGCATTGTTTTCCTACATGAATCCTTCCTTTGACACTTTGATCTCTGACCTCCCAGAATGCTTTTAGTTTAGTATGAAATGCAATATTTGGATCTTCTAGGAATTTTCCAAGATCACCCCTTAAATAGTTTATGGCACTTAAAAAATGAGACAATACACCAGACATTAAGTACAGCAAAGCCTTCCTATAAGTGTCAGTGTGCAGCTGGCTATCAGACAGCACCATGATAAACATCCGCCTCTTTTCACAGCCCCTCCAACTCAGAAATACAATAAAACATGGTCAACCCTTGAAGCCAAGGGCTTTGCTAAGTCCAAAAACTTAGCAAAACCAAAACATAACTGATTTACCCACAAATTAGATAACAATAAGTGATTCAAGTTTGCGAGCCATAAGAATTGAGTCAGAACTTTAAAAATCAATTATTTAGCAGTATGGAGTGATTATTTACTTAGTGATATATTTTTTATAGTTCTCTGCCTCATATCATTTCAGTCTATTTAGAAACCTGCTATTTTAGCACAAAACAATATCAAGGAGAGGAGTGAATGTGGTTTGCAGCAGAAAAAATAACAATAGATTGTTTTCTGTAGTTTAATGTCATACGACAAGAGGCAGAATGTGGGCAAGCTCAGGTTTTGAGAGTCATTCTGAGTGTGTCCTCTTTTGCCATTGGGCAGAGAGTGGCCTTGTCCAGGGCCTTGGTGGCAGTGGCTTGAAGGATGAAGAGCAGAGAGCTTAGAAGGCTGTGATCTTATCATAGAATGATGTCAGGGAGAACCAGGCCCCAAGAGCCCCCTCACTCACTCGGTGACGTGGGGCATTCCATTCGACCCCAGAGTGGTTATTTCACATGTCCTGGGACATGTGGCAGGGGGGCTGTAAAGAGGATAAAGTCACCAGGCCTGCCCCAGGGGGTGGGTTTTGATGGCCTCTCAGGTAGGAATGAGAAGTTTTAAGATGGAAAATGCTTCATAGTGAAACAAGGAAGACTCAGAATTCCTGGATTCCAGTGCTGTTTGCAGCACTTACTAGCTCTGCCACTTAGGCAAAGCACTCTTTGATACATGGTGCTCTTGTACAGAAAATGGGAATTCTAAAGACACCTCTGCTCACCTTCCAGGATTGCAGAAGAGGTCAGAGGTAGGCCATAAGAACGCTAAATGTTATCACTTACGAAAACAATGCGTTTGAGGGAGGCAAACCAAGATGTTAAAAACTGATTATTTTCAAAAGCAATATTTTAAGAAAATGCATTCACTGGCTGGGGTGAAGTGAACTGATATCAGAAGTGAGTAGTGAATGCCCAGGAGAAGTGGAACGGGCTGGGCAGGGTAGAGTGTGTGCCTCTGAGTAAGCAGCTCGGCTCTTCATCAGCACAGCAGTGACATCTGGATGTGCAGAGACATGCACGGGAACTGGGGCCACTGTCATGTCCAAGCAGAAGGCAGGGGCATGTTTAGTGTGGCAGAAGGACGATCCAGGCCTGCATCCTGGCTGCTGGCACTGCTCCAGTGTCTGTTAGCAGAGCTGCCCTGCCTCATGGTGTCTTGCGTGGCTTCGACCCTAGTGCTGAGAGGCTCCTCTGGAGAGCTGGCCAATGCATCTGTCCATCTTCTTCGCCAGTATGCGGAGCTCTCATGCACCCCAAGACCCTTGGCCATGAACCTTCCTTCAGCTTTCTCCTCAGAGAGGCCTTCCTTGACCTGCCTGGCAAAACCAGCCACTCCCTGGCATGAGGGAACTTTCTGGTGAGATGGAGATGTTCTGTGTCTTGCTAGGGCCTTGGTGACATGAGTGTGTACATTTGTCAAAGCTCATTTGTGCATTTTGCTGTATGTAAGTTTCCATAAAAAAACAACTCTCCACACACATTTACTTCTAGTTAATGAGATGCATGCTGAAGTGTTTCTGTGGGTAGAAACATGGTTGAATATCAGCCATTCCTCCCTTCCCTGCTGTCTCCACATCGGTTCAGTCCCTTGGGCCTGTCAGCTCTGAAGCCACCCCCGTCGCCCATCTCCACTGCCCCTCCTGGTCCAGACCTGCATCATCTCTCACCTGGTGTTCATTTGCACTTTTGCCCTCCTGCAGTCTCCACCAAGCAGCCAAATGGTCTTTCCAAACTGTCACTTGGATCATGCTTCTCAACTGTGTAAGACTCTCCACCACTTCCCATTGCAGATCTGCTGAAGTCACAGCCATTCCTACGTCCCCCTGTGGTCCAACCTTGGCCGCCTCTTTGATCTTATCTCCTTCCCACCATGGTCACTCCAGACCGGCCTTTCTTTCTCTTGAGCCTCTGAGCCTTTCTCACGATGTATCCTTTACATTCTGCTATCCTTTGAATCCTCCCAGAACCCTCTTCCCCTCATGCTTCAGGCCTTCCCGACCTCTGGTGGAAACTATCCTTCCCACTCCCAGATTCTCTATTCTATAACCTTGTTTCTTTCCTTCCCAATGCTCAGGACTAGCTACAATTCTCATTTGTTGATATATTTATTTCCTGTCTCCTAGTAGGCTCCCAGTGGCTTGTTCCTGTTCATGCAGTTTTCTGATGCCCAGAAAAGTGCCTGTTATGAAGGTGTGGCTTTCTGGTCCCTCTGCTCCTCTCTTCTCCCACAGAAAGAAACATCTGGCACTGACAGGAGTCTGCTTTGTGATCTTTTGGGGCCAACTTTCCTGCTCTCAACTGCTCTCTATCCCTTTAGGCCTGTGCTCATCGCTGGAAGAACATCTACTATGAAGCCGACCACATCCTACCCCATGGCTTCTGCTACATCATCCCCTCCAACCTCCAGGCCAAAGGCAGGACGCTGATCCCTTGCTATGAAGGTGAGCATGGATTGATTTTTCCTCATCCCCCTACCCACCTCATGCCCTAAGCCCGCCTTCCCACCTCTATGCACCACCAGCTGAACATTTCCCCAGCTTTCCACATGCTCATGATAGGGCAGCACTGTTTGCTCCCAGATGGTCTCTTGGTCCCCAAGGCCCTGCCCAGAGAAGAGGCAGGTACAGAGGGGGCAGCAGTCCCAGGCCTTTCCAACCCTCACCTGACTTGGCTGCAGAGCCCACGGTGCTTACCAAGCATTATGAAGTCTCAGGGACCGAAATTCACCAAGCCTCAGCCAAGTGACCTAACAGCTGCCTTGGTTTTCTGGTAATGCCAGGTGCTGTGTTGCCTTGGGAAACTTACCTTCTCTCTCTGGACCTCAGTTTCCTTGTCCGAATATTCAGTGGTTGGCCCAGATGATCTCTACAGCCCCAGGCAGCTCCAAGTCAGTCATTAGGCTCCCACACAGCTTCTGGCTGCACTGTGGACAGATGTCCTGAGGCTGGGGGGAGAGGAGACCCAGGATTCATAAAGCAACAGCTGGACAGAAACCTGACACTCTGAACTTTCAGCATTTCATGACATTTGAGGTCTGACTTTCCTTCCCATGTGGTCCTGCAGCCCAGGCAGATGCTGGAGAATTGGGCGCATCCTGAATGTGGTTTTAAGAGCTCCTCGCCAAGGGGCACTTGGAAGGAAAATGTATCCTCTCAGACTTAGAACCTTCAAATGCCTGGGCATCGAGGACAGTCACTAATAGTGATTGAGTCAGTCACTATTTAGCCCAGTCGAATCTGAGCTTTAAGCGTTCAGAAAACACGGTTATTTTCTTCAGTTTGATAGCTCGTAGTTTCAAGTTTTCTCAGCCTAATTTTGGGTAAGCTGGAACCTGCTCCTTCTGTAAGTGCTGGACTATTTATTTCTTAATTCCCCTCCTACTTTATTTGGACAGAAGTCTCACTGGCTTATGTCCACATTGCCTTTGGGCCTCCCTGGGTTTTCCTAGGTTTCAAATTTTGTGGACACTAAAAAGGATTCATGAGAAACACTATATGGACACTGGGACCCTTCTGGGTACTGAGGTGACACAGGTAGGGTGCTCTGGGAAACGTCCCCCACAGAAGAGCCAGCAAGATCTCTGCAGGAGGCACAAACCCTCTCCCCTATAGAGTGAGCCTTCCTTTGGTTTTTCTTTCTCCTCTGTATCAGCATTTGATCAGCTCTGGCTGGGCCATGTAGGGAAATGAAACTCTGGCCCTGTTTATATCTGTATTGTCCCAAACAGAAGAAGAACAAACTTCATCTTAAAAATAGAGGATGATATAATCAATCAAGAGTGGAGGGATCGTTGGTTTCAGAAACGCAAAGCATGTGTCAAGCCTGGGTTTCCACTGCCCCAGTTTACTCCTCCTTTTTCCTAAGGAAGAAAAAGGAAAAGCCTCTGGAACAACCGGTGGGGCAGCTCTTCAGGCTGAGAAGGAGCGATGGGCTCAGCAGGGTGATGGAGGCAGTGATTGTTGAACCATACTAGTTATGCATAGGACCAGTACTTTGGTTTTCCCAGAAGATGACATGTTGTGACAGGGACACATGATGGTCCCTGATGATTCCTCTATATATACCACAAGCACAAGGACAGCCCTCTGAAGAGGGAGGTGGAGTTCAATGTCCATGTGTACGCAGGTCCACGAGGCTCATAATTCTGCATTACTTTCTATTAAGTAGCTGTGGATCATCAGTAGGCCAGTGTTGATCTGAGGTCTTTACACATTCTCTCATCTAATCTTCCCAGAAGCTGTGAAAAATGTTTGTTTCTTTTTTTTCTTGGGTCTGATTACAGGTATTTTATTTTGGAAATTGTTCTAGAAGACACCAGTGAGGCAGGGGGAAGTAAGAATGGGAAGGGAAGGCAGCCCATGGAAGATGTACTCCTCAGCACGTTACCTGGGCGAGTGGGTGCAGTCTCTGGGGTGGGTGCTGGGGCCAGTGTGGAGCACACATCTAGAGTCCTCCTGCCTGAGGGCTGAGGGGAAGGGGCTTCCTCCACCTGGCATCCTGTCCTGCCATGTGTGTGGGCTGGGAAAGCCTCCAGGACAGAGGTGCTGGCAGGTGGCAGTCAGGCCACATCATAGGAACGGTGGTAGGAGCTGGGGGGAGACAGGTGGGATGCCCAAAGGCCAGCTTCTGTGTTGTCATTCTCCTGTGACAGGAGTAAGTGGAGACTCAGAGTGTATGTGAATTGCCCCAGGTCACTCAAACAATAAATGGTGGAGCAGGATTTTGAAGCTGGCCTCTGTCTGACTCAGCAAACCATTTTGTGTCCTGGTAATTAATGGTAATTTCTGTTAGTTTGTTTTTTAGGGTTTCTAATTTAAATGAGAAGTAAAAGCCAGTCAACAACCCTCACAAAGCAAGAAAGGGTGACTGAACTATCCCAAAAATACAATGGACTTAATGATGGTTAAATGGAACTGGTGAAGAAATTAGCAAAATGATTATGCCCCTGCCCAATCTTCCTTCCCATGGGCGCACACACACTTTTATATGCTAACCCATTCATTGGCCCAGGGTGGGAAATAAGGGATGGATGGGGCTGGCATGTGGAGTATTGGGGTGTAAGAGCAGCCCCTTAGAAAAATGGGGGACTAAATTGAAAGTTTCTGTAGTTCTTGGCCCTGTAAGAGGAGAGGGGTAGAAGATGCTGAGTATTTTTCTAGAAGACTGGACTGGACGGGTGGGGCTGGGAGGATGCCGGCCGTAGTGAGAGGGCTCTTGTCTGTGCTCTGTTGGCTTTAGGCATCTCCACCTCCCTGTTTTGTGGTTTAAACTAGACCTACTATGGCTTTTAAGGCCACCATTATTTCCTCAATGTGGAGAAACTCAGTAATGCAAGTTCTCTGTTCCACGTTAGGGGTCACATTATGGTTAAAGACAATGGGAAGATTTTAGAGTTTGACAGGACCTTTCAGATACCACCTAGAACAGCCTCCTGTCTTTCATGAGGTCCAGAGAGGTGATGGCCTGAGTTTTTCTTTCTAATCTGTTATTCACATGCCACACAATGGAGAGGCAGAGTAGCTTGGTGGCCAATGCACAGATTCTGGACACAGACTGCCGGAGTTCAAGTCCCGGCTCTGCTACTTCCTCTTATTAACAGTGTAATCTCAGATGGGTTATTTAAGTTCTCTGTGCCTAACCAACCTCAAGGGTCTATGAAGAGGACTGAGTTAATGCTTCTAAGTCCTTAGAACAGTGTCTGGCATATACTTGCTAATATATGCTAAGCATATATATACTAATATGCCATGTACAACATACTGTATTCTGAGCAAGTGTTTGTTAATCATCATAGGGTGACTGACTTGTGTACCGGGAATAGAATCCACTTAATCTTAAGTACTTGTTAGTTGCCAGATAGACAAAACCCAAGTGACACAGTTCCAGCTACCAAGAAGCTCCCCATCTACAGGGGAAAACAGAGAGGGGACAGGGTGTTTTAAAAGTGGGAGGGCCGTGTGGAGAGAGAATTTCCTGCCAGTGTGTACTGCTGGAGCCCGTCCCCAAGGGCTTGAGCTGCATCCAAGTGCAAGGTGGCATTATTTCATTTTACAATTGGAAAAACTGAAACCCACTTAAAGTCTGCAGGCTGTTGAGACTATGGAAGAGAGGGATGGTGGAAATTCGAGACTGGTCATGGTGGTGGGAACAGGGCAAGGGAGGAGGGGGACGGCTGCCTCTAAACCCACTTCTTGTGGGATGGTGGAAAGACCGTGGGAGGGGCTGTGGGTTGAGGACGGCTCTGCTGCACTTCTGCCCCTTTAGCCTCAGGCCTGTCACTTGGCCTCTCAGTGGGAGTCGATGCTGTGATGCCTCCACTGCATTTACCGCTTTGGGTTATGGTGAGGAGCTCCCGAGAAAACTCAGGTGAAAGTGCTCAGCAAGGCCACCCATTGTTCTATAACTGTGGCCTCATGGTAAGTCTCCATATGGGCCAGCTGTGCTCCTTTACAACATTGGAAGGTCGGTTTGGTTGCAGAGACTCTAAATATGTGGGGATCTCTCCAAAATGTCTCAAGCTTTTGAATTCTTAAAAAATTGGTCTCTGGTTTGGCACTAGGACATGGCTTCTCAGGTGCTTCCTGTTTCTGGTTGGATGGGAAAAGCTACCAGAATATCCTGTTGGAACCAGGAAAAACAGAGGAAATGGGAAATAAAAATGAATTTAGGACATAAACTCATGGAGCATATCCTTCAGTCAGTTTAGTTTGTGTTTGTCTGATGTGAGAACATCATTACCTACCATATGTTCTTTGGTTTTATCAGAATGTGTGAGAAAACGAGAGCTTTGGTGGGACGATGTATAGGGAAAACTACTTGTAAATTAAAGGGCAAGCACTATAAAACATTAATTACTATTAACCAAGCTATGATATTTTAGGACTCCGAAATGTTAAGTCAATGCATGTGATAAAATCAAGTACAGAGATTTCTTTCATCCTTTGCCCTTGAGACCACTGAGGCAAGAAGCCGGAACTTAGCAGGAGTGAGACTGCAAACAAGTTGTCTTTTTATTGTGACCGAAAAACCTGATGAGTGTGGAATAGTTTGGGAGCAGCATGGCAAATTAACAAAGCCTGTTCAAGATTAAACTCTGAGAAAGAAATGCAAGAGGTAATTATGATGCCATGGTATGTTAGACCTAAATTGTGGAATCTGGCTTTACTACTCACTTATTGCTATGATTAAACCTATATGCTCCTACTTTCTGACTTAGTGACCTTAGGCAAGCTCCATGAGCCTGGTGCCCTCATCTATAAAATGGGGAGATTAAGATCTACTTAAGAGGTATGTGAGGTATAAAGTGCCTACCACAGTGCTCAGTCGAGAGTGAATGCTGCTCATTGCCTTCAATTAGAAAATGTAAATTTTCTAATTAATTTTCAAGCAACATAATAGTATTCTTAAATATTCTCAGAAGGTGTCTAACATATCCTGTTTTAGTGACTAGATAATGAAGGGTAGAAAGCTGGATATTCCTAAAATGATTTTAAGAGCCCTTGGCAAGTTATAATTTCTCAAATACTGTTGAAGATCATATTGGCACAATTTGGTTGGTAAGTGTTCCTTCCCTCTTTTTGTAGATGACCTAAAACTTTAACTCATGCCATGTTTAAATGTTCTTAAATTTGGGATTGTTGAAGTCTGAATTTTACTGTGCTTTAAAATTGTGATGGAAAAACTTCCTATGGATTCCAAAGATTTCTGTACCACTCTATTATCAGGGAATGACTGGCTTTTATTTCTAGTGTGTGTTTGCATTTCCTAGGACAGTGATCATTTCCAGGGAAGGAAATAGATTACCCATTCAAAGGTGAAGATTTTTTTCCCCTTTAATGTTAAAAGTGGTCTCCACAAGGGATAAAAATCAACGAAGGTCCATTTACAAATGAAAAGGAATTGGGGTTTTGTTGTATTTTTGTTTTGTTTTTGTTTTGGAGAGAACCATAAAAGGCTAAGTTGATCCATTTAAAAATTCAAGAACAAGCCTCATAAATTTTTATTAAATAAAGACCTCTACATTTACATAGGATTTTATGGTTTCCAAGGAGCTTTAATAAACATATCTTATTTAAATAAATAGAGCAAATTAAAGAGAAGAGGATGCAGTTGTACATTATGGCCAGTTAAACAGAGAGGGATTCTGAGGGGGAGGAAGGGAGGGAGGCCCCAGAGGACAGCCATGGCTGTAAGGAGGAGGCCAGAGGTCTCCAGCAGGGCCTCTCTGGGGCTTTCCAGGTTTCCTTGGAGCCAAGAATTTTAATCTTGGGCAAACCTGTCTCCTATACTTCAAACGTGTTTCCATGTATTACGTGGAATTATAGACTACCTAAACTGCATCTTTTGTTTCTCTCAGAAAAATTCACAGATTCAGATTCACCTAATATTTATTGAGCACCTACCTGGTGCCAGGGGTTGTGCTAGGTACTTAACATTTTTGATCTTACTGAGTAATCACATCATTCTCAGATAAGTATTCTTATCCTTGTTATACAGATGAGAAAACTGAGGCCCAGGGAGCTTGATGAAGGTCACAGGCTTATTAGTCAGAGGAGGGGTTGACGGCTTTTAAGTGTGTAGTAGGTTTCTTTGTAGCTACCTGTTCTGTTGGGATCCTGGTTTTCTTGGTGATTACTGAGTGCTGTGGCCTATCACAGAAAAAAAAGTCATATTTTTTTTCAATGGCATAATTTTATGAATTTTTGGGACACTACACTATAGACTTGTTAAGCTATGTTTCAGTTTTGCAATTATAGATACACTCTGTAGACAAGTCCCAGTAGGTACAGAGGGCAGACGTGGGTCCTCAGACTGATAAAATGTAGCCAGGAGACCAATCTGCTCTAGTCTGGAGTGGCTGCTTACTGGGAACATTTGGTTTCAGTATCTGCACAGCAGTTTGTCTGTCCATGCTTTGGTGCCAGTTATTTCATGAGTCTTTTTATTTTTATTTTTTGGTTATATAGATCAGAGGTTTCCGTGTTGCCCAGGCTGGCCTCGAACGTCTAGCCTCGCCTTCTTATGCGCCAGGACAACAGGCCTGAGCCACTGCAGCTCCCTATTTCATGAGTCTTTTAGCTTTGGTCCCAAAATTGAATTCTGCTCAGTTCTGAGCTGGGGTTCTCACTGAAATGTGACTGTCCCATGTTCAGGGTCACTTTTTTTTTTCTGAGAGTAGAGCATGACATAATGCATAGTAAGTTGCATGTCTATATATACATTATTATGTGCCTGTATTATTACTTGCTGCTGAAGTAGGGAGTTGGCAAAATGGGTTGCTAAGTTCTAGGTAAAGGGAACGCTTTAAAGATTACAAAACTCCTTTTTTGGTAATATTAAAAAATTATTGGCCAGGCGTGGTGGCTCATACCTGTAATCCCAGCACTTTGGGAGGCTGAGACTGGCAGATCACCTGAAGTCAGGAGTTCGAGACCAGCCTGACCAACATGGTGAAACCCTGCCTCTACTAAAAAATACAAAAATTACCTGGGCATGGTGGGGTGCATCTGTAATCCCAGCTACTTGGGAGGGTGAGGCACGAGAATCACTGGAACCTGGGAGGCGGCGGTTGTGGTGAGCCAGGATTGCATCACTGCACTCCAGTCTGGGTGACAGAATGAGACTCTGTCTCAAAAAAAAAAAAAATATTGTAAAAAATAAATAACATAAAAATTACCATTTTAACCATTTTTAAGTGTACAGTTCTGTAGCATTATGTACATTCACACTGCCATGCCATTATCACCACCATCCATCCCCAGAACTTTTGCATCATCCCAAACTAAAGCTCTGTACCCATTAAACATGAACTCCTCATTCCCTGCTTCCCCTAGTCCCTGGCAACTGCCATTCTACTTTGTCTCTGAATTTGGATACTCTAGACACCTCATGTAAGTTGAATCATACAGTATGTGCCCTTTTGTGACTGGCTTGTTTCACTTAGCATAATGTCCTCAAGGTGTATCCATATTGTAGCATCTGTCAGAATTTTCTTCCTTTTTAAAGGAAGGAATATTTAATAATATTCCATTGTATGTGTGTGCCCCACATTTATCTATTCATCTGTTTATAAAACATTTTCTTTGGATGATAAGAATGTTTTCACTGGAAATGTGCTTTGTGAAGCATAAGGGAGTGGCAGAAGCAGATCAGAAGTTGGGAGCCTTGCTCTTGGGTCCTGATGCTGAGGCTAATCAGCAGTGTAGCTTTAAACAAACCACTTGCTCTTTCTGAGCAAAAATATTCCATTTGTAAATAAATGGACAGAGTTAGAGTTATTAGGCATTCCCTAAAGATCTTTTCCCCTTTTAAAATCTTTCTTTCATTTAATTCTAAGTTTCTGGCTTTATGCACTTTGTGTTTCATGCACACCATAGCTTAGTCATCAGTTATTTTCATAAAATGTTCTCGCTTCCTCTTTAACCTAGCTGTTTAATTTATTTACATTTTTTCCCCCATTTATATGGTGGTCCCTTGTAAACTGAGGGTAGTTTTATTCTCTCTTCATTTTTCTGTATAATTGCCCTTTTTTTTTTTTTTTTTTACTAGAGCTGTGTCTGCCCAAATGCATTGTTTCCTGTATTGTACAATTATCAGTTATTTAGATTTGCCACTCTGTTAGAAACAAAATGCTTGTTCCTCAGTGCCACAATGAAATAGCACTTGAACATAAATTTAATTTTCTCAGCAAGGCAATTTTTACTTCTACTGAAGCGTGCGACTTGTGGATGGAGTAATGGTGAGAGCACACCTGGACAGGGGAGGGGCAGGGGTTCTTATTCCTGTTGCAGGTAGCCCCTACTGCTGTGTCGTTCCCCTATTTCCTGGGGTTCAACTGCATAGTCTGAGCTAATTCCAACTGGCTGTTTTAAAGAGAGCAGACTACGATCCTGAGTGGCGGGGTGAGTAGTTTGGTGGGAAGGGTGGTTACAGAACAGGTGACTCAGGATGATTTGGGTCAGAGCAAGTGACCAGGGGTGACTCAAGATGGAGCAGGTAACCAGGGTGACTTAGGTTAAAGCAGGTGACCAGGGGAACAGATCTGAACTACTGATTAGAACTGGCGGGAAAGTTGTTTACTGAAACTAGAGGCAAGGGGGCCAAAGAGAACCAGGAAGTTAAACTTTAAAATGGAAAATCAAAGAATAAGAGAGCTGAACATATTGACATACTGATTCTTTGAAGAGAAACTTGGAATTCGCTATAACAACTCCTTGGTGAAATTCAGAATAAAGACTGGCAAGCTATTTTTCCCCCAGTATTTTATTTCAGAGCTAAGCTAAGGAACTACAGAAAAATAATTGTAAAATTGATGTGTTAAAAAGCTTTGAAAGACAGAACTTTCTCAAATGGGTAATATGAAGGGAGATTATTAGGAAGAATATATGTTATGCTGTATGTGAATCTTGATCTTTCTGTGGAATGGTTTTATCCTGGTCTTTTGGAAAGGGTACAGGAAGTGACCCCACCCGATTGGTGGTCTGCTTGAATTACATTCATTAATGTAGGCTCCATGCATTGAGTTGCGGATTGTGAACATTTGGAAACCAGTATTTTTTTTCCTCTCTGAATTGCCTTCTGTTTAGACAGGGCTTAATAAAACCAGCAGCTAAACCAAGGAAAATACTCCCATTTTTAGAATGGAGGAGCCATACGACTTAATGAATTAAAGCATGTAATGCAGGCCAAGTAATTCAAACCCACCCATGGCAGGAAGAGTTCCACAACCTGGTTCCAGCTCCTCTAAGTGACTTCTAAGTCCCCTTGTTCAACCCTATCTTTTGGGTCTCAGATTTGGCTTCCCCCCCGCTTTTTTTTTTTTTTTTTTTGAGACCGAATCTGGCTCTGTTGCCCAGGCTGGAGTGCAGCGGCATGATCGTGGCTCACTGCAACCTCTGCCTCCCAGACTCAAGCCATCCTCCCACCTCAGCCTCCTGAGTAGCTGGGACTACAGGTGTGCACCACCGCATCCAGCTAATTTTTGTATTTTTGTAGAGATGGGGGTCTCACTTTGTTCCCCAGGCTGATTTTCAACTCCTGGACTCAAGTGATCTGCCTGCCTCGGCCTCCCAAAGTGCTGGGATTACAGGTGTCAGCCACCGTGCTGGCCAGCTTCCCCAAATGTAAGGGTTAGGTTTGTTACAGTGCCTGTGAGCTGCTGTCAGGCAAAGCCTGCTTTTCCCCTGCTTCTTTGAGGTGGATAAATGTTTTGTTCAGTAGTGGAGAGGGCACTAGCTATTGTAGTCCTCTCTGCAGGGCCATGTCCCTGGGGGCATTTGGAGACCAAGTAGACATGCCCAGGAGCAGCCAACTGCTGGGCCCCACGGCCTTTGTGTTTGTGCAGGAAAAGTTCTTCCTGGGAACACAGGAGACTGGAGGTCACCCCCACCCCTTCCCAGGTCCCTCCACCCTGCACTTCCTGGACTTGTCAATGGAGGGAGGGTGTGTGACCCAGGCTTGTTGGGGATGTTGTTTGTGGGGCAGCCCCTTGCCTCTCTCTGCGCCTACCTCACTTCCCATAGCTTTGTGATATAGGCTGTCCTGCCATCTCAGGTCTAGACAAGCAAAATCAAGTTGTATTTTTAAGTTTTTTAGATACGAGTATGGTAGAATAACCCTATGTACATACTCTTTGGGGAAGAAAGGCTCGTACATGAACATTTAGAAGATGGATTAGGGAGAAACCTAAACCTGCCCTCTTGACATATATATGAAGGAATCAGGTTAAAATAATAGTAGTGCCCTTAACTCACAGAAATAGCATTCAAAGGAGTGAAAACAATGGAAAGCATGCTTGTGGCCTAGGCTGTGGAAGGTGTGGAATGTGAAACTGTCTAATCCAATAACACCCACTAACTTTCCTAGACTAGAGTTGCCAGGCCCCACAACTGCCCCCAAAGTGTGTGTGGCAGGGATCGGATAGGTGGTAGAAGGATTAGAACTGGATTCTACTCTACCTTGAAGGGATTAATGACAGTCACAGAAGTTTCTGGGAGGCTGGGACATGGCCTGCTCTCTGATCTAGATTTGATTATAGGAGCCAGTCAGGGGCCCCCATTGTTTGATTCCTTGCCCTAGAGCATCCTGAGAAGGCAGCTTAGACTTTGGGTTTCAGAAACATGAAAGTCAGTGATGGTACCGACTTCCATGTGTGTCCCAGGCCCTCAGACCTCTGGTGGGGCAGTCCCAGCTTGGGAAGGCGGAGGCTGGCCTGAAAACAGTGCTTCATGCTGCCTGAAACAGGGGTGCCTTTAAGGGCTTCCCCTTGCTGGCCTTCAGCCTGGGCCAGAAGTGGGGTATTCTTAGCTCCCAGTGAGGCTGTCACCACCTCGGAAACCCGAGGTCCTGCTCCCAACATAGACCACACCAAGTACAGTTTGGGGAGGAGGCACTGAAGTTCTCAAATCTCCCATTTTTTGGAGACCTTGTCATAAAGAGACCTTGAGACTGCTTTAAAAGATGAAAGAGTCCCACACAATTCCTATTCATGTCAGAAATTTATGAGGCTGAACTGGTGGTGTGTCTTGCACTATAGTTTCATTCAGCTCATGGGGTCTGAATTTCCTTTTTATGTTTCATTTTTTCAAGAGTTACAATTGGGTGTTTAGTCTCTAGAGTCAGTGGGATGGATATGCTTTTTGCCAGACTTTTCACATTTAATATGTAACTGTTTGTTTAGGTTGAGACATTTTGATCCTTTTTGCCGTTGTGCTATTTGATGCAGGATTTATTATTAATTTGTATTATTTCTTGCTATTATGAAATTTGATGCAGGATTTGTTCATTGCTTTGCACTAGTCTCACTCGCAGCCCTGGTGCAAGATTCTGCAGGGAACAAACAAGTTCCTTTTGTCACTGGACTGCTTTCTGGCAGGTCTAGCAGTTGTCCTTATAATAACCGGACAAGGCGGGAGAACTGATTTTATCCTGCATGGAAGAGGAGTAACTCAATTGACATTCTTTGTCATTTAGCAGTCAGTTAATGGCCACTTACTGGAAAATGTTACTAGGCTCTGTGGTGAGTGTTGTTAGAAACTGAATTACTCTGTATATTTCCCCAGGGCCCTTTTTCCCCTTGCCTGGAGTAGACACTCAGAACGGCAGGAAGTGGCACTGTGTTGCAATCATAGTTTCATTGTTCCTTTGTATTTTGCATTTCAAAAATAATGATATTGCTTTTAATGGTACCAGAGACTTGCCAGGAGCCCAGGGGGTGGTACAGGGTCACTGGGGTAGCCCCAGCCTGAGGGTGCCCAGGAGTGGTCTGTGGAAGGTCTCCAGCAATGTCAGCCTCACATGTGATTAATTTGAGTCACTGTGAACATCTCTCCACCTCCTTGACTTTACCCATGAAATGATTTCCAACATCCAGTCACTTTCCTGGGTATTTTTAGTCACTCACTTTGCAGAACCTTTGATGGTCTACAGAAGTGAAGGAATGGGTTTCTAAGTCCAAGCTGAGGTAGAATCCTGGCATTGCCATTTACTAGAGCTGTGTGACCTTAGACAATTCACTTAACCTCTCTGAGCCTCAATATTCTTACCTGTTAACAAGTGGGGATATGGGTTCCCAGGGATGAGGGACCGGTGAAATGATATGCCTGGAGACAGCTAACACAATGCCTGGAAAATGCTAAGCACTTGTCAAAAGTTTCCTACCCCTCTTCCTTGCCAGCTTAAAATTATAACTGCAGCAGCAGAACGCCCCCATTTGTTGGGTAGCAGTGTTGTGAGCTGAGGGGGTGGAGGAGAAAAGCTTATCTGTTAGTTTTCTTTCCACCTGGAGAGATCTTCCCCCTTTCCTTCCACACAGCAATAGTGTAACCGAATGCCAGAGCAGTCCCTTCTTCTTGCGGTCCTCTGTGGACGGCTTGTTTCTTTTTGGATGGTAGGAGGCATCCAAAGCCTCTTTTAGGGAAGATTGGTCTTCTTCCAGGAGACTCCACACTGGGATGGCCACATCATTCCATTTCTGGGTCACGTTTTCAGCTCCTTGGGCCTGCAAGGGATCTCTGTCCCTTCTGGAGTAAATGAAATAATTGTCACTAGCCTCCCACTTAATGACTGTGGCTATTGCTCCTCTTTCTCGCACACGAGGGGAGGAAGTCTGCTGGGGCACTGGGCAGCCTCCCTTCCCGATGGCACCAGAGCCTGGATTTTTGAGGTCTGGTGGATTCCTGAGACTTTCCTTCCTCACCCCAGTCTGGATGGCATCCCTGGGCCCAGCCTGCCGCGGCACTCGTGGGAAGTGGCTGGCTGGCTCTGCTGGCTCCACGCACAGCTGGCATACACTGACATGGCTGTGGTTTGCTTCTCTCTCCTTCCTTCCCCCTAGAGTATAAGAAGAAGTACGGAGAGGAACACGGCTCCTGCCAGGCTGGGATAGCGGGCTTCTTCACCGAGGTGGGTGTCTGCTGTCTGGGCATTTCTGTTCTCTTGTGGGTGTTCATTTCCTTGCTTATATGATTTTGGCAACCCTTAGAGGTGGGACTTCTGGAGTCCCAGATACTTGAGCCTCGAGGGAGCAGATTCTGGTCCTCACACCAGAGGAGGCTATTTCTACCTGCCCGGAGGGCACCAGCTGGCCAGAGACCACTGGGCAGAGGAGGTGGGGTGGCTCATCTCGAGGCTACCCCTATTTGATGATTTCTGTAGGAGTCTGCTTGACTCTGAGACCTGGGGAAGGAGTCGATTTGGGGATGTGTGAGTGAGATGACATTCAGTCAGGTTGTGCCCCATCATTGGCGGCTGTGCAGATACATGAAGCGTGTGAGCATCCCCTCCTAGCAGCCTTCTCTCCTTAGTGGAGAGACTTGTTTGTTTTTCGAGACAGAGTCTTGCTATGTCACTCAAGCTGGAGTGCAGTGGCATGATCTCGGCTCACTGCAATCTCCGCCTCCTGGGTTCAAGCAATTCTCTTGCCTTAGCCTCCCGGTTATAGGCGCCCACCGCCACACCTGTATTTTTAGTAGAGACGGGGTTTCGCCATGTTGGCCAGGCTGGTCTTGAACACCTGACCTCAGGTGATCTGCCAGTCTCGGCTTCCCAAAGTGCTAGGATTACAGGCTGAGCCACCACACCCGGCCTGAGAGACTTGGTTTTACACACAACTCTAACCATTCCTTTTCCCAGATTCAGAAGGACAGGACACCTGCATGCTTATGTGCCCGTGTGGTAGTAGCATGACTTTTGGCTGGTAGTACATTTTTAGGGACTGTTTTCTTGTGTCATTCTTACTTACTGTAAGTTTGCCCTTCGTATCAGTTCCTCCTCTCTCAAACACTTTCATGACTGCCTGCTGGCACTGTCTATCCATGTGGTTGCTCAGGCCAAAAAAAGAGTACTTTTTACTTCTAATTCATCTGCAGTCCTGTTGTTTTAGCCTCCAAAACACATCCCAAATATGACAGCTTTTATTACTATTACAATCGCCTCCATTATCACCATCATGCTTCTAGAAAGGCCACCACCATCACCTGGAGGTACACTGGCCCTGATTGGTCTTCTTATGTCTATTATGCTTTTTTAAAAATTGTGGTAAAAGATGCATAATATAAAAGTCACCACTTTAAAGTGTGATTCAGTGGCATTAGTGCATTCACAGTGTTGTGCACCCATCACCATGGGCTAGGTTAGAACACTTTATCACCCAGCCTGCATCCATTCTGACCTGTGAAGTGTGCTTTCTGCATACTAGCCCCAGGGTCCTTCAAATGAAACCCATCCTTCTGACTCCGAGGCTTCCCAGTCCATGGAGGATTACAATGTAAAGCTCCTCATCCTGGCCCCTGGACTTGGCTCCCTGAGGCCACCTCTCTCTTTTCCTCACTCCAGGAGAGCAGAGAGCTGGGGAAGGGCATGGGACATGGGGGGTGGAGGGAGGATGAAGGGTGCTCTCTGGCTTCCAAAGTGAGGGCCCCTCCTGAGTCAGGAGCAAGACTGCCTACCTTCCTTTCAGAAACTGCTGTTTAAATCCAAAGAGAACATAGACAGTTGGCAATATAGTGTCTGATCCAGAAAGCAAGAAAGAAAAGGCAGAAAGTCTGAAGTTTTATTTTCACTCTCAAACCAATAAATAGGAGATGCTACCCTCCAACCCCCATTCCGCACCCTCAGTGATTCTTACCTCGCTGGAGAATCATTTTTATGACAGTCGACAGAGTTCTATGCCCTGGGAATGGCACCGCCAATCATCCTAACCATTGAGGCCGAATTTAAAGATTGTTCTCTCACCTCACTCTCCTACTTCTAAGCCACCTTGCAAGTCCCACCACCTCCTATGCCCTCAAAACCTCTAACAATGACATCCATTGCCCTCCACATCCTCTGCCACCCTACAAATCTAAGCCATAGTTGTCTTGCTTCCAACCCACTGCGGAATCCTTCTGCCGTCTTGCTTCCACCCTTGCCTCTGGACAGACTGGTCCCCATGTAGCAGCCAGAACCACCTTTTACAAACAGGAAAAATATCATGGTGCTCCCTTGCTCAGGACTTTCTGGTGTCTTCTCATCCTACTTAGAATGAAATGCAAATGCCTTCCCTTGGCCTCCCAGCCTTCATACCTTTCCAGGCTCATCTCCTACCTCACCCACTACATGGTATTTTCAGCTGCTGCTAGGACATGCCGGACTCCCACTGGTGGCATTGCACTGGAGATCCATTCACGTGGCTCCTTGTACACAAGTGTTTCTTTAGAAGAGACACTAATGGAGGAACTGCTGGGTCCAAAGGCACTCAGATTTGAATTTTGATACATGTTGGCAAATTGCACTTCAGACATGTTTACCAGTTGACACTCCCCTGCATTGCTTCTGTCTCTATCTTCTCTCACTCAGACTTTAAATTTTTGTTATGAAAAAACATCTCGTTTTAATGTCACTTTCCCTGATTATTAATGTCATTTAATATCCTTTTAAAATATTGACCATTTGTATTTGTTTTCCTGGAAGTTGCCTGTTTATGTTCTCAGTACATTATTCTGTTTTGTTGTTGTTGTTGTTTTCCTGGTTTTTAGGAACTTGTTACATATTTTCAACAGTAATCTCTTACCTGATCTATGTGTTGCAAATTTTTTCATCAGCCTTTTTCTTATGTTTTAAGTTTGCCTATGATGTCTTTATCATCCTGGCAATAAACATGCACATTTGGCCAAATCTATCAGTCTTTTTTTTTTTTTCCCTCTAGATTCTAAACTTATCTCTTAAGAAGGTTATTCCTTATGTATACTGCAAGTTGGCATGAACAGCTGGGCAGGAGAGTGCCCGGGATCTACAACACATGTCTGGGCTGAACAAACTCCCATATTTTATACTTATATTTTCAATATACTTGTATTTTTAATAGCACTTTCATAGGTTGTTTTTAAAAAAGATTTCGATCTTTAATCTTTCTGGAATTTGTGTTGTATACATTGTGTGATAGAAACTAACTACGTTATTTTTCTAAATATATAGTTGGTTGTTCTGATACTGGTTTGTTAAACAACTTTTCCTCTCCCCATTGAAATGCCATCCTGCCGTGTGGCGACTTCACTCTCTTCTTCCATCTCAGCAAACATTTAGATTGTGTGACAACTATGGCTGTTGTTCCTCCAACAGGCCTGTCTAGTATTGTATGACTTGAGTCAATAGGCAGTGGGAACCACTGTAAGTTCACAAGCAGGTGACACACTGGCAGATGGCAGTGTTGAAAGAAAGGCTATTTGAGCTGGGTTTGCCCAGAACTTTGGGAGTGGAAGGGCCTGAAGGGAGGCCTGGTAGGAGGCCGTGATGTGGTAGGAGGCCGTGAAGCAACAGGACAGTGTAGAGGGAGGCTTAAGGAATAAAAATGATTGGGGGAGGCAGAGAATATGAAGGAAATGTCAAGGGGCTGGGTGGCCAGGGAGCTGTGGGGTAGAGGAAGGAGGGTTTGAGCCAGGCTTCTGGAGAATGGTGGTGCCTCTGGTGAAAAGGGGTTGCCTGAGAAAGAACCCATTGGGAGATATAAACTGCCAAGTCTGCTTTCAGACACAGGGAGTGTGCGATGTTTTTAGAGGACGTTTGGACTTAGGGACTGGAGTCCTGCCTGGGGCAGAAACTTAGATTTGGCCCTTGCTCATGACTCTCTTAGGGGATGAGTGTGCTTAGTGTAGGGCATGGGGGAGACACCTCCCTTTAGATGGGAGGAGAAGCTAGATTGATGGGAGACATCAGAACTCAACGGAGATGTTGACAGAGAGCCGAGGAGAAAGTGTTCCCAGGAGGGAAGTGTCATTATGTTTGCCGCAGCAGCTGGCAAGTCAGGCATTGGGCTGAGTGGAGGCAGGGAGTGGTAGGAGGAACCGGCGGGGCAGGAGTGTGGAGGGGAAGTCCAGGTAGCTGTGCAAGCTCAGGGTGACCAGAAGAACAGAAGACCTGCTGAAATCCAGGCTTTGGGATTTAGAACCTGAGGGAAACATGGGGTGTCAGCATGTGCTGGCTGTGCTCATGGTACAGCAAAGTGGGGACATGGTGGGTGTACAGAGTGTCCGGGGAGGGTGGGCAGTGGTGAGTGGGAAGGCAGCCCCTCTGGGCGCCACTCTGTCCTCTGACCCCGGCCTGCTGTCTCCTGGCTACTTTGGACTTTGGCCTCCGCTTCAGTTCCCAGGCTTTTGGCCTCCTTAAACAGGAGGTCTTTGAACTCACTGCCTGCCTTGTTTCTGGAAGTTCAGCTGTTTGTGGCTGAGCAGGAAATGTGGTTGAAGGGTCCAGGCCAGCGCGACTCCCCTCCTCTGCCCTCTTGCTGACCTCGCCACTTGGGCTTGCCTTTTCTGTGAGCTGTTGTCCCCTCCCAAGCTGGACATGGATCTGTGGCCTTCTGGTCATAGCTATGTTGCCCCAAAATATTTTGGCCTAAGGTGCCTGCTTGACCTACAGGTCAGTGACCCTGAGCTTAACAAAGCCTTCGGAGCTATGGATACCACCTGAATTTTAGCCTGACATTGAGGATTAGAGAGAATTTCCTGGGAGGTTTATTTATTTTTGTAGATGAGGCTAACAGAGGTAGTAGATACTGCTTAGCAGCAAGAGAGGATTTGGACCAGCTGGGCTGGCGTTCACGCCTGCTGTAGAAGCCTAGAGGCACTTGGGTGGGAGTTTGTTCAGCACGGACTTCTGTTGTAGATCCCGGGCACTCCTGCCCAGCTGCTCATGCCAACTTGCAGTACACAGAGGAAATATATGGCTTCTCCCAGGCCCACCTACATACCCCGGTTCCTCTAGGTGTTCTGCTAATAAATGCATCTTGGGAAAAAGCTGCATTGCTTATTGATGGGATTCCACAAATGTGATTTAGGTAGTGGTGGCCTTTGCTTAGAGAAGCTTTCATTTGTGTGTGTGACATTGACACTGGCTGTTCCTGCATGGTGGGGAGCTAAGTATTAGTCACTTTTTCCTAGCACTTGTGAACAGCACCAGAAAGGTCACAAGCATCATCCATAGGGAACAGAAAAAACAACTATGAGGGATTTCCAGGAAGGCACTGTCCCTCCCTTCAGCCTCAGCCCTGAGGGTCGCAGGCTTGGCCCTGTTTTATGTAGTATGGGCTGAAGGGAGAGGGGTGTGAGCACTGGGGGCGGAGTGGCGTGGTGCGGTAAAAACAAGAGCTGTTGGTTTTAAAGGTTTTTGAAGACAGGAATTACTTTATCTTACCCTGTTTATAATGTTTGAGAGGGGATGCAGTGGTATGGTAGGCATACATTTTTCAACTTTTATCCTGGGTTAGTCTAAATCATCAGAAAGCAACATATCCCATCCCTGCCCCCAATGTTCCGAAGAGCCTTTGCAGGCCTGTGCTGATGCTCAAAGCTTTGGCCTGTGCAAAGCTGCAGGTGGAGAAAGCTCTGCACTGAGGATACATCTGGGGCTGAGGAGGTTGCTCATTAGGTTCTTCAGTGCCCTTTGTATTATATTTGGACACTGATTACAAATTCCTTTCCAAGCTCAAGGCCAGGAGAAAAAGTCTCTCCTCTGATGAACTTATTTCTGTTTTTTGTACTCTTTCTAGAACTAGCGTGGTCTCTTATGCAGGACAGATGAGTGTAAAAAGAATGAGTGGATGGATGCTCTGCTGTGTTTCCCAGTGGAGCGTCCTGACTGCAGAAAGCTATCTATTTTTATAAAACAGTGAGATACCCCTGGGAACATCTGGCTTATCATCAACAGCTTCCTTCAAGGGGGGTAGGATCTCAAAACTTTAAAATGAAGTGCTCATCAACAGTCATTTCTTGTCTACACCCTCCTGAATTATCAAAAAGCAAGCCTTTCCGGCGAGAATCTAGTGGCTTTTCTTCCATCTGTGTTCCTGCCCTATCCTTTGTTAAGGCTCTTCCCCAAATTAACCATAACACGTATTGTTTAAGGCATTGCCCTCTTGCCTGCAGGCTCTATCCTCCTCTCTCTATTTTTTTTCTTTAGGTACTTCTGGCTTTTGCAGACACTTGCTCCCTGAGAATTCAGTGGTGACTTTATGAATTGTCCTCAGAAATTCTAAATCTCTGCGGCAGGATCTAGCCTCCAGGGACTTGTCAGAGCCAGCAGCTTCTGCCAGTGCGTGGGCTCGTCTCTGCAGAGGGAGATCAACCTGAAAAGATCTGTTTCTGAAATATATGTGGGTGACCAAGGGACGGGGTGCAGGGGAATTCTGAAGGCTCAGGGGAAGGTCAGGTGGGTTTCAGCAGTGAGAGACTTGACCTGCACAGCATCTGTTATCCCCATGAGCCTTCATGACCAGTATCTTTGGAGTTTTGTCTATAGCTGAAAGATTTCCTCTAGAAATTTTGTTGATTTTAACCTGTTTGCATAGAATTTTTTTCTGAAATACTTTGCACATTACCATGCTGTCTTACCCCAAGAATGATCTACGAAGGGACTTTATTTATCTTTATATCTAGTGTGAACTCTGAGATATAATAGTAGGTGCCCAATAAACATTGTTGAGTGAAAAATTACTGATTTCATTAGAAAAATAATTCTGATTATTTCTTATTGCAGTGTCGAAACTTTAGAAAATAAAGGTAATCCAAAAGTAGGGATTCCCTGTTGGGGAAAGGAAGGACTGAAAGCCAGGGACCTCTGATGGATACAAGCACAGCCTGCCTCCTAGCTCCAGCACAGCCTCTGCACAATGGGAGCTTCGTCTTAATGCTTGTAAAATGTCATCTCATTAGCATGTTTTGTGTTTTTATGTGATGACTTCCTTGTTAGTGTTTAATCACTGTTCTGGAATTTTAAAAAGTCAAGATTATTAATTAAAAAAATTAATACATATAATAAAATACACTATTTTAAATGCAGAGTTCGATGAGTTTTGACAAATGTGTATACCATGTCGTCTCTGTCTGAATGAAGATGAGAACATTTCCATCACTTTGGGAAGTTCCTCATGCCCCTTTGCAGACAGTGTTCCTCCTCTTTACTCCAGGTACCCACTGATCTGACTTCCATCAGTGTGGATTGGTTTTGCTGATTCTAGAACTTCCTATGAATGGAGTCATTTTTTTCTCATCAACATTTGGTCTAGGATTCACCCATATTTCAACTGAGTTTTGAATACTGCGAAAGGGTTACACAAGCAGAGGAAGTGTGAGGGCATTGCACAGATGGAGATAAAAAGATCAGAGGGAGTTCCGAAGACCAGAATTAGTTTAGAGTGTCCTAGGCATGCAGTCTGAGGGGGCAGTGGCAGGAGAAGAGCCTAATGTGGTTGAAATAGTGGACAGTGTTGAATTTTACCTGAGCCCTGTACTCTTGGAAAACAGTGTGGTCTAGAATTTTGAAAAATGCAAAGGAAATAAACTTTGGGAGTGAGAGAACAGGGGATGTTGATTGATTTCCATTATCGTATCACCCAGGGGAAAACCCCAGCAGATATCTGTGCTGACTTCCTTGGGTGACCAAATCATTTCTGGGAACTTAGGGTTGTTGTCAGCATTGGTGATGGTTCTGGGGCACAAACATGCTCTCAGCCCTGTTGACCATTTCCCCCTGATCTAAATGCTGAAGACAGCTGTGCCTCTTATGTTCTTGAGTCTTTTTTTTTTTTTTTTTTTTTGGCAGAGTCTTGCTATGTCACCCAGGCTGGAATGCAGTGGCATGGTCTTGGCTCACTGAGACCTCTGCGTCCCGGGTTCAAGCGATTTTCCTGCCTCAGCCTCCTGAGTAGCTGGGATTACAGGCATGTGCCACTACACCTGGCTAATTTTTGTATTTTTAGTAGAGACAGGGTTTCACCATGTTGGCCAGGCTGGTTTCAAACTCCTGACCTCAAGTGATCCACCCGCCTCGGCCTCCCAAAGTGCTGGGATTACAGGCATGAGCCACTGCGCCCGGCCTTGAGTCTGTTTTTAACAGTGATACCGTCTATTGCTGCCTTGTGGTCCCCTCTTCCAGTTTGTGTTTTTCCTTAGTTGACCTTGCTGGTCTCTTGGTTTTGTTCTTCCATGTTTGCAGTGGACTGTAATGATCGGAAAACCATGTTCTAGAACGTCCCTGAGAGGGTCTTGAGTGTGGTCTGGAGGGGATTCCCTGGAGTACTAGTGCACAGTTTCCTCTCGCTACGCATCAGGTCGGGGGAGTTGAATGGTGAGCCTGGAGTCCAGGCAGGGTGCGGTATTGCTTACTGCTTTTCATGAGTGGTGTTCCCCAGAATCTGTGGTTGAGGTCAATGTCAGCTGTTTGTCATTTCCTTGTTAGAGCCTGATGTAAAGTTGAGGAAACGTGTGTGGTCTCATCGTGGATAGAATAGGGGCCTGGCCTGTCGTGAATTCTGTCACCTTGCTCAGTCTCTTCACATCTTTAGTCCTGATAATCCCGTCTGTATAATAGATTCCATAATGCTGATGAATCTGGTGAAATCTGTTTTTGTTGCTTAGCTGGGGAAAAAAAAGTTCTTGGTGTGAGGAATTTCTCCTTTGTTGTGACTGTGGTTCTCATTGCATTCCCCTCCTCCCCTCCTCACTTCCTTCTCTGCTTACCGTTGGATTTCTTTTTGGTAGGAGCTGGTGGTGATGGGTGCTCCAGGGTCATTTTATTGGGCTGGAACCATCAAAGTGCTGAACCTTACGGACAACACCTATTTAAAACTGAACGACGAAGTGATCATGAACAGGCGGTACACCTACCTGGGTGAGTACTCAGGGAGAGAACAGGTAAGAAAGGGGAAATGGGAGTGATTCCCACCAGATTCACAAATTATTGCTTCATTGTTGGAAAGAGGAGTTAGTTGGCTTTGACGCCTGTTGTTCTAATGACTTACATCTTTAGCCAGGGCATCTTCACATCTAGCTCCACAAACACAAGGTAGAGAGGAAAACCAAGGAGGGAACTGAATTAAAACTGTATGCTTTAATTAAAAAGCTGACAGTTGAACCTCCAGGGAAATAAACATTTTATTTTCTCATTTTATCAATTGTTGAAGTTCAGATGGTCAGGTAGAAATGAGTGTGATGGAGTCTTGATTTTCCACGGGCGTCCCTTTGGATGGAGTCCTTGCTTTCTGATCACAAAACTGGTAGCAAATAGAAAGATAAGAACTAGAAATTATCATGACAGATGGCAACCTAATGCTGAAGGTTAATTAAAGGCTCAGAAAAATTTCTCTTGCTTTCTTAACTCTTTTAATCTTCTGGAAAGAAGATAGACACAATTTAATGTAGCTATCAGGCAGAATGACACTGGGACAAGGTCCATGCCAATTTAAGAACAGACATAGGCTGTCTTTGCTTGTGTAGATGACAATTACAAGACTCTTTTCTTTAATTTATGCCCTAAATGCTATAATTCTGGATTGAAAGCGAAGCTAAATTTAGGAAGGCCTAATGATGACACACAATGCTCTTTCGCACTCATGATACATAACTTACAGGGAAAGGCCCTGACTCCCTTTTTGCATAGCGTCACTGGGAACTTCTTGTTAAATGGGGTTAGGGAGTCGTTGACTTGCCTTTTCCCTTCTAACTACAAGTTTTTTGCCTGGTAGCATAGACCCAACAATCCTTCTACTCTGGGGTGTTTGCTCCTGTAGGCACCCAGCTGCCTAGTGCTGTTGCTTATTAAGCATTTACCCTATGCCAGGCTGTATGTATTATTTCTTTTTAATTTCTGAAACAACCTTATGAAGTAGCTATTATTATCTACATTTTATAGATAAACTGAGGAGCAAAGAAATTATACATCTTGCCAAGGTCACATGGCTCCTAAGTAGCAAAATTAGGGTATGAGCTTGTGGTTTCTGAGTGCAGAGTCTAAATGCTGAGCTGCCTTCCCTGTGGGTGCGTCTGAGAGAGCACCTATCACTGGTACTGTACTTCTCACTGGGCTGGGAGCACCTTGAAGACAAAATGTGGGATTGTGTCTCACATTTGGTATAGTGCCTGGTGTATAGTAGTAACTCAACACATATTTATTGAATCAGGGAATGAAGAGAGAGCAGAAGAAAGCCCAGTTTGGATGATGGGTTTGGGGTCTAGAACAGCTCCTTTGAAGCTTCGAGCCTGTGGTTTCTCTTTGTATACACATTAGAGGCTCTTATCAGCTGCAGGGATTATCAAGGATCCGTTCAGGCTTTGATCTCACTCAGAATACTCTTAGGTACTATCAGTCGCCAGTCTGAGAGAAATCAGCCACATGGTGAGGAAGAATTGATCATGATATGATGTCATCGCGAAACTCAAACAACTTACAATCACTTTAGGGTTAGAGGGTGATGACAAGTTTGGGGATTATATGGCAGCCTGTACAGGATTTATGCTGGCCAGAGGAGAGCTTTCAGCCTGCTAGCAAGGCTCTCAGAAAGCAGGAGACGTTGAGGCTAAGCCTAGGCAATCTTTTCCTTTGTTTCTAGGTTCCTTTTGCATCCATATTTTTTCACTGACCACCCTCCCACCCATCCACCCATCCATCTACCCAACCATGCATCTACCCACCCACCCACTGACAGCTTCTTTTGCCTTCTTGTAGGAGGGAGTGTGGTTAACAGCAGGGGCTTTAGAGGCACAGATTAGATTTGAGTCTTGCTGTGTGATCTTTGGCATGTTGTTTAACAGGTTTTTCTAATTCTGTATCTGTAAAATGGAAGAAACAGTCATGCCTTCTTCATAAAGTTTTTAGACTGAAAGAGATACCTAAAGACATGCATAAAAATGTTGGTAGCAACCTTGTTCATATTAACCCCAGCCTGGAAACAACCTAAATGCCCAGCAACAGAATAAACATATGACATATTTATATAACGGATATTACTCAATAATAAAAAGAAACTACTACTGTACTCAACGATGTGGATGAATGTCACAGATGTTATGTTGAGTGAAGTTCAAGAAAAGGCAAACCTAATATATGGTGATAGAAATCAGAATAGTGGCTACCTGTGTGGGGCATATTGACTGGGAAAGGGCATGAGGGAACCCTCTGGGGTTATGGTTCTGTGGTTATAGTCACTTCCTTGATCTGGGTGGTGGTTGCATGGCTACGCTCATGTGTGCATTCATTGAGTTTTACACGTCAGATATATGACCTTACCGTATGAAAACTATGCCTTGAAAAGAAGAAAACAGATATATAGTATTTCATACAGTACTTGTCCGAAAGAAGACACTCAGAAAGCCCTCTTTCCTGCCCTGATATCCTTGTGAACATGACTTTTTGTGAGATGAGAGCCATTTCAGCATGAGAAGGTTGACAGCTGCCATTTTTTTCCTGGTAGTTTATGTTCCAAGAGTAGGGAGCATGCTTGAGAAACATTTTCCTCTGATGGATGTTTTTTTTTCCCTTCCCTTCTTTTTCAACCGTGTGCTTGGTTTCCGCCCATCCTGTTCAGGCTACGCAGTGACCGCTGGCCACTTCTCTCACCCGTCCACCATTGATGTGGTAGGAGGTGCCCCACAGGACAAAGGCATCGGCAAGGTGAGGAGAAACATCTGTGGAATAGCTGGGGTCAGACAGAAGAGGGGAGCATGCTGTCCCTGGTGCAGAGGTTTGCCAGCTGACATTGACCTGAACATTCTACTGGGTGGCTGGTGGGGAGGTGATGAGGAACCCCCTGACTGCCCCACTCCATTGGAAAGTTTCCCTTGAAAGCTCAATTAGAGTGTGAGTATACTCACACTCTCGATTTCCTGCACACTCTCATCTGAGGTTTTTCACAGCTGACCATGTGTGTGTGTGTAATTTATAAGACTGAGCCCTGGCCTTATGGTGTCCTTCAAAAGAATGGCATTTAGTGCTGTCCAACTTCAAATCCCAAACCCTTCCCAAGTTTGGCTTTGATTTAATGGAGCTAGGTCCAGTCTCAGATATCTTTGAGGCTTTATTCATGCCCCAAATTATTCTCGTATTTATTTCCCCAGTGTTTGAGAAGGAACATTGGGTTCCCAAGACTGGTTCAGCCCAAAGGCTGGACTGGAAATATGTGGGTCTGGCTTTCCCTAAACTATAGTATCTGCCAAAAAACCCACCCCCTGGATCTAGGGCTGCCTGAATTCCTTTGGGAAACATGACCTCTGAGGGGCCTGAATTGTGAACTACGCTTGTTGGTTCTTTATCATGAAGGTACAGGAAATCCAGATTGAGTAGGTACAGATGGATCAGGAACCCACATTTTTAAGAAGCTCCATAGGTTGTCTGATGGGAAAGACTGAGTGAACAGAGGAATGAACTTTGGATCTGGACCTTTAGGGGTAGACCTGTGATAGAGTCTGGTCATATCTCCCAGGGCTTGGAGAAGTGGAATCTGGATTCTGGATTAGCCCAGATGAGCTGAGACCACTGGTAATTGGAGCCTTCAGCCAGGAGGTCAGGATGATCAGGGAGCTGACGAACTTTCCAGTTGACTAGGCTTGACTAAGGATAATTTCTGTGGATCCTCCTGGGCAGAGGTTAGGAGCTGCTGCTCACGTTTCTGGAGCATGTGCCTCCCTCCTCCCTAACACTGATGCTGTGGAAAGAGGTTCTTCAAAACTGAAACCAGATAAACCAGGGCCCTGAGCTGGCAGGGAGGAGGGATCAAGCAGGTGACCTTCGATCACCTCAAGAAAGAGGTGGTTCTTTCTGAGTTGCATGAATTTATCTAAGTAGAGAAAGAAGCACTGAGAGCTGTTCACATTGATGTTGTCTTCTTGGGGAGGGGCTGCGGGCTACCGGGCATCTCTGTAGAAATGGTAAAAATGCCTACGTCTAGTTCACAGTGATGCGGGTGCCTCTATGCTAATGATAGCAGCTTTCTTTTCTCCCTAATTGCAGAAAACATGATCCAGTTTTATAGTTTTTCCTTCAGATGATTGTGATGAACTTCATAGTCCCTGTCAAGTCTTAAGATGACCCCTCCGCAAACCCCTCTCACTGGCTATCTGGGGGGTGCAAGGTATAAAGTTAAAAAGTTGAGAATGGTACTTATAATTGATAGAGCCAGACAGCGGGACTCCTGGACCCAGTTTATAAAGTACATAAAAATGCTTCTTTCAATTAGACCACCTGAGAGGCATGGGGAAACTGGTCATAGTGACAAAGTTGCTGACAATTCCACATTCCCAGGGATTGGGGCTAGTACAGACTTGATTCCCAAGGACCCCTGGCCTTCAGGATTTTGCTGGATATTCTAGTGTCAGGGCACAAAAGCACTCACACTAAGATGGCAGTTCCTTATCTCATGGGAAGGTTATTTACACTGGTTCTCATGAGACACTCTTCCCACGAGATGTAATCCAAAAAAAAGAACTTCCATAGTCAAGTACATTTAGGAAGTTAAATGTCAGTGATCGTCTTTGCAGTGGCGATGCATAGTTCACATGAACATGCTAAAGGCTCTAAAAAGTTCCACAGTCAAAGAATTTACTTAATGTTTAACTCCACATTTCCCAAATGAAACTCATTTTTACCCAGGCAGATCACATGACTCTAATATTACGTGAAATCACTTTGGGAAACTGCTTTGTCTACAGTACTCATCTCCACCTATCCCTTTATCTTCTGTTGTAATGCCTGGTAAAGTCTTACTGGGAATAAAGTCCAATCCATACCACCAACTAATTTTAAAAACAGGAATAAAGGAAATATTTCAAGAAACAAAATACTAGCTTTTTCTCAGAGTTGAATTGTTTACTTGTAATTTGGAAGCTTCTTGGGTCTTATTGTGTGTGGCTTTTATAAGTATTGTGGTTCAGGAGCAGTGGAGGTGATGTCTGCCTCAGGATTGAAGGACCCTTTTTTTTGCAGGGCTGGTAAAATGACAGCTGACTTCTTCATGATCATCAGCTAGCATAAGCACATCTGCTGTGCACCTGGCTCTTAAGCTTTTAAATAGGACTCCCAGGAGAGTGCTGATAAATATCTTTGATCATTGATTTCATCCTAACTAGATTTTTTTTTTTTCATTCCATAGGTTTATATTTTCAGAGCTGACCGAAGATCAGGCACCTTAATTAAGATCTTTCAAGCATCAGGTAAAAAGGTGAGGTTCTTGGTATAAGTGACTATTTTTTATTTGAGAGATGTGATCATGTGGGAGTCAGTACTTTTTAGAAAATTGGTTTGAAGGCCCTACCTGTGCCCTGTGTTTATATGGCAGTGCTGTCTGCTTGTTGGTGTCTTTACCTTCTCAGCGGTATGTGTAATCTGTACATTCATGGGATTCATACTCGCTTTAGGAGACATTCTGTAGCAAGATGAGTTATATGGGGCCAAGTTACAGCACAGAGTTTTAAGAGATTGTCCGTAGTTCAGACTGTCATCAAAGTGACTGCATGCCCTGTCTCTCTGCCTCCATCCTTTCTCAACGAATCTCCACCTCCAGAGAGAGCAGATCTTTCTGAGTACAGGTAGCAATAAATGCTTCTCACTGAGCCTGTTTCACCAGCCCAACATTACCCCCTTCCCTAATCCTCAGCCCTCAACTGTCATTGCCAAGGTGACTGTTGCCACACAAAGAAAATCCAAACACAGGTTGCCTGATTCCTCTTAGAACCTTGAAGCAGAAATAGCTCAGGGTGCTGCCCTAAAGTTAGCCTGGGTGAGATTACTCTGCCTGGGTCCTCCCCACCCTGTCCCTAATCCTCTCTCTGCTTTCTGAAAGTTTCCATTATACTGCCCTGTTGTCTAAAATTAAGCCAATTAGAGAGTCCTGCTATTAATAAGCAACAGTTTTCATGAGCTTATCAGTCATGCACTTCTTGTGTGGCTTAGATCAGCAGGACTGTTTGGCTGAGCTTGGCTACTCTAAGGGACACAAGTTTAGGCTGGGAGCTGTGGGGGTAATTTGGAGGTCTTGGTGGAGGCCTTAGTGGGATCTGGGAAGAAGCATAGGATGTCTGGGACATGGGAGGAGGCCATGTGCCTCCTCAATTCTGTTCCTGCCGAGTTAGAACTGCTGTACGCCAGCCTAGGATCCTTCCATGTTGTTCTCCCATTCAAGTAGACCTTTTTGCAATTTTAACTATCCGAATAGGTACACTTAGTGTATAATTGTCATTATCTTTTGAATAAAAAATGCATCACCAAACTTGGTTTTGCATTTTTCCTCAGAATGGCTCTGCCTTCCCGAGAACTCTGCTGGCTTGTGTTATTTTAACATTTCCAAAACCCCAAAGCAACAGCACTGGAAAATGACTGTGAGCCATTCTGCAAAAGGGTTTTCCAAGCACCCTTAAAGTTAGAAAAGAAATAACTCTGTGCTACTTGTGATTTACAAAAGAGAGTTTCAAAGAGCAAGTAGGGTATGAGTGGAATTAAGGCTAACATTTTAGATCTTCTGCAGAAGATAACAAATGGGTGAATGTATCTAGCATGGAAACAATCTCCCTCTTCCCTTCAAATGTACCTGGGTTTGAAAGCCTAAAGGTAAAGGATTCCTTTTTTTTTTTTTTTTTGAGACAGAGTCTCACTATGGCATGATCTTGGTTCACTGTAACATCTGCCTCCTGGACTCAAGCCATCCTCCTACCTCAGCCTCCCAGGTAGCTCGGACCACAGACATGTGCCACCATGCCCAGCAAATTTTTGTATTTTTTTTTGTAGAGATGGGGTTTCACCATGTTGCCCAGGCTGGTCTCAGACTCCTGGGCTCAAGGGATCCACCCACCTTGGCCTCCCAGAGTGCGGGATGATAGGCATGAGCCACCGCACCTGGCCAAGGATTATTTAAAATGAATTGTGGAGTTTCTGAGTATCTTTATGTTCAGTTGTAGCTGTGCCCCCCCAAACTGCTTTTCCTTCCCTGCCCTACTCCTTACTGTCTGTGCCCTGGGGAGGTCCGGTTAATTCCTATTGCCTTCGAGTAATTAACAATCTGTAATTGTGCCCTCTCTCCTCCTTGAAAACCTCTTGGTTTGGATGAGAACCTATGCTCAAGTTGATCAGGTTTTTGGGGGTAGATCTGAGAGTGGGTGGTGCAAGGAGGATGAGATTAACCTTTGAGAACCCACTTGTCTAAACTTCCTGAAGACTTCTGCCATTGAGTTCCAGGACAGGTTCAGGCCTGAATGTCTGCTTGGATGTCCTTATCATACCAAGATACATCAGGTTCCCTGAGAAGGGACAGAAAGGCCCAGGTATTCAACTTCTTGGCTTCGTAGCCATTTGACTTTTTCTTTTCTTTAGGGCTCTTCTGGCCCTAACCTTTGCACCATTCCATAGGCACCCCTTCTTTCTGCCACTCACTCACAGTCCTCTTGCCTTCACTTCCTTCTACTAGTGTCTCCAACTAGATTTACCCTGTCATCATCGTTCTGCTTTTGAAATAGGCCATGACCTTTCTTTATACAACTTATTCTACTTCTTGCCAGAAGAAATGAGACATTCATGTCTTTCTGACTTCTCCATTACCTCCTACAAAAGGACATGACCCCAGGCTTTCAAAGGATGCCTTTAGATTTATCCCTATGTCCAGAGTCACATAGACAGGAGGGTTCTAACTCAGCAAACCACCGGTTCACTTCTGCTTCCGTTTGGCTAGAATTTGGTCAGATAGTTCTGTATCCTGGCTTCCTATAAGAAGAAACAAAGCAAAAAGATTAAAAAAACAAAACCAAACAAAAAAAACCTGGTTCTTGTCTTTATTGGTTGACTTTCTCCAAATAGTACACTTAAGAAATCACCAACATGTGTGCAGTTCAGATGTTAATACAGACACACATCTCCACATTTCCAGGCTGATGGGGAGCTCTGATCATCGGACACACACCCCAAAGCATGTCATTGCCATATTGAAGTTTTATTGAATTAACGGAGTATGTGAAGCATTTGTATTTCAAAACTGAGATAGGAAACTTCACATATAGAGATTTCTAATTTAACATTGATGAAGATGCCAAGTTAAATAGTCCTTTGGAATGAAACAAATAGTTCCCCTGGGGCTCAGCCAGTGAGCGCAGCCAGCAGCTTGGCTCTTTGGGTCTTTGCCTGTGTCTTACTGATTTCTTTTACCAAAGCTCAGATGGGGAGATTGGCAAGGCCACTGAAATAGTGACTGGCAACTCGGTTTCTTTCCTCCTCACCCTCTGTGATTTCAACCCTTTCCTGCTCCGTTCTCCTTTGAGAATGGGTAATCAGAGGGGAGGAAGATGGCCTTGGCATATCACTGGGGAAGGATTTCTGAGCGGCCACTACAAAGCCCTCCTGTGACCCTGTTAGCTGCAGGAAATAGATTGGAGTGTCCTCTACCTCTCTCCCTCAAACTCCCTGGGTCAGCTGCCAACAAACTCCAACAGTAAAAGAAAAGGCTTGTTCATGTCCATCAACCCAGGGGCCTTTTATTAGAAAACATTTATTTTAAAAGAATAATGCTTTTTCTCTTTCTTTTCTTTTCTTTTCTTTTCTTTTCTTTTCTTTTCTTTTCTTTTCTTTTCTTTTCTTTTCTTTCTTTCTTTCTTTCTTTCTTTCTTTCTTTCTTTCTTTCTTTCTTTCCTTCCTTCCTTCCTTCCTTCCTTCCTTCCTTCCTTCCTTCCTTCTTTCTTTTCTTTTCTTTTCTTTTCTTTTCTTTTCTTTTCTTTTCTTTTCTTTTCTTTTCTTTTCTTTTCTTTTCTTTTCTTTTCTTTTCTTTCTTTCTTTCTTCTTTCTTTTCTTTCTTGACAGAGTCTTGCTCTGTTGCCCAGGCTAGAGTGCAGTGGCATGATCTTGGCTCACTGCAACCTCCACCTCCCAGGTTCAAGCGATTCTCCTGCCTCAGCCTCCCTTGTAGCTGGGATTACAGGTGCCTGCCACCACGCCTGGCTAATTTTTGTATTTTTAGTAGAGATGGGGTTTCACCATGTTGGCCAGGCTGGTCTCGAACTCCTGGCCTTGTGATCCACCCGCCTCCCAAAGTGCTGGGAGTACAGGCGTGAGTCACCATGCCCGGCCTTCTTCTTTTATTTTTTTTTAAAGTAGAGGTTGCAAACTGACAGCCTTTGGAAAGAATACAGCCTACAAATACTTTTGTTTGGCTTGCACAGTATTTGTTTATTGTTTTTACACACGAAGAAGTTGCGAGCATTTAAAACACTGGCACTTTAAATAAAGTTTTAAATTTTTGGCTTCTTTTGGAAAATGGAAAGGTTGCTCCTCTCTGGGTCAGCATTCCTCTTGGTGGCAGTTAGCTGCAGCTGGGTTGAAGCTGCTCCTTTAGCCAGGCTTGTGGGCTCCAGTTTGCCACAGTCTCCACCACTCCCTATTGTTATGTAGACAAGGAAGACAAGTGTCACTTGCCACATTAATTTTTTTTCTTATGCCTGTTATATCACCTGCCTGGATCCTGTTGGTATTTGGGTTTGAGACCCCTAATTAAGCTATAATTAAAAGTCAATATTATCTTGCTCTGTTCCCTCATCAGTTAAACAGTCTTAAAAGTTGTACCTTTTTCTGTCACTTCAGCTCATGCCTTCCTAACCAATCTTTCACCTGTGCATAGGACCAGGAGAGAATAACCTATTTCCCCATGTAACATTTATTTTCATGCCTTTCTTGTGTTGTGAGATTTCATATTCCTACTTGCTTGGCCTTGTCAAATGTCTGATATAAGGAGCATTTTTATTATGGTTGTAACATAACTTTGTGTCCTCAGCTTGCATTTTTAAAAACAGCACCTCATTCTGTGGGCATCAATCTATTTATCTTCCCCTTGATAGGACTCCAGGAATGGGGGACTTTGGGCCAGTTAGCTTTGTCTCACATTGACTGGGGCCCTGCCTTGCTGCTGGAAGTTGGGTATTTCACTCTTTGCTAGGCATTCTGGTTTAGGGGGCAGCATAGCCATCCAGCCTCTGAGGGATGTTTCTTTTTTTTTATGTTTTTATTTTTTAGTATACATTAAGTTTTAGGGTACATGTGCACAACGTGCAGGTTTGTTACATATGTATACATGTGCCATATTGATGTGCTGTACCCATTAACTCGTCATTTAACATTAGGTATATCTCCTAATGTTATCCCTCCCCCCTCCCCCAACCCCACAGCAGGCCCTGGTGTGTGATGTTCCCCTTCCTGTGTCCATGTGTTCTCATTGTTCAATTCCTCTGAGGGATGTTTCTAAAGCCAATGGGGTGGAGGAAAGCGAGGGCATCCTTGTGTGAGAGCAGACACTGAATGCTTTGTTGCAACTCAACTTGGTTGCAGATGGGCTCTTACTTCGGCTCCTCCTTGTGCGCAGTTGACCTGAATGGGGACGGCCTCTCTGACCTGCTGGTGGGGGCCCCCATGTTTTCTGAGATCAGGGATGAGGGACAGGTCACTGTCTACATCAACAGAGGAAATGTGAGTACAATACTGGGCAATGTGCGGATGGGTGTGGGGGAGGGACATTTGTCCAGCCAGCAGTGGCCGAGCACCCCTCTGGGCCGGCACTGGGGGCAATGTTACCCAGAGGAGATGAAAATATGTGATATCTGTCTTGAATAAGCTCAATGGCCCATTAATGGAAAGTTATATACAATGTTACAACTGCAGACACCCAGGGGCCAAGGAAGAATCTTAATAATTGTCTTTTGAGTGCTTACTATGTACCAGGGACTCTTCTTCCTGCTTTCTGCGAGAGATTTCTATGCAATATACACATGGTATCAAGGGTGCCCATTTTTCAGGTGGAAAAACTGAGGCCCAGAGAGGTTAGGTAATGTGTCCCAAACCACACAGCTAAGAAGTGGGGCTGGGATTTGAACCTAGGCAAGCTGGCTTTAGAGCTGGCATGCTTTGTCTCAAGGTTATGCCACCTCTCTGGGAGCATATGCACATTTTCCCAGGGAAGCAGAGGAGGACACAATGGCTGGGGAATCTTGAAGAAGGAGTAGGAGTTAGCAGACAGGCAGGGTGGGCTGGAGCAGAGCTCCCAGTGCAGAGCTGGGCAAGTGGGTTGGGGTGTGAGGTGGCATCACCACTCATTTCAGCATGGGGGGGCAGGGGACTGCATGGGAACCATAATCTTTTTGTTCGTTTGTTTGTTTTGAGGCAAAGTATCACTCCATCACCCAGGCTGGAGTGCAGTGACGCAGTCTTGGCTCACTGCAACCTCTGCCTCCTGGGTTCAAACTCTTCTCCTGCCTCAGCCTCCCCAGTAACTGGGATTACAGGCACTTGCCACCACACCCGGCTAATTTTTTGTGTGTTTTTAGTAGAGATGGGGTTTCACCATGTTGGCCAGGCTGGTCTCAAACTCCTGATTTCAAGTGATCTGCCCTACTTGGCCTCCCTAGGATTACAGACGTGAGCCACCACGCCTGGCCAATAATCTTGGTGTCCCCTATTCTGCAGAACCATGAAAGGGACGTGACATGGACAGAAAGATGCCTCTGGCCCTCTGTAGCTAATGGAGGGTGGGTGAGTGGGGGCTGGGTTGGGGGACAGCAGTGCATCGTGGAAGCAGGAGACCAGTGAGAAAGCAGTCTTTTCAGGATCTGGAAGTACAAGTGTTCAAGTACAAGTATTCAGCAAGAACAACATGGTTCAATGAAAACATTCTGGTGCCGCCTACCTTTTCTCTAACATGAGAAAACGCTTATGGAGATAATCAGTGGAAAAATGGGATGAAAACTGCATGTACAACCAGTCCTCAGAAATATGCCAAATACATAGAAAATGTGAATAACAGCTCTCTGGATAGATGTTTAGTTTTATCTTTATCCAAATAGTGAGAATATAATTTCATATTTAAAAAAATCGAAGTGTACTGTTAAGCAGTGGCTGAGATGCTAGGTATCCCAGTTGGGAGAGGGCAGAGGTTTAGCTATAACTAAGTGGGCAGATGCCAGAAAGGAAGGAAGCAGTGAAAGGAGAGCCAGGGATTGTTAGAGCCTTATGTTGCGTCTGAGGTTTTCAGGCTCTTCAGGAAGTCAGATCTAAAACCAGGGAGGTTTGGGAGGCCCAGGTGGGAGGATCACTTGAAGCCAGGAGTTCAAGACCAGCCTGGCCAACATGGTGAAACCCTGTCTCTACTAAAAACACACAAAAAAATTAGCCTGGTGTGGTGGTGCTTGCCTGTGGTCCCAGCTGAGGCTGAGGTGGGAGGATTGTTTGAGCCCAGGAGGTGGAGGCTGCAGTGAGCCGTGATCATGCCACTGTACTCCAGCCTGGGTGACAGAGTGAGACCTTGTCAATCAGTTAGTCAACAAGCCAACAAGCAAGGTGCAGTGGTGGTTGCCTAGGAGGCTGAGGCGAGAGGATCCCTTGAGCACCGGAGTTTGAGGTGGTAGTGAGCTATGATTGCACCACTGCACTCCAGCCTGGGCTACACAATGAGACTCTGTCTCTAAAAAAAATAAAATATCTGGGAGGGAAGGTGCTTATTGGTACCTGTTGCAGGAACTCTTGGCACCTGCATACCCACTGACATTCCAGGAAGTCAGGGCAGGGTGCAGGGAGAAATGAAGGGGACATTAAATAAATGAGTGCTGTGGGCATTCAGTGGTGCCTGCCATTGTATTTGCAGGAGACTGAGACATTTGTGTAGGAGTCAGGTCCAACAGCCAGACTGTGTGTCTAAATCAGAAGGTGGACTCTTGAAGCACAAGAACTCCCCCAGGCCTCCACTGGGCATGATGCACCCACACCCTCCCCTGCCAACCAGTGTTTCTTGATGTTGTATGGTTATTCTAAGTACCAGAGTATTCTCATTTCTGTTGAACATCAGCCATTTGAATAAAGATCGGAAGGCAGTGTGGAGTAGTGGAAAAAATTCTGACTTTGGAGCAAGGTGGACCTGAGTTTGAATCTTGGTTTTGCCATGTCCTAGCCTGTGTGATGTGGACAAATGGCTTGAAATTGGTGGCCCAATTTCCTCATCTGTAAAGTGAGAGGCATCATAAGATCTTCCTTATGGAGTCATTGTGTGATTTGAATGAGGAGCTGGCTGTACAGTACCTGGTACATAGGAGCAATCAGTTGCTGGTGTTCCTCTCCTCTTCCCCACTACACTGAAAGAAAGAAATTAATGCATATTTGTGTTTTGGGGTGGAGGTTTCATTCATCCAAGAAATCATCTCACCTTGACTGTTTTCAAGGTGTAAATTGTGTTTATAGTGAAAAAGAAGACTTGGTCATGATAAAAGCCAGACACTCGTGGGATGGCCTGTAGGATATAGTGGGCCCAGACTGCCTCTGCACTGGGGAATGCATACATCTTCTCATGTCTCAGGACATCAGATTGCATTGTATCACTCTGGTCTTCATGTGTCAGTGATTTGGGGTGAGAGTAGGTATGACTTTTTCCCCCAAGTTAGATGACTTTTCCTGCCTTTGTACACCATTAACCCCCTCCCTCTGTTGGTTAGTATTTTCTCAGGAAATTCATACCTGAGCCATGCATGAATAATAGGCACAGTGACGTCTGCCATCACAGCCACCCTCTGGCCAAGAACGACTGGGTGCTTGGATTTTCTGAACCATGACTCCCTCTATCAAGATAACTCATATATGCACTTTGCAAAACAGTTTTATAAACTTGTACCAAAAGGCACAGGAAAGAAAAAATAGAAAAATGTATACCCTTTTAAAACAACATTGGGGAAAAAGTGCTATGCCTTAAGGACGTGGAGAGCACATGGGGGAAAGGTGGGTAGGGAGGTTTGCTTGTGTGTAGTGTATTAGGACAAGGCAGAGAGTGTAGTCATTGGCTACCATGACATTCTCCTTCCCTCAAAAATGCATCTCAGGCTATGGGAGACCATCCTGCTAAGCAGGTAAAAGGGACGCATTTTGCCAGCAGGAGAGAGAAGTTTGGGTTCCTGTAATTCTGCCCAGGTGTTTCCTGTCAATGAGTGTGCTCTAGCAGGGCAGCATTCAAACTCTGGTTTTTTATTGATTTTTATTGTTTGTTCTGTTTGTTTTTGTTTTGTTTTCCATTTTCTCCTCCATCCTGTTTCCCAGGGAGCCCTCGAGGAGCAGCTGGCTCTGACTGGGGATGGTGCCTACAATGCGCACTTTGGAGAGAGCATTGCCAGCCTGGACGATCTGGACAATGATGGGTTCCCAGGTGAGTGAGTGCTCCTGGTGCACGGAGCCCCTCCAGGTGCAGCACGCTGCTCTGTTTCAGAGGGGCAGCCTGCTCGCTGACTGTCCATCTCTAGTGGCATGCTCCTGGGTCTACTGATCCCCTTCGAAGGCCCATCAATGTGCTGTGGGGAGATAGGACACGTTTAGAGGTGCTCTCCCTGTAGACACGCAGGGCTGAGCTTCCAGCCCACTGGAGTTTTGCCTCTGCATAATCCCTTCTCACCAGCTCAGTGTTCTTTGTTGTTTGCAGTGGAAGCAAACCTTGGGGCTGGTCCATTTGGGACTTCTTATGGCAAGAAGTTTGAATAGCTTCATCCTGCCATCAACTCTCCTTGTTTCTGAGCCTTTGATGCTCCATCATGCTCTACCATGTTGATGGGGAAATGAGTGAGGAGAGAATTAGAAACCCAGACATCTTCTGCCTGATTATAGCAGCAGCTAGATTGACTTTTGAGAGTGTACGCGTGTGTGTGTGTGTGTGTGTGTGTGTGTCTTGGGAGGCATGGAGGCATATGTACCTAATGCCTAGGTCTGTTTGGACAGCAGTGTTCCTCACAGCCTCTTGGCCTCTCTCTCTGGCTTGTTTGAGCCTCTTCACCTCGCTGCATACACAGCATACAGACGTCGGGAGGCAGAGCAACCATGTCACCAGGGCATGTGGTGGTGGAGGTGGGGCAACCCTTGCCCAGGCCAGCCATCCAGACGTCTTTGATACCTCCTACCACTGGCTACAGTGGGCTTCATTTTCCTCCCCCTTGGCCTCACTTCTGCAGACACATGACTTTGTTAGAAGCAAGGGAAAAAAGTTAGGAAGATCTAGGTTTTGTTCTAGGAGTTGCCAGTTTGTGAGAGTAATGTTATTTCTTGTGTGTGAAGTGAATGCCCTTCTGTATATTTCCTTTATCCAGGAATGGATTTATTATCAAATAATAATAAGGAATGGTCCTTTATCCAGGACCTCAGACTTTCTCAGTTACACAATAGCCATTGTCTATGGAATTCTCCCTGATGGAAATTATGGCACGTAGTTTATATTTGCATTTCTTTTATTGGATGGGTCAGTGGTTTTTCTTACGAGCATAAGGTAGAAACTTTTTTGGAACTAAATTCTTCTCAGTCAGCTTCTATAGTTTTCACTGTACTTTTTTTTTTTTTTTTTTTTTTTTTTTTTTTGAGATGGAGTCTCACTCTGTTTCCCAGGCTGGAGTCCAGTGGCACAATCTCAGCTCACTGCAACCTCCGCTTCCCGGGTTCAAGTGATTCTCTTGCCTCAGCCTCCAGAGTAGCTGGGACAACAGGTGCGTGCCACCACACCCAGCTAATTTTTGTATTTTTAGTAGAGCTGGGGTTTCACTATGTTGGCCAGGCTGGTCTTAAACTCTTGACCTCAGGCGACCTGCCCGCCTTGGCCTGCCAAAGTGCTGGGATTACAGGCGTGAGCCACCACACTGGCCTACTTTTTTTTTTTTTTTTTCCCGCTGAGGGATCTTGTCCCCAAATTAATGCTTGAACAATCAACAACCAATAATTTCTGGTATCCAGGGACTCAGACATGACAACCAGAATTAGGGAAGCTGCACTTGTATTATTAATGTGGCTTTTTAACCCATAGCTGTTTTTTTACCCTCAGATGTGGCCATTGGTGCACCCAAGGAGGATGACTTCGCAGGGGCGGTCTATATCTATCATGGTGATGCCGGTGGGATAGTCCCTCAGTACTCAATGGTAATTAGTGTGAGAGTGATATGGCAACTGTTCATACATTCATTCAGCAAACATGTATGGAACCTTCATTATGCACCATGCCCTGGAGGTACAAAGAAAAACATTTTTCTTGCCTTGGCCTTCCTACCCTTTTGTGAAAGATACAATTAATATTGCTTATTAAATACTAAAAAAAGCATTCTTAGAATCCCAAGTTCGCTAACACTCAGGGATGCATTTTGCCTAAAGAAGATAATTTTCAACTCTTACTCAGAGTTGGAGCCATTTATTTAAGAAAGGAAAGGAAGCTTTCTCTTTTTGGTGACTACTTTGTCAACCGTCTATGCTAAGGCAAAGGAATATGTTTTAATATATAATCTAGAAGAAAAATGGTCCATGGTGGAGGGGCCTGAAACTGATCACAGACTGTCGTCCCAGCTGGCCTCAAAACCAGGAGCCAGTTAGGACTCTGCGCTTGCGCCCTATACTTGGGAACATGGAAGTGGTGAGTTCTGTTTTTTGCCGTATCAGCTTGGTGTTCAATCTTGCTGATGGTGTCAAGCCCAGCCCATGGGAAAAAAGGAAGTCATGCTCTCAGCAGAAGCATTGTCAGGATATTTGTGGATGTCTGCCTGTGGAGTGGCACTGGCTCTGGTCTTTCTCCCAGTGGGTCAGAGACAGAAGGGGACACACATTGAGAAATTTCCAATCAACAAATATTTATTTATTGAACACTTACTACATGCTGACTACTTCCTACTCATATGTATTTGTATTTTAATTTTAAGAGGCAGCAGGTAAATGCAAGTACAACTTCTACATGAATAATTGTCCTTGGCAGATAGAGATAAACTAGTTAAGGGTGGAGGGTTGGTTGGTTGTCATTCGTGCCTCAGATCCCCTCTCTACTGGCCTCCTGCTGAGCTCAGTGCCTCACCTGCAGGAGACAGGGCTTTGGGAGGCGCTGCGAAGAGGAGGGACTGTTTTTTGGGTGCCTACTCTGCCCTTTCTTTACCTTTAATCCTCGCAGCAGCCATGTAAGATGGGTCTGTTTATTATCCACCATTTATTTATCCACGAGGCCCAAGGAGGTTATTTAACTTGCCCAAGGTCATAAGTGGCAGTATGGCCACAGAATCTTTGCCAGTCTGCTGCCTGAAACTTGTTATCGTAACCACCATCCTCAACTCCACATTGCAAAAAGGAACGCTCGGAAACTCAGTAGGAAAACTTACGAATATGGAAACTATTTTGCCATGAGGCATACATAGTCTGAGGGGCATTTATCTATCCAGACCATCCTCTTTTCATTAGAAGTACATAACAGGAGATTAATAAACTTCGGTGATTCAGCCCACAAGGCAGGAGGAAGAGAGCTTTGGGCACAGTTTGGGGGCCACATCTGAGTCACAAGAGCTGCCCTAGGCTGCGGCAGGGATGCTCTTCCCAGGGTGACAAGCTAAAAGTCACCCAAGGAGCCCCGTGCTCGGGCAGCGGTCAGGGTCATTCTCCACGCATCCTCCGGGAAGCTTGTTTTCCTGGACCTCGGAAGCTAATCACACAGTGAGGCAACCTGTGAGAGACCCCAGCTTCCCCTCCTCCGGGGCCCTCCCAGTGTTTTGTTTGGTTGCTGGGTGGAATCCCTGTAGAGAACCACAGTATAACTCTTGTGGTTAGCGTGGAGCGTCTTTAGTGGGAAGCAGGGATAGCATCTGGACCAGCCTGCCTTTGTCAGCACGCAGGCTGGCTCCTTTGCTTTGACAAAGAGAAGTGGTTTTGGGCTCTTAAGGAAAAAAAAAGAAAGAAGCAACTATGACTGTACGTTCCCAAGCTGCTAATATGCATATGATAAGGGCAGAGATTTAAAAGAAAAAAAATTCTTTAATGGCAGATTCTTGCAGGCCCAGGTCCTGGACAGAGCAGGCATTGTGTGGGTGAACTAGAGGAAGGAATCAGAAACAACTCTGGGCAATGGAATCACTTTGCTTTGGCCCAGATTTGTATTATTTCTGCTGGGTAAATTGTGAGATCAGGGCCTACACTTCTTCCACATTGCTCTTTAACTCTCTCTCGAGTTTACCACGGAGAGTGTTTATTTTAAGATCCTTGTGTGCCTTTCCCAATGTGAGAGCCCTCTGGGCATATGGCGGCCCCTATGATCCTTCTCTTGCTGGAGGGGACACTGCATAGAAACCTGGTCAAGTGGAGGTTTCCAGGGCTCCTGGTTTTCATTTAGGGTTATTAGCACTGGGCAGACTTATCTTCTTGGCTTTTAGCATAATGGCCTGCAGATGTCTGTGGGATAACTTAAGCCTGCATCACCACCCCAGATGGACCACCCCTTCGCTCTGCCCCTCGTCCCAGCCACAGCATACCTTAGAAATGTAGATCCAGGGGCAGGCTGCTGCTAGAGTTCTTGGACTTCAGAGCCAAGAGGGTCTGCTTCAAAACGTGGCTTTTAAGAAATGTGCAGACACACGTACATGTTTGTTTAGACAGAGCCATGTGGGATGTAGGGCTTTGCCTGTTAGTGTGAAACATTTCTTCAGTGTTTCCTACAGTGTTCTGATTTGTACTTTGGTGCTTGGACATTTCCTGTTGGATGGCTTAACGGAGGATGGCAAGCAGCCTTCTCTGATCACTTCTAGGAGGGTTATTTGCAGTTATCAGCTGCTGGGGGTCAGGGGGCATCTCTCGTGCCTCCATCTGTAGATCCTGTGAAAACTCCCCCCTCCTTGCCTTCGTGACTTCTCTGCAGGATGACTCGGGAAAGAGAAGGATAAGGAAAGAAAGTCAAAGTGAGCCCCTAGATAGCTGTAAACCTGGTTCTATTGTACTTTGAAAACAAAGCATTTCTCTTGTCCTCCACAGTGAGGACATCAGGAAGTGAGCCTCCCCTGGGGGACCATGCAGATAAAGGCAGAAGGAGTAGGTCAGACCCCAGAAGATGGGACTTTTCTGATTCAAGAAGTTCAGTATCTTTGTGAGGAACTGCGCCACACGAATGTTGATGCGCAGCTTCAGTGTGACAAAGGCTGTTTGTACAATAAATATTGTTGAATCAGTGCTGCCTGTGTGGATATGTGATGAACTTAATGATGAATAAGAAGTGAGCACAGCCAGGAGTGGTGGCTGTAATCCCAGTTCCTTGGGAGGCTGAGGCAGGAACATCGTTTGAGGCTTGGAGTTTGAAACCACCTTGGGCAACATGGCGAGACCCCGTCTGACAAAAAAAGTAAAACAGCTGGGTATATTGGAGCATGCCTATAGTCCCAGCTACTTGGGAGGCTAAGGCGGGAGGATCACTTAAGCCCAGGAGTTTGAGGCTGCAGTGTGCTATGATTGTGCCATTGCATTCTAGCCTGGGCAACAGAGCAAGACTCTATCTCTTAAAAAAAAAAAAAAGAGAAAGTTTTTTGTTTTTAAAAAACATATAAAGTAAGCATAGATGCTAGTGTGTCCCATGGTGAAGTTGTGAACTCTGGTTGGTTGAGGGGGCTGTTTTCTAGAGGGGAGGGCAGGGCATCTTCTTCAGCTGAGTGCTTTTGATTTCCTACAGTTTAAGAAGTGTTCAGGACCATGGAGTTCTAGATTTACTGGGTAAAACTGTTCACTCCTGTCTGTGAAGCTCCAGAATCTATAGATCATCTGGTTGGCTGGATGGAGAGGTAGTTTCCACATGGCCATCTTTTCCAGCTGGACATGTTAATTACCTGTCTGTCTAGGGAAAGACTCTGTAATGTGTGCCTCTTAGGAGCAGAGTGTTAAATATTTAGTACATATTTGGGAAGAAAGATACAAGCTAAATATGTTCTTAGAATTTCAGCCAGCTACACCTGTGTAAAAACAAACAGAACCTGCATTAGGAATGGAAGTTAAACTTTATCCATTTTGAATTTCAACATGTCAAAACATTATCATGGTAGTCTAGGTGGATTTTTTTCATTAACACAGAACTTAGAAAAAATTTTAAATGATGACGTTTGGCCAAGACAAGTAATAATAAAGGAGTGTGTGGCCTTCAACTGCCTGCTAAAGACTTGCTGATCACATTAGGATTACTTTTTTTTTTTCTTTCAACAACTTTAAGACCAAGTGTCCTAGGGAAGCTGGAATAAAGCAGTCACAGTTCTTATTTGTGACTGTGGTCTTTTCCTGTGACTCCATTTCCCTATTATCTGTTTCAGAAACTGTCTGGGCAGAAGATAAATCCAGTGCTCCGGATGTTTGGTCAGTCCATATCGGGAGGCATTGATATGGATGGAAATGGCTATCCTGGTAAGCTGTTTTTCTTTAAAGGCACATGAGATAAATGAAGATAAATGCATGAAGTAGAATAATTTTCAGTCTGGTTAGCAATCATCACATCCATTTAGGATTAGGACAATTCACACAATAGAATAGGGTGTTTTGCCTGGTGTTCAATTTTAAGGTGAAAATAATGTTGATATTTATTTTGGGGTTTTAAACTGATCTACTCTGAATGGCTTAGCACCAGGAGGGTGGATTTGTGTAGTGGTTTCTGGGGCGGTAATTCTAATGAAGAAAAAAAGCACTGGCCACATCTAAAATGGTTGAATAGTGAAACCTCATGTTTTCCTTTGTATTTAACCACATTCAAAGGCTTCTTACTCTTGAGAGGGAAAAAGAGCAGCACCCCCACCGCCCCCTGCCCCTACTCTTGAAATAAAATGATGGAGAAAGATTTGGAGTTAAAAGAAAACCAAGTCCTCTTGCGTGTGGACAAAGCAGACCTTCACCATTCAATGCTGGCTGGCTTGGCTTTAGAGTTAATTATTGCCTGTGGTGGTTGTGGCTAACTGGATAAAGATACATGATTTCAAACCCAACCCCAAGTGATATCTGGCCTAGGTCAAATTGCCTGGGTGGTGGAGTAGTGGTTCTTCAGGTGTTTCAAGATGGAGTGGGGTAAGGTAAGGAAACAACAGTAAGAATTTGAAAAAATCCAGAATGGTCATGGAATTCAGGAAACATTTCTCTAAATTTTATAGTCATCTTGCTTTTGAGAAATATTTCTTTCCACTAAAATTTAAGAAAACTAACGCAGTCTTGTATGAGGACACCACATTGTGTATTTTTGTACAGATAGGAGTTTTGGAAATTCCTCAAGACAACAGAGCCAGGAGGAAGTAAGGGAATAGAAAGAAGTCAGTGTTGAAGCTTTTGTCCCAAGAAAGACCCTTGTGGGCCTTTTTAAGTTTGAGAAAGCAGTTCTTGTTCTGGAAAATTTGTGGCCATCCCCAAATAATACCTTATATGGGTTTAGCATTTAATATGTACAAAATGCTTCCACATGCAATGTGCATCTCGCAGTGACCCCAGCAGGTAAGTAGGATAGGGTGTTTTCCCCACTTTATAAACAAGGATGCTGAGACTCATTGTGAGGGGCTGCCCAGAGCCTGCAGTGCACGGGGATCCATGCTTCCCAGTGGTTCAGCTACTTTTCTGTAAATGTGAGGTGAGCAAGGTGTTCACAGTTCACAATGGATCTGAATTTCTGATCTTGTGTTTTTCATAAGGGAAATTGACAAATTCATCAGGTTCTTTTATTTTTAAACATATAGCAAATTTAAAGACTATTGAAGAACAAAATTGATACAACACCCAAGTGGAGAAATTTTAGGAACACTATAATTCATGGATTTGCCATTTGTTTTTCCCTAATGAGGGCATCATATAGATGCTCAGTGCATTTAGTGATGTACAGATTCAGACCCTCTTGGACTCAGATACTTGGTTCTGTGAAGTAGTAGTGGGAACCCCAGGGCCAGGGATTTATATGGCCGGGTTGGGGTGGTAGGGAGAAAGGCATAGAACCACTGGAAGAGTAAGTACTTCCTAAATTAAAGTTATTTAGGAATAAACATTACCAGTTAAACCAGGGTCTTGGTTTATAGCTTACCAAGTATTTCCATGAATTTACTGACTTAAATATCTGATTTCATATATTTAATAAATATTTACTATAAATCTAGTGGGTACTTAATGAATATTATATAATGACTAATAAATATTTTCTGATTTAAATGTAATGAAATATTATCAGCTTTTGAAGAAGGCCCTGGGGATAATTATCTTCATTTTACAGACAGGGATACCATGAGATACTCAGGTCACATAGAGTGAGGGGTGGAGGGTGACAATTCCATGTTCTTCAGAACCTAGAGCATTTTCCAAGAGTCACTGAATTCTAGGTATGTCTTTCTCTAATTCACTGATGTGAAAAGAAGTATAAGCCATATGTGTAATCTAAAATATTCCTGTAATTACATAAAATGATAAAAAAGGTGAAGTTAATTTTATTAATTTTTTTAGCCCAATATAGCCAACATATTATCATTTCAACATATAATCAATATGAAAGTTATTAGTGAGGTAGTTAATGGTTTTCTGTACTAGGTCTTTGAAATGTGGTGTGTAGTTTACACTCACAGCACCTCTCGACTGAGACTAGCCACATTTCAAGGCCCCAGTAGCCTGCGTAGGGATTGGCTGCCACGTCAGAGAGTGTGGCTTCCATTCTTACAAGATCATTGTATAGCCCAGACAGTGGTCGTCTGAGGGCTCTCCGGCCTCAAGGCTGGGTCTCCATCCTTGTGAGCGCATTCCCAGGGCGCGGTTGTGTATGGGCTTCAGCAAGTTTCTGAACGCTGTAAACTTCTCATTTTCAGATGTCACTGTTGGAGCCTTCATGTCCGACAGCGTGGTTCTTCTCAGGTGAGAGGCCCCACTCTTGCTCCTTGAATTGTGCTGTTCAGGGTGAGGGATGGAGCCATTCACCATTCATGGGCTCTTTCCTCTGTCCTGTTCCTTGTAGGCTGGAGGTGCTTAGTAAGTGGAAATGCTACCTTATTTTCTCATTCTAATTATTCTCTATCCCAGAGTTTCTAGCTGTGGCCTTGAATGGCTTGCAGGTATGAGATGATAACATCCTGGGAGCTTCTAGGTAGGGGTTGGGGTAGCCTAACTCTTAAGCCTAAGGTAGGGGTTGGGGTAGCCTAACTCTTAAGCCTAACTCTTAAGCTATTTGCTTTTGGCCAAGAACCTTCCATAATGTGCCATAAAAATATTTTATAATTTCCTGCGGGTGCTGGGAAGCACTGTTCATTCTGTCTCTTCATCTGTACACCCTGCATTTGTACCTCCAGTCAGTCCACAACACCCTGGGGACCGGGAGCCTCCTGCCCGTTAGACAGCACGTCATTCCCTGTTGGCTGCAGAGGTGAGGGACATGAGCTGAGGCCCAGAGCTTGCTGAGGCCCGTGCAGTCTGCATCTCTCCTGCAAAGGCCAGTGGGCCGCCGCCACCACCCGTGAACCCTCTCCAAGTATTTCTAGCTGTATGAGTCAGAGGAGGCAGAATTACACTTTGGAGTGGGAGCCAATTCTTAGGTTTTGTTAATAACCTGATGGCAGAACTTTCTAAAATAGACTAATAGGATCTCAGAGCTGGAAGGGATCCCAGAGGCCATGTAGTTCCACACCCCAGATCCTTCTTATTCAGCGGTACCTTCTGCTGGTCTCCACTGCAGGGCTACACAGCCTCCTGTTTGAGTGAGATGCCCCATGAGTGGGAGCCCAGTTACTTCTAAGGGAACCAGCTTGCCCCGGGTAACATTAAATCTTGAATTATTAAAGAGGCAGAAGAGCCTTGAGGTTGAATGTGAACTCAGGGGCCAGGTGGCCGGGTTCCAGCCCTGACTCTGCCCTTACTAGGTGAGTTTCCTGGGCAAGTCCCCTGACCTTTCTGTTTCAGGATTCTCCTCTGTTGGCCAGGACAGCAATACAGATGCTCCTTGACTTAGGATGGGGTTATTTCCAGATAAATCCATTCTAAGTCAAAACATGGTAGTTTCAACTTAGGATGGGTTTATCCAGATGTAGCCTCATGGTAAGTCAAGGAGTGTGCTGCATTCCTATGGCTTTTGCACCGTTGTGAAGTTGAAAAATCATAAGTTAAACCATTATAAGTCGGGGACTATCTGCAGTACATGTAAAATGTTCAGAACAGTGCCTGGTTTAACTGCTTAATAAATCTTAGCAAGTTTGATGTAAATTGGGTTAAATTTGCCTCCCTAAAATTCTGCTTCTCAGTCTTGTGTCTTTTATATAGCAACCCTTTAGTATCTGAAGGGGGCAATTGTGTCCCCCAAGTGGTGACTTCACTAAGATAAGGCCTCCCTGGTTCCTGTAATTATTTCCCATGTGACTGGATTTTCACTTTCTTTATCAGCGCTTCCTCTGGATAAAACAGCTTTTGTGGCTCCAAATGATTGAGGTTAGATTTGTGAATCTGGTTGCTCTAGTTGGTGCTTTCATGATGTCATCTTTGCTCTCTTCATTATCCTGAGCATCTTACTTTGGTTTGTCAGGATTCTTCTCAAATAAAACACACTCCTCAACTTTTACAGTTGAAAACAGGCTTTTTTTTTTTCTTCTTTTCTTTTTTTGAGATGGAGTCTTGCTCTGTCACCCGGGCTGGAGTGCAATGGTGTGATCTCAGCTCACCACAACCTCCGCCTCCTGGGTTCAAGTGATTCTCCTGCCTCAGCCTCCTGAGCAGCTGGGATCACAGGTGCACACCACCACACCTGGCTAATTTTTTAATATTTTTAGTAGAGACAGGTTTCACCATGTTGATCAGGCTGGTCTCGAACTCCTGACCTCGTGATCTGCCCACCTCAGCCTCCCAAAGTGCTGGGATTACAGGCGTGAGCCATTGCGCCTGACCCAACAGGCCCTCTTAAAACCGGGGCCATCTGGCTGAAGGTCCATCATATAGACTCTGCTTTCTCATCATTCTTGTATTTTTTAATCTTCCTGCTGTGAGCTTAATCCAAAGGGTATTTTCTTTTTCTCTTCTTCATGGTGAGGGACAGCCTTCTCCAGGAGTTTGCTCACATATGGATGTAAAGTAAAGCGAGGCAGTTACACAATGGGTGGGAGACCCCAGACTCCAGCCTAGGATGGAGGGTTGAATCTGGTGAGTTGGAGCTCAACAGGGACAAATGTAAAGTTCTTCAAGAAGAACTCCAGGGAGAGCACATATCAAGAGAAGAGACCTAGGAGAGGAGCCTGGGGAGCCCTGCCCTGAATAAGAGCATGGAAGGCCCAAGAAGAGTGGTCGGGCCATGACAGCTGTAGAGTAGCATGCAAGGATGTTGTGGTCACAATAATCCATTATCTTATTCATTCAGCTAAGGTGCATTGACCTGTTGAGATGCAGCCATGCATCAGATCCTGGGGATTTGATGGGAAACCTGACCTAGCCTGTGACCTTAGATTATAGCCAGAGAGCCATATGCAAGTGAATAATAATGCAACCAATGTTTGGTAAGCTCCTACCGCATGCCTGGCACAGTGTGAGCACTTCATTTGTGTTCATTCTTTGTTATTGTTTTCTTTCTGTATTAAGGTAGAATTTGCATGCAATAAAATGCACCAATTTGAGAGTATGACTCCATGAGTTTTGACCACTGCATACGCTGTGTGACTACCACCCCACCACAATAAAGAATACTTCTGTCACCCCAGAGAGTTTCCTTGTGCCTCTGGCTGGTCATACCCCTCTCCTGATAGACAACCACTGTTCTGACTTCTATCACCATAGATCCATCTTGCCCATTCTAGAATTTCACATTGGTGGGAATATACAGTATGGACTCTTGTTTCTGGCCTCTTTTAATCAGTGTGATGCATTTGAGATTCGTTCATGTTGGTGTGTTGCTTGTTTTTCCCCTTACTGAGTAGCACTCCATTGACTGAATATCCTTGAGTTTGTTCATCCATCCTCTTGTTGACAGAACACATGACAACTCTTAGTCTTCTTAACAATCCATGACATAAGTGGGGCTGTTATCCCCATTTTATGGGTGAGGAGACCAAGGACATGCAGATCTTATTAATATAAAAGGGAAGGTGATTCCAGATGGTGGTAGGTGCTGTGAGGATTCTAAGGCAGGGTTACTTGGTCAGGCAGTGGTGTCAAAGTCAGCAGGAAGGGCCAAGCAGAGTGAGGCCTGAGACTTGTTGGAGGTGGCAGGGGGAGGTCAGGGGTGCCCTTGGCTGTGGTGGCTCTAGAGAAGTGATGGGGCAAAAGCCAGATGGCAGTGGGTGGGTGAGAGAAGAAACAAGAAGGACAGTGACTCTTGACTGCTTCTCCAGAAGCTTGGCTGCAAAGGAGCAAATGGGACCAGCAGGTAGTTCAGGGAGGTGTTTTAAGGACGGGAAGCTCTAGATCAGTGATTAGGCCAAGAACGTCTTTGAGCCATTTTCTGGTCTCCCAAGTCCCTTACCCTCTTGGAAGAGATCAGAGGTGGTCACCCTCAGCTTCACCCTCATCTATGTGAACCCTGATGCCCTAACCCTGTGCCTACACCCAAGGGTCCTGGAGAGGTTGAAGAGACAAGAGGGAGGATGGGAGGCTGCTCCAGAGATGAGGGATGGGGGGATGAGGTTGGTGAGAGTGATGGAATCTGGTACATGGGCTGGGGGCGAGGGGCCCTCATCTTCTGAGCCAGGCCCCAAGATAGGAATAAGGTCAGAGCAAGGTTCAGTTCCGGTACATGGGCTGGGGGCGAGGGGCTCTCATCTTCTGAGCCAGGCCCCAAGATAGGAATAAGGTCAGGGCGAGGTTCAGTTTGGGATGTGGATGAGGATGAAGCAGAGGGTGACCACCCTGGTCTATTCCAGGAGGACAAGGGAATCAGGGAGAGCAGGGAAGGCTTCAAAGACAGGCTGGAGCCCCTAAGAGAGGAAGCAAGGTGGGGCAGGCAAAGGGGTTGCTGAGCATGTCTGAGGGGCCAGCAGGCTGGATGTCTGCAGGGGCAGCCGTTGATAAAGTCCCAGGATTCAGCTGAGCAGCAGTGAAGGCCTGGAGGCATCAGCTGGCTATGTTAAGTAGGGGCTTGGCTCAGCCTGGCCTAACTGATGTTAGATTTTGAGTTACTTTAGGTTTTGGGTGGGACTAGAAAAGCAGGGAGGGCTAGGAGACCACGCATGTGCAAGCACACATAGATATATATTGCCCATCGTTCCTAACCCTCCTAAGGGCAGGAGGCCAGAGGTATGTGGGTTAGGAATGCTATGGGCTGCAGCTAAGAGAAAACCTGGCTGAGGCTTTCAACTATATGACCTCAAATTAGCTCCCTGGAGATAGGTGGCCCCAGGGCTGGCTTAGTAACCTAACAATGGCACCAGTGGCACCAGGGGTGAAGGCTCTTTATCTGTCCTTGCCTTGCAGAAGGCCAAGGCACCTTGAGCAACATGTCAAAGGGCATCCCAACTGGTTGTATTATTTACCTTGAAGTGAAGTGACAGGATTTGAACTGTCAGCCCTCAGGGAGAAGTGTTCCAGCTACCAGGTTTTTTTTTTTTTTTTTTTTTTTTTTTTTTTTTTTTTTTTTTTTTTTTTTTTGAGACGGAGTCTCCCGCTGTCACCAAGGCTGGAGTGCAGTGGCGCGATCTTGGCTCACTGCAAGCTCTGCCTCCCGGGTTCACGTCATTCTTCTGCCTCAGCCTCCCAAGTAGCTGGGACTACAGGTGCCCGCCACCACACCCAGCTAATTTTTTGTATTTTTAGTAGAGACAGGGTTTCACCGTGTTAGCCAGTATGGTCTCGATCTCCTGACCTTGTGATCCACCCGCCTCAGCCTCCCAAAGTGCTGGGATTACAGGCGTGAGCCACCGCGCCCGGCCGCTACCAGCTTCTTAAGAAAAAAAAAGCACTGAAAGCGCTTGTGGTGCTGTCCTTGGGTGCTCCTTTGCTTTTATCTCAGAGGCTGGCACATTTGTAGGCAGGACTGTGAGACACAGTCTCCCCTGCCCCCAGGAGTGTGGCTGGCCCGCTCTGCCCTCAGGAAGTTTGCTTCCCTCAGATTAGCTCCGGGGCAGGTCCTGTGTCAGGGTGATAGGCACACGGTGCTCTCCCATTGAAGGTCACAGGAAGCGATCAGAGAGGCCTCTGAAAGATTTCTGGGCTTTTCTTCATCCAAAAACAATACTTGGAGTTGAAACAAAAAGGTTGAAGGGAACTGATCCGACAGCTGTGGGAAGGAGATGTACCTGTGAAGGTCCCTGTGGTCCATTTCAAAGGATACTGTTTTTCCAACTTCCACTGAGGTCACTGTGTCTGGGCTGCCCACGTCTGTTTCCTGCCTGCCGCACTGTCTTCTGCAGAGCTCTTTTGTGAGAGGAGGATTCGGCCTCCTCCCTGACGAGGTGGCCCCTGGGGATGATGGGGCGGGCTAGGCTTTTCTTCTGTACCATGACCAGGCGCGTCAGGGACCAGGCAAGGTGGAGACCAGCTCTTCATGGTACTTCTGTCCATCTGTGAGGCTTTGGACACTCGTGGTTTTCAGTCTCCTAGGCTGGAGTAAAATTTGTACTTATTTAACAAGGGTGTTTGCACATTTATTATGGGAACGAGAGGATGAATTCACCGGATCCCAGCCCTTGCAGGGTGCTGCAGGATGGTGGGGCAGGTTTGGAAATAGACAATGACTGTTCACCTTAGTAAGTGGGGGCCAGAGGTGTGTGTACAGAGCTGGAAGCACAGAGAGGGAGGATGCCTGTCAGGGGTACTAGAGAAGGCTTCCTCAGGGTGGGAACATTTGAGCTGGCTGTTGAAAGGTCGACGGGGTTTTATAGGGTGTCCATTGGCATCTGCACAATCACACTGGCCAGGGGTAAGAGATCCACTTTCCGATTTATTTCTAGTATCCTATAAGGATGAACCCAGAAGAAAATGGAAAGACTAAGGTGTTGGCCTTCTTTCAGGCACTGCTATTGTCTGACTTCCGTTTGTCCTGTGGCCAGATTTGCTCTGGAAGTCCCGCAGTTCCACTGCCTCTGTTATCACTACTCTCTGTTGACCCCATCTCCCAGCATGGTGGCAGCAGTGGAGTCCCCTCACCCTATCTGTGCCTCGTGTCTCTTCACTTCCTTTGTTCACCCAGATTTTCCTTAACGCTTTCTTCCATTGGAGTTGGTGTGGGTCATCATTCCCATCCGCCCTATCACCCTGGGCTCTCTTTGAGGGATCATTGTACACAGGGGCATCATTGTTCTCAAGCTACTAATGCCCCTTAATCTTGTTATGTCACCCCAGTGGTGTGAAGGCCAGGGCTCCTTAGAGGTAAAAGGGTCTCTTTGTGAGGCCTGGAGGGGAGAAGGTTGAGCGGTAGCTTAGGTGAATGCTGCCTGAGCAGATGTCTGCAGTGGGAGCAGAATGGTGTGATTTACTCTTTGTTTTTGTGGGATGTCCTTGGGGAGCCCACAGGTGCTGTCCATTCATCAAGCACTGGGAGATGGTCCATGGCAGGGAGGAGAGTATGGCTATTTATTGAGTTTCATTTGGTCATAAGACTGGGCAGGTTGATTTCTTCTGCCCTGAAGCACTTTGCTATTACCAGCTGGGACTCCACTTATCAAGTTCTTTTAGGAAATTACCCAATGAATTGGTGGAGGTAAATGATGCAGGAGGTTTGACCAACTGCATGGGGCTACAACATTGCAGTTCATGCTCATAATGGCAGCAAATGCTTGAGGGAATCCCTGAGTATGCATCTATTTCTTGAATCATGGCATCTGCTATAGGAAATCCTCTTAAATGTATTCTTATCTCCCTAATAAAATGGAAATTGGTACTTAATTGGTAAAATTTTAAATAATTACCCAGCATCTGGTGGTTCATTTATGGCTTCAACCAGATGCGTTTTATTAACAACAAACTTGCTTTTATTATTGGGACGCTAACTATTAATTTACTAGGCAATATGCCCCTTCTAAAACCAGAAAAAAATGCTCACAGAACATACTAGCCCTTCTCTCTTGGGATATTTCATGCTTTAATTAAATGCTGGGTTGAAGGCCTAGGATTTATCCTGTTGGTCTAGTTCTTGTTTGGTTCTGAGAGCTGCTCCTTACCACGACTAAGTCACCTTCCTCTCTTGCCCTGCAGAGCAAGGCCTGTCATTACGGTGGATGTCTCCATCTTCCTCCCGGGCTCCATCAACATCACAGCGCCTCAGTGTCACGACGGACAGCAGCCTGTGAACTGCCTGAACGTCACCACCTGCTTCAGCTTCCATGGCAAACACGTTCCAGGAGAGATTGGTAATGAGCCACCAAGTCAGGGCTCAGGATACCCGTTTAGCTGGAGTGGGCTAGTGGGATATTTCCGATGTTCCCTGTCGCTGTTCCTCCCAGCTGGTTTTGCAGGCAGCAGGCACACAGGCTGGACATCCTTTCCCTCTGAGGTTCCTCCCCTTCTATTTCCTGCTTATCAACATGTTTCTAATGTCACACAACCTCCAGCTCTAGGACAAATAATGTTGGACCCCAAGCATTCTTTTTGCAAATATGAGGGCTAGACTGAAGCCTCATTGGACCACAGGTCCTATGGGACTGGTGGAGATATAGTGCCCGGAGCCTGGCCCTTAGGGAACATTCGAGCAGTTAGAAAGCAGAAGTGACAGGACTTTGGAGGCTCCTTATTGAGCTTGTAGCATCAGCCAGATGTCAGGGGACTTATACCATTTACTATGGAATTGGAGACCAAAGATGGATGGTGGGATTCGGATGCTGGTGTTACAGAGGCTTAGGTTTCTAAAAGAGGGGTGCTGCTTTGGCAGCTCAGAATTGAAAAGAGGCAGGCATTGTCCTGACAGCTGGTAACTGTCCCTGCCATTTTTCTGGCTGGGGAAAATCAACTTGCTAGCCCAGCTCTAGAGACTGGATTAAACCCCAGAACAAGATAGAACCAGTGTTGATTGGAATTCAGAGCACGTGATCACCTGAAGGAAATGAATCTGGAGCTTTATGCATATTACTAGGTGCTTCATTTTTATTTAAAAGGCTGATTTAATAATAGAAAGAAAAACTCCAGGCAAACAAAAACACTAACAGGGACCTGAACCTACTGACGTTCTTAGATATTTTTAATGTCATGAGTGACTCCTTTTGCTACTCACAGTGTAGCCCCTGGCCTAGCATTGTCAGCATCACTGGGAACTTGTTAGAAATGCAGGACTTTGGGCTCCGCTTTGGACTTCTGAATCAGAATCTTCATTTTCACAAGAGCCCCACAAGATTCCTGTGCACATTTAAGTTTGAGAAGCACTGCTGTGGAGCACACATGTGTGCACACACGCCCACTCATGCAGAAATATTTACGTGAGCTAGTTCATTCCTCAGCCACACCTCAAATGTTCTACCTTATTTAATATGTTCATCCTTCTTGGCTGTCTCATTGGCAATTTCTCTTGATCTTCAGGTATATTGAATAAGCTCAACTATTAAACATATTTATTTTATCATTTTTTAAAAAGAGCTTAGAAATTTCAACATTGAATGAAACCATACCATAAAACTTGGGAACTGGTTAGTGAGGGAGGATTAACAACATTTTCTTGTGCAGCTCAATGAGAAAGAGCAGCTCACTCAAGATCACACAGATATTGTTGAAGCCAGGAGTTGAATTTGGATCTTATGATACTTAGTTTTGCTTTCTAACAACTATTTCTCACCACCTCCATAATTGTTTAAGATACTACAGTCTTAAGGAAAAAAGCTTTCTGATAGTTCTGGGACTCGTGTGTCCTCCACATAATTAAGCAGTCTGTCTTCTGTCCAGTGCCAGCTCATCACGTAGTTGGACTCTGTTAAAAAACATTTTTAAAGAATGAAGATTAATTTTGATACACATAAGAATGAGAACTATTCTAGAACTCTCAAAAAGGGCAAACGAGTAATAGTTTCTGTGTATGTTCATTTGACACATGCTTATTATGTATCCACATGTGCCAGGCACTGGAGATATAGTCCTGCCCTCATGGAGCTTCTAAAGGGAGTTACAAAGAGTTTCTACTATTTTGGCCTTGAAGCAGTGTTAGACAACGTTCACTTATCGCTGTTGTGAAAGTGAAGGTAAATTGGCATAGCTGAAGCAGAGAAGAAGAAACCAAGATGCAAGTTAGAGCAAGAGTGATTCAGAGCATGAGACAAGTGGTAGAGCAAACTCTGATTTGAAGGTTCATGAGCTGAGCGCAGAGGAGATGTGGGTGCCTCCTCATGCTGTTCCCGACCAGTGGCTCTTTCTGGGGCCCCATCTAGCATGAGCCTTTCACAGACTGCTAAGCATAATTAGAATGAAGGTCTAGGCTTAGCCATAGCCCCAGAAGTGTTGGGGTAAAGTGGAAGAGGCTGGCAGTTGGATGGCATCTTGTACTGTACCTTGTGGGCAATGCGAAGCAACCTGGCTTATATCTGACATTAGGTGGGGCCCATTCAGCACCAGTGTACCCTCCCATTAATTTCTCTTCCCTATCCTCCATCTGCCACATGGGTTCATAGATAAAGTCAAACATCCCTTTACACTCTAAGGGTGTGTTTCCCCGATAATCAGGCTTAAAGGGGATGGTAACTGGAGAATTTTGATATCTCAATATAATAAGGCAATGCAGAAAATTATTCATCCCCAGCATGTTTCTGTCACTTTCTCTGGCATTCATATCTCAATCTTTGCAGTAGAAAGAGAAATGTAGAAATCTGCCAGAAAATGTGCTGGCAGTGAAATGGAGAGTTTGGGGAGGGAAAAATGGGCAGGCCTTATGGAAATGTGATAGGAAATGAGGTGGAGGTGAAAGGTCAGGTAACTGTGGGGGCCCAGCTCTGGGTGAGGTGTCCTAGAATTCAGCAAGGAAGGCAGCCTCTTGGCTCTGCACAGTTTGGAAGGTCAGTCTTCAGATGGAGGAAAGATGGGCACTTCCAGGACACAGATACCCTCCACTTCCATCCAAGCTCAGCAGAGGGTGCTGGCCAACTCTGTCATCTCCAGGCCTCTGCCTCAGGAACCCACAGCTGAGACACTGGGTTACCAGCCTTCCTACTCTTTGTGCTGGCAGCTGCAGAGGAACCATGTGGATGATGACTTTGTCCATGGAATGCCTGGTGAATGAGTGCCAGCCCTGGGCAGGCCTTCCAGGCACCTCTCAATGTCTGCATATCTTGGGCTGAGTTTGTTAGCAGGACGGCTGCATTTGGGCAGAGCAATACACAGATACCTGTGGTGGGCTAGGTACTGCTGTCAGAAGTGGTATCTTCTGTGGTATTTATCTGCTGCTGTCTTCAGCTACATGACCTGCTCTCTGAGGATGGTTTTGAGAGCCATAAGCAGCTGATGTTAGTCTTGTGCCTTTGGTTTCTTCTTCTCTACCTGGCAGGGTTCAAGCCTATGTACAGAGAAGGGACACCAACTGCCTCTTTATTTCCTGCTTTAGAAATGGGAGACCACAGTGCCTACTTGGTCATGGGAGTGTTCAGGACCAGCTCATTAGCGGGACACAAGCTGCTGTAGCCTCTGTAAATACTGTAGGAAATACAGACTTTCTCTGTAGGAGGTGAATCTGCCTTGGCCTCTGAAACAGGCAGAGTCCAGTCAGGAAAACAAAAACCATACCAGTTATTTTAACAGAGGAAATTTAGCACTGGGAATGGGTTAAACAGGTCATGGACGACCTGGGAGTAACTGCAGGAAGCAGCTGCCGCCTCCAGGTCTGCACCAGTGGATCTCAAAGTGTGGTCCCAGACCAGCTGCATTAGCATCACCTGGGATCTCATTAGATATGCAAATTCTGACTAGAAACTCTGAAGGTGGGACCCACATCTGTGTTTTTACAAGCCTCCAGATGGGTTCAATTTGAGAACCACTGTTCAAGGTTATACTTCGGGTTAACCACTTCCTTGGGGTTATCAGAACCTATGAGCTTGGAGAAGGGGCCCTGCGGAGCTAGGACCTGAACCTCTGAGGAGGGGGCTGGTGCTGCTGATCTCTCTGAGGGAGTGCAATGAGGCTGGCTCTGGGAGAATGGGGGGAAAATTGAAAACTACAATTAACTGCTGTTGGGGCCAGCTGCCGTGAGAAACTGTTGCTGGGATAAGCTGCTAGGAATAGGAAGCAGGGAGGAAGGAGCGAGTTCCTTTGCCCTCTCCAGCCTTGCAGGCTCCCTCCGATGCTCCATATTAGCAGAGCCTCACAGCAAGCCTCTGGCAAAACAAGTGAGGTTTGCAGGGTCCCAGCTCCAGTGTCACAGTGCAGGGTAGAGAAGGGTGGGTTGGAGCTGAGGACAACAGCTTCATAAACCAGCACAGCAAGCATCCAGTTACATTGAGTTGCTGAATCCCTGTTGGGTCATTCAATCAAACAATAATAATTAAGGTCCTACAGAGTGCCAGACACCCTGCTTATCCTGGGGCACGGAGCAGTGAGCAGGACAGGCAAAGTCCTTGCCCTCATGGAGCTGGCATTCTAGTGGGAGGGGGGCAGGCAGACGGGACAAAAACAACCAGCTGCTCTCTTGCTGGCTTTTCTAGATGAGCTCCGGGCCCCTTGTGTGGCATGCACTGTGCTTAGCACTGGGACACAGACAGACACAGACTTCTCACTCCGACTGTGGGCTCCTCCAGGAGCAGGTTTACAACGTATTTCATAAAGCACTTTAAAATAGGAGTTCTTCCTGTCCCTAATAGTATTATTCATCACTTCATTCTTGGCCTGGGAACAGCCTGTGGCCCCTTGGAGCCTCCTGGCTAGCATAGGTGAAGGTGGTGAATGCTTTGCCCAAGGGGACCCTGCCCCTCACCCGTGGACGGTGCTTGTACCTACTCACTGGCCAGGCTGAAGCCTAAACTTGCTTGTCAATCTCTGGAGGCTGGGAATCAAGCTGGCAGTTCTGGGCTTTCACCAGAGTGTGAAACGAAAACCAGGAAGGGGCGCTCTCTGAGTGATTGCATTTTGCACTCTGACCCAGTGCTCCTGTGTTTCCATGGTTAGCCTGAAACTCGGGAAGGAGAATTTGTTAGAATTTCACAGCTGAAATCTTGTTCTGACGGAGAGCAGGAATTAATCAAAACTTGCTGGGAGAGACCAGAGCTAGAGTTGATGAGAGACAGCTGGCTCCCTCCTGGCCCAGGCCCGTGCAGGGGGGCTCCTCGGGAAGCAGCCGGGGGCAGGGCAGGGAGGTGGCTGAAAGTATTACTCGGGGCTGATCAGCTTTTCCATCACCATGACATCATTCGACATGGCAGGGACACAAGCTGCCAGAAGGAAAAACCTAAAGATGTGAAATGTGCTGTTGGAGCAGGCCCTAATCAGAACTAGCAGCCTCCCAGGGACAGACAGGGGCTGGCCAGGCTGGCTTACCTCATGGCCGGCTGTGGGCAACTTGGACAGCCTGATCCACCCACCTTCCCAGGGCCCTGACCGCGGAGCCCGGGCAGCTGATCGGCTGCTTCCCAGACATGTCCTCTGCTTCCCTTTCCACCAGACCCTTTACCAGTGGGTGCTGGTAAAACTGCCAGTTCCGCTCAGGGCTTTGGAATGAGTGGTCAGCATTTCTTCTTGCCTCCTCAGGCAGGGTCTCTCGTTGTGACTCTTGCTTTCTTCTAGAGGAGACAGTCTGATGTAGAAGTAATTTCCTTTGGGGTAATTTAAAATGTCAAAATTTAAATCAAGGAAAAGTACTAATTAGGCAGTTCTAGAGATGAAATGCTTCCAGAATGATTGCACTTGGTGAATTGGATAATGCGGTATGTCTGTGATTGTATGTTTTAACATTTTAGAGAAATCTGAAAGTTTAATGTGCTGGCATGCACACACCCCGCTGGAGAGGAGCAGCAGTTGCCTTGTCCTCAGCTCAGTTTCTGTGAACTGTGGGTTGTTTCTCTCTTCCTTGAGTTGCAAGAGATCAGTACTTCCGGATCAGTACTTCTGCAGTGAGATGAAACTTTGGAGGAGTAAAGTTGGTGTTTGTAAATTATCTAGCACAGTGCTTGGCACACGTTGCAGGTTGAATTTATTTGCTTTTCCTTACTTACCCTGTGTTAATATGGGTTCTCCCCAAAACAGAGCCTGGGTCAAGGATCTGAGTGCATGTGGTTGATACACAAATGATCCCAAGAGGTACCAGTAAGGAAATGGGACAGTGAGACAGGAAAGGAAGGCAGTTGCAGGCCTCAGGCTTCTCCAGAGAAACAGAATGGAGAGAGAAAGAAATGGATTAGTTGGTTGATTTTCAGGAATTGGGTTGTGAGATTATGAGGTCTGGGAAGTCTGAATTCTTGGGGGCAGGCCAGTAGGCTGGAGACTCAGGGAAGAGTTGATGTTGCAGCTCAAGTCTGAAAGCAGTCTAAAAGCAGTTTATTTTTTTGGGAACCTTAGTCTTTTTCTCTTAAAACCTTCAACAGATGAGGCTTGCCCACATTTTGGAGGGTAATCTGCTTTATTCAAAGTCTACTGATTTAAATGTTAATCTAATATAAAAAAATACCTTCTCAGTGACATCTAGATTGGTGCTTGACCAGATTCTGGGTACTGTGGCCCAGCCAAGTTGACACATAAAATTAGCCATCAGAGCAGCCAAATAGAGGGTGTCTTATTGAGCAGGTTACCACTGTGGGCAGCTGGAGCTCAGTCCTGCTGGGGAACCCTGGCAGTCAGTGTAGACCGTGCCCCAGAATTACCCCACATCAAGGGGCAAGGGAGCTGGGGCCCTGCATTATGGAGGGCTGCTCTGGGGACTTGAGTTCCCTGGCACTCCTGGCTTGCCAGGCACATGGACAGAGCCACTAGAGAAAGCCCTCAGGAGAAGAGATGCAGGTACTGGCAGTTGCAATTTGGGCCGGACAGCAGAGAAATGGTAAAAGCCAAGAGGATATGGGTGGGGGAGCAATACCATCAGTTCCATCTTCCTGTGTTCCTTTCCACCCAGGTTTTCTCTGAGCTCAGCTAGTTCATCTCTGGTAAGATAGTCCAGTCTCGCTGTTCTCTCCATTGTCTCCCTTCCTGAGGGAAGGCAGCCATTCACCTGGGAAGGAGGCTGGTCAGGGGACCCCGAGGAGAGTCTGCTCAGCAGCTGCCTCCACCACATTGGTTCACCCAACTGTGGCCTCTGGCTTGTCTTCCAGCAATGTGTATCTGTAGCCATGACTTTGCTTAAGCGAACTTGGAAATTCACTTCATTTAAATGTAATCTTTCTTACTTCAGGGCAGTTGTTCAGGGAAGTTGTGATCAGTAGAAAGTAAATTGGCTAGAGTTCAGTTGTAGATCTCTGCACTTGTTTGGACCTGCTATCCATGCATTCAAAAAAATGGGAGGTTTTGGTCAAGTAATGTACAACATGCAGCAAGAACAAGTGTGGTGGGAATAGCCTGGCACCAGAGATTAAGGGAGTCCTAGATTCAGCTGTTTGATGGGTGGCCCTCTGGCCTGGAGCAAGTCTTGTTCCCTTTTGGGGCCTCAGTTCCCTCATCTTAAAAAATGAAGGTTTTTGAGCTTAGTGGTCTCCAGGATTGCCTCAAAGCTTTGCCAGTCTGAATCTACCCTTTTCTTGCTATTGTCCCCATTGGAGTTGGTGTGTGACACTTGCACAGGTGCCAGTGTTTTCTGTGTGGGAGCACTTTCCTGTATGCATTATTTTCTTCTTAATAATGGCACCTCCTGAGAGTTTCCAGGTCTCAGATCCCTTCTGGTGACACAGCCTTGCCTTGTAAGTCAACTGTTTGCTGGCGTTAAACAAGTTGGGGCAGATGGCTCTGCTGACTAGGAATTTGCCAGCTCGGCATGGCAAGATCCCTGAGATGGCAGAGGCCCAGGGAGGCCATTAGAAGCATCAAAAATACGCCCTGTGGCAGGTGCAGAATGCCCATTCAGGTCACCTTCCTCTCTGCCTGTTCATACCTCCCCTGGTGGCTGATCCCATTGATGTCATTAAAAGCCGGAGCCTTCCCTAATGCCTGACTTCACTTACTTAAATGCCAGTGGGCTCGGGGCTACTTGTTACTGATGCAAAGCCCCCAGATTCTAAGAGGCAGGTGTGTGGAGACAGGGCAGGGCTGGGTCATCTGCCTTCTGTTGCTTAGCCATCTTGCCTTGTCATTCCAGGGACAGAGATTCCTGTTCTCTCACTTTAAAAATAACATATTTCCTTGAATCCCCAAAACAGTTAAAAAATAAAAAGGGTTACGGAGGGGATGACCTCTGGCACAGAAAAGCAGTAAAATAGGTGTATTGACACTGAAGTCATATTTCTATAATGAAATACATACCTATCTATTTACTTATTGACTCTGAAATAACAGAGGTAGATCCTTCCAGGTTTATCTAGCCTGCATTTGATACTGTGATCATCTTTTTTTTCCTTCTTTCTTTCTTCTTTTTTTTAAATTCAAGACTGTGTTACAAAAGTTCTGCCATCTGGCATACACATTCAGGTATGGGGGTGAGTTATTCTTTGCAGGAGAGGACCTCAGTACAGGCCCTACCGTGGTCATAGTTTTGTTGAAAGGATAGGCACTACAAAATGTTTGATCACCACACTCGGCTACCTGGGAATAAAGGCAACTCCAGCCTTCATCTGGGTTCCTGTGCATGTAAACTACCTGAAGGCAGGAGTTTATGCCTGCGTTGTTCATTGATACATCCCCTCTACCTTTAGCGGTGCCTGGCCTATAGTTAGTGCTCAGTAAACGATGGCGGGCACATGGTCTGGTCCATGTACTGATTATAGAGCACGACTCAACTTTGTTGAGATGAGTTAAAATTATCAGACGAGATGGTTCCCTTGTGTTGGGCATAAACCATGTGCTTTATAGAAGTCAGTATTACACAAAGCCTTGATAATTTCAGCAGCTTCTGGTAATGTTCTGTAGGTTTGTCATGATGTTTTGCTTGTCAGGACACTAACCTGTGTTGGGTACACCTTGTTAATGGGCATATTGCTGGCTCAGTTGATACCTCATGATGGCATGAGGTTTAAATCAGGGAGAGCCGTGAAGTATGACACAAGGAGAGTCATTAGAAAGGCAGAGGACATCATGCTTCTCTCTCGATTCTTTGAGCACCCTGGCTGTGTGCTGCTTTCTGAGCAAGTCTCTGCTTGGGGCTGCAGTCTCCTGCCATGGAAGGGTAGGTATCATATGAGATGTGCATGTGATCCTGTGACAAGGAAAAGAGGTGGCCTCATCACAGTGTGTCGGTCCTTTCTGACATTTTGACCTCTCATTTATTGGCAGGCCTGAATTATGTTCTGATGGCTGACGTGGCCAAAAAGGAGAAGGGCCAGATGCCCAGGGTCTACTTTGTGCTGCTGGGAGAGACCATGGGTCAGGTCACAGAGAAGCTGCAGCTGACTTACATGGAGGAGACGTGTCGTCACTATGTGGCCCATGTGAAGGTCAGTCCTCTCCTCCTTTTTATCCTCAAACTTTGATCTCTGCAGATGTTCACTTGGAGCTGGTGGAAACTATTTTTATTATGTATTATGTGTGCTCTTCCAAAATTTTATTTCACAGGGAGGAGCATATCCATTTCTTCTTTTCTTTTAAAGTTGGCCTCTGACAGCCCTTTTATTTATCTTACTGTGTTGATTTCAGCCTTTAAGGGGGGTCGTGGTGGTCTAGGAGACCAGTGATGGTCCCTGGCTTTGACTTGTTCTTTTGAGAGGTTTCTCATCCTCTCCCCTCTATGAGGCTTGGTAGCCTTTTCAGAGGAGAGCCTTGGAAGCATGTGCCTCTGGGTCTGCAGTGATGCTGGATCACACTGCACCTGATGCCTTTCTCAGTGGTCTACTACAAATTAGCTCATGGTCACAGTTAAGGCATTTTAAAACTGGTTGGACTAGATTCTTCCCCCTTGACTACTTTCTATTTATTTTAGGATGCATTTTTTGGCAACCTTTCCCCTCGCACTCTAAATAAACTTGCAAATGTTTTTCTCCTCTTGAAATTGTTTGTTAAATACACTTTGCTGCTAATTCAGGAGGCCAGGCTTTGATTAGCTACAGAGTGGCCCTTGCAGCAGGCGCTGGCAGGGTGGAAGACCTGGCAGTGCCTGATGCTGCAGGAATGGCCAGACACTGACCCATGGGCAGGGTCAGAGAGCGGAGGAGGTGGAAGAATGCACTTAATCCAGGCCACATGGTGGGTGGAATGAGCATGGGTTTTGGAGACACATAGATCCAGTGTGTATCCAGCTGGACACATAATTGTGACCTCTCCCTGTCTCAGTCTCTGCATCTCTAAAATGGACACAGTAGTCCTTACCTTGAAAGGTGGTCATCAGGATTAAACATTACACAATGAATTTACTTAAAGGACCTTGAATGGTGTCTGATAAATAGAAAGCAACCAAATTATTATTATTTGGTTGGGCTGTATATAATTGCCAATATTCTTTTTGACTTACAAAAATGGAAATTTCATATAGCTCAACCCAATATTGTTTATTAGCCACTGGATTTCTGACTGATAGTTTGAAAAGTCTGCAGATTAGAGATGAAGTGTCCTCCTGTTAGTGCCAGAGCAGAAGAATAACAGCTGCTTCTAGATGCTTCAGGGCTGTGTATAGAGAGATGCCCCACACACCCATGGCCCAGAGCCCATGAGTCCATGCCCCTCAGATGCTTCTCAGTGGGGCTGGGCTGTGTCTTCTGCCAGGACTCCTGCAGGGGCCTGCCCAGACCAGCTGCCTGAGGGCTTGGGATGCTGGCCATTTATAAAGCTGCTCCTGTGCCTGTTAAGCCATACAGCCCCGCCCCGTCAGTCTTAGATTACATTGGCTTGTTGGTGCCTTTGGTGGGGTGTGAGGCTGCGCAGTACAGGCTCGTATGCAAACACTGTCAGGCCTTTGAATGCCTGTGATTGGTGTTTTTATACCTGCTGGGGACAGGGCATCTTCTCTCGGGCCTCTTCTTGCTAGGTCTGTTCACAAAACCTTTCCTTTAGGTTTCTTTGCAGCTTCTTGCTTTGGCTGAGAAGTTATCCTTTGTTCCTAGTTACCAAGGGTACTGGCTATGAGATGCCACGTAGAGTGGCAATAGTGAAGTGCAGGCCAGAGGAAGGGCTGTTTCTATGGTGGCCCTGAGGGTTACTGGGAAGGATCAGGGTTGCGCAAGGGGTTGGTCCTGCTACTTTCTGATATCTAGGGTTGCCAGACTTAGCAAATAAAACTATAGAACTCCTAATTAAATCTGAATTTCAGATCACCAATGAATAATTTTTTAGTATGAGTGTGTCCCAAATATTGCATGGGATATACTTATACTAAAAACATTTTGCTGTTTATCTGAAATTTAAATTTAACTTGGCATCCTGTTGGCAGATTCAACTCTGCTGATCTTCCTCTACCCAACAAGTGGCATTTCTTCACTCAAGCAAAACCTGGCTGCCAAGAAGAGAGATTGAGATGATGGTTAGAAGAGTTTGGAGGCTGAGCTCAGGGCTCTCGAGTGCAGATCCAGCACAGACCTTGACGTGATTATTTTGGTCATTCTAGGGAGAGCAAAAGAGCAGGCCTGCTTCAGTGAATTGGGACCTAGAGTCATTTGGATACAGTGGTTGCTTGGCCATTTTCTCATGCAAGGAGGTGGGAGCGGAGAAATACACCAGATAGACACATGTCTCTGAGACCTTTATGGTTCAAGAGGCAACATTGTTGCCAAGGTACACTCAAGGTGGCTGATACTTTATAGCCATACTTTATAACCATGAGAATGTTTATTTCTGGCAGTTACTGTCTGGGCTGTAGCAGAGGACTGGGCAAATGGCAGAGTGCACCCGTAGGATGAGTGCTAATGGCCTAGCTAGCTGTCCACAGAGGAGGCAGCAGGCACCGCCCCGGCTTACTGGCTGTGGGAACACAGCTATGGAAGCTGAGGCAGGAAGCAAGGATGAGGGGAAGGGGAGTGGCAGCCGGGCCACCTCCTGGAGCAGGAACTGGGGCCTGGGGGGTGTTGGTCAGGGGTCAAGAGCAGGATGCAGTCTCTACTGCAAGTGGAGCTTTCTCAGTGGAGCTGGCTCTCGGCTTTATGGACAAATCAAAGAAGATAAATAAAAGCATTCTGGCTTATCACACACCATATGGCTAGCAGACAGTGGGGCCAGCATGAGGGGCTGGGCCTGCTTTGTTTAGGCTATCTTTAGGTATTTTTTTCTTTTTTTCTTTAAGCCTATTCCAATCTTTTTTTTTCTCCCTCTCCTTTTCCCTGGAAGTTTTCTTGCCATATATGGTGATAAGTGACTTTATCATGGAAGACCGCACAGGCTAACACCTGTTTTCCAGGCTAACTGTCTTGTACCAGACTTTGTTCCATTCACCGTATTGGAGGGCACCTCCGGAGGGTATAGGATTTTGTGATAAGGCACATCCTCCTGAGGGGAGGGCAGGTACTTTCTCACGGCCTCACTGTGGTCAGCAGAGCTGAGGCAGCTCCAGCCACTTCCTTGGCTTCTCTGCCTCAGAGTTCACACACCCCGGCTTATCTTCCCTCTTCCCCGAGACCAGCCCAGTTTTGGGGATGGGGCCCCTCCCACTAGCCAGTCAGGCTGGAGGCCTCTGGTGGATCTCACAGTCACAGGCGAAAGCCCAACACCTCCCCTCAGCATCGGGCTCTCCATGCCCTGCCTGACCTTACCTTTCTAGACCCATCTTCTGCCACCACATCCCCTGGGCCCCAGCTCTTGTCATGACCTGCCCCTTTCCTCCTGGAACCTGCTCCTTACACTTCTTTGCCTTGGTTCTTATGCTCACAGAAGTCAGAGGCCCGGTTTGTGTCATATTCATGTAGAACCATCTACCACCTGCATGATTTTTACATTTTTTTGGTCTTAAACTCATACTGCCTGTGATATTTTCTTTCATATTTTTCTCTTTAAATCAGCCAACTTTTGGTCTCAAATAAAATAATTTAAAACAGAAACTTTGTACCTTTCTATAAGCAGAAAACCATCTAACATGTCCCCAAAACAGAAAGTAACTGTAAAAATAAATATATTGAAGACACAACAGTGTCCTAGAATTCTAGCTGGATTTCATTGTTTGTCAAAGTTGCTGATAAAGCGCCCACTCCATTCATGTGTTAGAAAGGGAAATGATCAAGTTCTAGGGAAGGCTTAAAGACATACTAGCACCGCGCTGGAACTTTCTTCCTGATGCAACCAGAAGGACTGCAGGGGAATTGACTGGGAACAACTTTTCAAATATGAGAGTTGTTTTACAGAGTCATGCCTATGTGCCATGGAAATCCACCTTGTGGGCCCAGTCTGGGAAGCCCTGGCCATGCTCTGCTTTGATCAGATGTGCCTTGCCCCATCCTGCCTGCTGAAGGCTTGCTGTTGTTCAAGGCTCAGTCCACAGGTTTTGGACATCCTCAGTGGCAGCTACTGTCCTAGGCCCTGGGGATGCCACTGTCATCTTCCTGACTTCTTGGAGCTTGTTCCATGCTGCCTGACTCCTGCTTTGGGGATACTTGTCAGGCAGAACCTTGTTGGAGTGACTAATTGGGTTAGCTGGAGTGTGGGGTCACAAAGGCTTCTGATATGGAGTGGGGCCTGCTTGCCTCTGTCTGGACTGACTGCTGGGAAGTGATGGCTTGAGATGATGGAGAAGAGAATTTGGGATGCATGGTGTGTGCCAAAGAATAAATGCAGGTGTCCTGTTGTTACTCCATCTGTTTCTGGTTTATGTGTTCTTACCTGGATGACAGCTGTGCTCATCCTCTAATCCTGTACAATACCTTGAGAGCACAGGCCTTTTGTGAGATCAAATACCTATGCATGACAGGCAAATAAGCAGGCTCTTCAGGACCAGGGAAACGATGGCAACAGTTCTGAGTCTGATGCAGGGATGGCAGAGAAGCCCAGGCAGAGTGCAGGGGCAGTGATGTCATTCCCTACTGTGAGGATCAGTGACACCCTCTAGAGGCATTTAGGGAACTTTTTTTGAACAGAACCATGTGTCAGACACTGTCAAGAAGGCCAATAACGGTATTATTGTTAAAAACAAAACAAAACAATCTACACTAGACGAGGGAATATGCACATCAGCTTTTCTGAGAAGCTGCAGATGTTCATAAGATTGTTCTTCTATGTTCCTGAAGGATTTTTCAAGGAACTTTGAAACCTAAGTGGCTGCAGCTCCTTCCTTGCTTTTGTGGGCAGATGCTCATCCTGGCCTGGCGAAGGGTGGGACATCACCCTGGCCACCAGGTCTCCTGAGAGATCACACCCTGGGATCTGCCCAGGTGTTTTGGCCTGTTTCCATTTTCATATCCAACAAAATGCCTTGGGACCATGGCTTCAATCACATTACATGCTGTGGGTTTAGAGTGTTGGATGCTGGTTTTCAGAGGTGATCAAAACTTTTTTTTTTTCTTGTTTAAGAAACAGATAGTTAAGAAAGGGAGATTAAGTTGGAGTTAATAAGAACTCTGAGAAAGAGGAGAAAGAAAAACAGCAAAAGTTTCTTCTTTATCTGGAAAATAACATGCTAAATCTCCGGGTCATCTTGAGAAATCAAAGAAATAGCTAAGAAAAAAACAGTTGCAGGGTTTGGCAAAAGGGGACGCCAACCTTAGATATGAGGTCTTCTGAAAACTTTTAAAATTTGTTTATTTTTTGAATCAGTAGTGTGTATAGTTAAAATTTTTAAATGGTTATAAAAGTTGTCAAAGAAAGGATGTCTTTCAGCTATCCTATTTTTCTCCCAAAGGCAACCACAGTTCCATTTTCTTAACGTGTCTTTCAAAAGCTTGTCAATAAATATAGAAATCTGTGTGTGTACCTCCTTTTATTTTATGCAAATAGTAGTATACTGTGTGCACACTGTAGTAAACTTACTTTTTCTTTTAAAACATCCAACAGCAGAATGGAGGAACAGATTTTGGCAAATCGCACAAAATCTAGCTGTACCAGATGAAATACAACTCAGCAATAACAATATTATGTTATTATGATACACACAATAACATGAATGACTTTTGAAAGCATTAAACTGAGTAAATGAAGCCAGACACAAAAGGCTACCTACTGGATGATTCATTTATATGACGTTCTGGAAAAGGCCAACTAAGGAGAAAGCAGATTGGTGGTTTTCAGCGGCCAGGGTTTGGGGGAAGGGCTGATGATGATTGACTTCAAAGAGGGATGAGACAACTTTCTGGGGCGATGAACATATTCTAAGATCGTGGTTGTAGCGGTTGTATGGTTGCATTTATTAAAACTTAACAGAGTGCACACCTAAAATTAGTGAATGTTATGTATGTAAATTATATCTCAATCAAACTTATTTTGTTAAAAAAAGTTTCGTGGAGATTGTTCCATATTGGTGCATATAGAGCTTTCCTGTTCTTTTTCAGTAGTTCTTTTTCACTATTCCTTGATTTATTTAACCTGTCCAGGTGGTCTTCTATATGTCAGTTCCAGACTAACCTGATCTGATGCTTGTAGACTAGTTATCTTAGTTTGCTTCTCCAGAAGAGGCTCCTCTTCTCTCCCCTAGATCCATAGTATCCTGGCTGAGGACCCCTGAGAGGGCAGCATGGAGGGGCCCTGGTGCTCTCTAAGGTGACCTTGGACATATGTCCTACAGAGGACAAGCCTCTCAGCTATAGGGTGCCCAAGGAAAATGGGAGATTTTTCTTGATTCCTGCAGTTGGCTTTGTGCCCTTGGCAGGCTCTCCTGGTCTGTAGGTAGCATAGATGGCCTGAATGTTTGGTAAGGGGTGCTGGAAACTAGGGCAAGAAAAGAGGGGAAGGTTGGGATGCATAGAACTGATGTGTGGGAAACTACCTTCATCATCCAGCTCAGGTGTGAAGCCGCTGCTCATGCGATATGCTCTGCTCACACAGATGGCACTAAGGAACCGGGAAGCTGGGCTTTGGAGACCACGCTGGAAGTCAGCTCACTGAGTGTGGGTTGCCTTGACCATCTCCTCTGGGAGGCCATGTTGTGCATAGCTGGAGAACAAACTGGGGATGAATCAAGAAGGGAAAGGGTGTGGTGAATGTTCAGCATGGGAGCTGATATCTCCGATGAGCACTGTTTGGCCATTGATTTATTTCTTGGGTGCAATGAAGGGCTCTTAATCTTCTGCATTTGGACACTTGCCACAGAGGACATTGTGATTAGCAAAGGAAGGCACAAAAATTCTAATCCAAAGGCTTTGCCCGCCTTAAGTCCTTTTTTGAAATGGAGCTGATTTAAATATGTAAGTATGGTCACAGCATTGACACTTCAGTGGTTATCGTAAGCTTATTTGTACAGTATGTGAGATGCAGTTTGTAGCAATTGCTATGGGTAAAATTTTTATTTTAAGAGGTGACTTTCTATTTACAGTTATTCATTTACACTGGGTTCATCTATTAATATATACTGTTGATGCCCTTTTAACACTGGTATTCTTTGAAGTCACACATGATAATGTGTTCTGTTTTATTGGTTTTGTCTTTATATTTGAGATGTGATTATAAAGATCCCTTCTGCCTCAAACCTTGAACTTAGATATTCATTATAAGCATGATTCCCTTCAAAGTAATCACCTTCTAGTCATTCCTGTTTTGAAATTTCTTCCATGGTTTGTTTATTCACTTTTATCATGGTCCATTTTTACTCTAGGAGTTAATTCAAATTTTGGAAGCAGCAAGATTTCTCTGCAATCCTCTCTAGTAGATAATAGTGTGTTTGGGGAAAAGTGAGGTATAATAATACAGGAATTAGTATTAAAGAATGTAGTAATTAAACTCCTTTTGAAAATGATTTTAAAAGAATTCCCATAATATTCAGGTAATAGCGATAAAAGCAGCTAACACTAATCGAGCATTTAGTATGTGCTGGTTACTGTGAGTCACTACATGTGAGATAGTTACTGTTTTTATCCTCATCTTACTGTTTCAAAGACAAGGCATAGAAGAGTGAAGGGACTTGCTCACAACCTTACAGTTGACAAGTAGCAGAGGTAGGATTTAAACCCGCAAGTCTGGCTCCTAAGACTTGGGTTTAAACCACTACATTGTAACACCCCTCATAAATACAAGCTAGAACTATTAGTAACTAGTACTTATTATATGCCAGATACTCTTCTACAGGCTTTACATGAAGAAAGAGAGGTTAAGTAACCTGACTCAGGCTATGAACTAGTGAGAGACTTCACTGCCTCTTCATAATAGAGTCCTGGGACCTTCTCTGTGTTAAGCATATGGCCCCCAGAGGTGACAGCTTTTGGGGGTTTATGTTCTAGAGCAGTGATGTGCTGCTAATGTTTAACAACTAGCTCTTGGAAAGAGGGGACATGACTTTTGTAGCATTTTGCAAATTTCCCTGGTGTAAATATTCTTATCATGTCTGATTTCAAGCTACCAATGAGACATCACTGAATGTGGAGTTAGGAAGAGATGCACAATAGCACACAGTTGTTTAGTATTTCCAATAGCTCTAAATATCTTTAAGAGCATAGATGATAGTAAAGTATGGTAAAATAATTAGGAAGTTATGAGTGTTGAGTATTTATTACATTTATCTTAATATAATTTACTTATTTTTAAGTTTATTCAATTTAACTTTTAATAATGGCTGTGTTTAACAACCCTGGCTCATAAACTTTCTGAAAATTTAACAGTTGGCTTTTGGAAACCCACTGCAGCAAGCTCCAGCACACAACTGAATATGTTGAGGGTTTTTTTGTTGTTATTGTTGTTTTTAATTTTAGATTCACAAGGTACAGGTGCTTGTTTGTTCCATGGGTATATCGCATACTGGTGAGTATTGGGCTTCTAGCATGTTTGTTAATAAGTTGGTCATATCACTCAAGTCATGCCTGATACACAGATGTTTGATTATCAGAGTCTTTTTTCTTTCTTGTTTCCTGTGGCTTTTTAAGTTGATGAATAATAGGAAAGTAAATTTGTGGGGTCAGTTAAACCACCAGACGACAGCTTTTATGTTTGTACATTGGTTCAGAGGTACTCTGTATTTTGACTGGATTTATTGGATAGTGTAATTGTTTCCATTTAAAACAATGGAAAAGATTTCATTTAAATTTATTGAGATCTTATTTTTCACCCTCATTCCGTGCACATTTGGGATTCTGTTCGCCAGCCCCTCTGCACTCTGAAGATGCACAGCAGCCTCTCTGTACTCTGAAGACGCATGAATTGCTGACTGTTGGGCTTGCTTGGAGGGGACTGGGGGTTATTACCTCCCACAGGACTGTTTAAGCTCTGGAAGTTTTCCTACCTCCTGCAACTGAATTTAGTCTTAATTAGTACAGAGTGAACTAGCTGTGAACAATCTGGTTTTCTTGCTTTGTGCCTTGATCATGTGAGACCTAAGGGCTGGTCCTGCCCTTTTCTTATCCATTGCTTTAATCAGAAATAACATATCAAGGTGGCCCAAATTGTGTCACTATTCTTTCCTTTGTCTTCTCCACCCATTCCCACGGCATCCATTCCTAAGGTCATTTGGAGAATTCTCTGTTCCAATAAGTGGGATCCACATGGCTCAAGGAGCAACAGGCCTTGGAATCACTCTTTGAGTAGTAGCTGGTCCCTCAGTCTACCCCAAAGAGCTGCCTCGCCAGACCTCCCCACCTCCCGGACATACAGACTCCAGATGTGGAAAAAGCCCTTGCCATCTCTATCCTCCAACACAGAGCTTTGGTGTCCGAGACACATCCAAGTGACAGGCCCAAGAGGGCCTCTGAATGAAGACGGATGAGCCGTGTGGACACAGCCACACTATGTTTTCGTGAAGGCATAAGACCATGGGCCAACTTTCTGGGCATCCAGGGCTGGCTGCAGAGGCTGGAGTGAGTGGCTTTCAAGGCAAGACTGATAATGAAAGTCGTGTTTGGGTGGGAATCACAAGCAGGGGAAGTGGGGGAGCCAGCTTCCCTTCGTGCTGTGTGTCACAATAAGATAGGACACAGATGCAAAAGCAGATCGCTACAGCTGGATCTGGGTAAAGGTGGCAGTGACGCGTCGGTGCAGAGAATTCCTGTTTTGAGGAAAGATTCGGAGCCAGCTAAGGTTTTCTGAGGGCCCGTCATGTCTCAGACTGTCACACTTATTCCTCTGTCATGTATGCTTAAGTCTGTTTTAGATGACCCCTTGTAAAGAAAGGAAGCCTGGCCCCTGAAGCCTCATTGCGTGGGATAAGGGGACTAACATATTCTGTGGTTGTACCAGCAAATTATTATTTATTTCTTATTTTATAAAAGTATAGATTTTATTCATGCCTATATTGTTAGAGAAAATCATTATTTTTAGTCAACGTATTAGTATTAATATCATGGCCTCTTTTCTTCTCATTTTGGAAGGGGAATATTTTTAGACTCTTTAATGAGAGAGTCATTTTCTCAGTAAATATTTGATTGGCCTGAAGTTAAGTGGGTAGGCGTAAAAAATTATGGAAGTATTGGACTTGAGCAAACTTTTGACAAATAGCGCTCTCTTTCTCTCTTGGGCGTATGCGTGTGTGCATGCATGTACTCCAGCTCTCTGTGTATGTTACACACACACACGTTTTTCGCATAAAACATTTTTATTTTGGGCCAGGTGTGGTGGCTCACGCCTGTAATCCCAGCACTTTGGGATGCTGAGGCAGGCAGACCATCTGAGGTCGGGAGTTCAAGACCAGCCTGGCCAACATGGTGAAACCCCGTTTCTACTAAAATTACAAAAATTAGCTGGGCATGGTGGTGGGTGCCTGTAATCCCAGCTACTCTGGAGGCTGAGACAGGAGAATTGTTTGAATCTGGTAGGCGGAGGTTGCAGTGAGCCAAGATTGTGCCACTGCACTCCAGCCTAGGAGACCGAGCAAGACTCCATCTAAAAAAAAAAAAAAAAATCTTTATTTTGAAATAATAGCAGTCTTACAAAAAAGTCATTAGGATAGCACAAAGAAATACCGTAAATTCTTCACCCAGATTCCCTAAATGTCATTTGCTTTGTAATTTTCTATCTATTCGTACTTCTTACCTGTTTGAGAGTAAGTCGGAGACGCGATGCCCCCTTATCCCTAACATCAGGGATATTTCCTGAGAACAAGGACATTCTTTTACGTAACCATAGCACAATTATTGAAATAAGGAAATTAAGTGATACATTACTGTTAGCTTATCTGCAGAACTCACTCAAATATCACCAGTTATCTTCATGTCCTTGGTAGCAAAAGAAAATCCCGCACTATTGCATTTGGCTGTCACATCTCTTTAGTCTGGAAAAGTCACTCAGCCTTGCTCCTTCATGTCCTTGACATTTTTGAAGAGTACAGGTCAGTTTGTCTGTTTCATCATGATTAGATTCAGGATGTATATTTTCTGCAGGAATACCACAGAATACTTGTGTCCTATATATTTAAAAACATATACATCCAACATCACTGAAGGTATGTATTTTTAACTCCTCCTTTAAAGTGGTTTTCCAAAGTTAGTTGCCATCCCCAAAAGGGAGCTTTTAGACATTGAGAGAGGTGATTATGAAAGTACGATAGCTTGCTCACCACCTCTCTCCTCTGCTCCTGGGAGCACAGGGGAGTTTCAACTCTGGGGAAGGTGATCATTTGGGTCATTAGTAGCGCTTTGAGTACCATGGTGTCTGCAGGGAGTTCCCAGTTCTTACTGCTGTCTGAGAATAAAACATAATATCTTTGGTCTTCACAGAGGTATCAGACAGGAATTCCACTCAGCTTGCAGGAATTGAGACCCCAGGACAGGGGCTTAAGCACATCAAGATAATTTCTCTCTCTTCTAGAGGAAGAGAAGTTGCTGATGTTGGTTCAGTGACTCGAGGATGTTCTCTGACCTTTCACTTATTCAGGAAATGTGCATTGCATACCTATTATGCCGTAGGCTGGGGGGCCCTCAGCTCTGCTGTGAAGAGACAAGGATCCTTGTCCCCCTGGGAGTTTATATCCCAGTAGGGGGAGACAGACAATAGATATAATAAGAAGAAAATTAAGGTGCATTAGAAGGCGATGAGGCTATGGAAAAAAAGAAAGAAAATAGAGCCCAGTGAAGCGGGTTTGGGAGTGCAGGCATGGGGTTATGGGGGTCAGGGTGACCTCACTGACGAGGTGTGATTTGAGCAAAGCATGGAAGGAGGCTGGGGAGTTAGCACAGCGGGTTCCTGGAGGAGGGCTCAGACCAGTGTCTGAGTGTCTGGTGTGTCTGAGGAGGAGCAGGGAGACCAGTGTGGGCAAAGAGGTCAGAGTGGCAGTGATGGTTGTGAGCGGGTCATCTTGGGCTTCCTAGGCCTTGGGAAGGATTTGCCTTTACTCAGAGGGGGATGGGAGTGTGTGAGGGATCTGGGCAGGGTGGTGACCTGGCCTGCCTTCCATTTTTACAGGCCCCTGCTGGCGGCTATGTTGGGAAGGCCTGTAGGAGGCGGTAGAGCAGCAGGAACGGGGTTAGGAGACTGAGCGTTACCCAGGGAAGAGGGTGGCTCCACTGGGGCCATAGTGGTAACATTGTGAGAAGTGGTCAAATTCTGCGTGCATTTTGAAGGGGGATCCTACAGCATTTCCTGAGGGTTTGATTGTCAGTTGTGAGGGAATAAGATATCAAGGGTCACTCCAAGCTTTTCAGCCTGAGTACCTAAAAGGATGGAGTTGTCACTGGTGGTGTTTTCAACGGAAGGTGCAGGTGAGCAGGTTGAAAGGGGGAAGATCTGGAGTTTGTTTTTAGACACACTGGTAGATGTTTAAGTGTGTATGCGTATGTATGAGTCTTCAGTTTGAGTAGTAGTCTGAGTAAGAAGTATCAATTTGGGAGTCGCCAGCAGACAGATGGTATTTAATGCCAGGAGATTTGATGAGATCACCCAGGGTGTGAGGGGAGATAGAGAAGAGAGGGGGACCAAGGGCTGAGCTGTGGACACTCCAACACTAAGAGCATCTTTTCCTCCTACCCCTAAAATGGCTCTGGGGCTCCAGCCATTGTATGTGTTTTTCATGCAGGAAGAAGTGGGACATGCAAAGGGGCTCTTTATAATCTGGTCTGAGGCCCCTGTAAAGAGCCTCCAGTGACTTCTGCTTATAACGCATTGACCATCCATATTTTAAAAGAGGTTGGAAGATGTCTAAGTACCAGCTAGACATCTTATAAATCCTATCACTATAGAGTTTTGCTCTCCAGCAGAACTTTCTGTGATGAAGGAAATGTTCCGTATCAGCACTGTCCAATATGGTGGCCAGTGACCACATATGACTGTGAGCACTTAAAATGTGGCTAGTGCCAATAAGGCATTGACTTTTTACTTTTCTATACTTTTAATTAATATAAATTCAAACTGAAATAACACATGTGGCTAGTGGCTACCATGTTGGACAGTGCAGATATTGAAGTTTGATTTTTAAGAAGGAGAGGGACAGACACTGGACAGACAACTCACAGCTCCTGCCACAGTACAGCATGGAGCCTCCCAAGGCACTAGTCACACAGATCAAGCCACACAGCCAAATGGAAATACAAATAATAGATTGAGGTCACATTGACTGTTTCACGTTGTACTTAGACATGCTGATTAAAACCTGAGTTGCAAGTGTACCATGGAACATAATCTCTCCCTCTAGTGTTTTGGAACAATCACACACAAATGTTTATATCCACATACAGGCCCCATATACAATGGGGGAAACAGAACAGAAGAAGGTTGGATGGTTCACCAAGTTGAGTGGGTCCTTCAAAGGATGTCACCATCTTGGATGTGATGTTTTCTGTTTTCAGTGGCATAGAACTAGATAAAAGGTGGCAGTGCAGAGGATGGAAGTGGTATTGCTCAGTGGGAAAGGGAAGGCATTTTAGGTTTGGGACATATTACAATATTGCCTTTTAGCGTAGAAAAGCCCTCCTTCCTGATGCTCTTGCTAGTGCTGGGTGGAAAGATTCCCTTTCAACTCAACATGTGTGAAGCACATGAACTGAAGCACTCTTCCTGCTTAGCATGGCAGGGGCTGGGCCAGGCCAGGGTGGACCAGGTCTTGCTCTGATCAACCACATGGTCTCAGGCAAGTTGCTTCACCTTTACTGCTGAGCTTCAGTGTCCTCAGCTGAAATGGGGAGCAGAATACTGACTTCTTAGTAGGGGTCTGGTAAACACTGGGCCCCTTTTTCCTTCTGCTCTACCCTGCAAATCTTTTCCTCTTTCTAACTGCCTCTGCATTTGGAAGGGGTCAAGACTCGTTTCATAGTTTTTTGGGGGATTAAAAAATGATTAGAAGCAGATGGTGAGAAGAAAATAGAAAGTATGGAGCAAATAAGAAATGTGGGAAGAGAAGAGGGCAAATGGTAAGGCAGCTCTCGGAGCTGGCACGTTCTTTCTCTCTGGACCAGAGCAAGCCAGAGCCTCTCAGTCATCTTCACGGGCTGGTTGACAAGGACTCCTCACGTTAGCGTGCACACGAAGAACCTGGGACCTTGTTCAATGCAGATCCTGATACAGCAGATCTGAGGTGAATTTCTAGCAAGCTCCCTGGTGACGCTGGTGCTGCTGGTCCATAGACCACAAAGCAAGGAGCTCGAAGACATAGATACCAAAAGTTACAGGGGAAAACGGACAAAGCCACCAGCTGGCAGTTGATGCAGGTATCAGAAGCAAGTGGGCCTCGGAGGGGCCAGATGCCTCTCTCCTCACACTGACCGTGAGAGCGAGTGCTCCTCATCAACAACGTGGGGCCAGGCTTGAGTCAGCAGCACTGACTTTATGTGACCTAGTGCAGCTCGCCAGCCCACGCTGATGTGTGTTAATGGAGGGGGTGCCCCTTATAGGAGGGTGGTGTGGGCTATAATTTCTTCTGCATTCTCTGCCTATTGCTTGAAGGACAGTGTTGTCAGCAGTCAACTGACTGAGCTTGACTTTTCAGCAGTTTTTTTAAACTTCACTGCAGTGTTTTTGGACACAGCTATGTCAGAAATCTATTTCCCCTTCTCAGAGACCAGGAAGCTCTTGAGGTACAAGCTCTTATTAAGCAGAAAATTTTAAAGTGGTTTTCCTTCTCCTTTTCTTGGGTCTGCTTTCTTGGGGCAAACAGAATACGAGAAGCCAGCTTAGAAATTGCATGGGTCCTTCCTGCATTTTGTGAGAAAATGGTGGCCTCCTATATTTCTTCCCTGACAGGTTACTGTGGGCCACCAGCCTCCTTGGTGACTTCTGTTTTGCAGATGGGGAATTTGTTGATTGTAGTGAGTACGCTGTGTGCGGCAGAAAGGATTCTGTCACCTACAGAGAGCTAGGGAAGCGCCCAGGCTGAGGAAACCCACCCCTTCGAAGCAGCCATCCATAGGTAGCCTGGGGGTCTTTTCACAAGACAGCCCTAGCCCCAGTTCATGGGAGTTGGAACAATGGTGGGTCCAATGGTGGATGAATAGTTTATTCACATGCATCCCAGGAGATTTGTGTGAAGAGGGTGACAGAGAGTTGCTTCTTTTAAAAAAAATGTATTAAGGGCTATGTAAATAAAAAGAAGAAATTAAGTTGTAACAGTAACAATAATAGCTATCTTTTATTGAGCATTTACTATATGCTACATGTTTTACATGTACATGAAGTCCTTATAAAGAATACAATTACATATGTTAATATGTGATTATATACAGAAAATTGTATCAGAATTATATCTACATATATAAAAATAAAATAAAATCTCATTTTACCATTGAGGGATCTGAGATTTAGAGCATTTAATTTATTTAAGATCTCACAGCTGGTAAGCAGCCAAGTCTTGGGTTTGAATCCCATCCAGCAACCAACTAGTTCTATGACTTTGAATGCAAAAGATGATGGCTTTTCTCATTATTATTACCTAGTTAGTCTGAGAAAGAGAAAACTCCATTCTGGATGGCCCATTTCTGGGTGGATTGGTGCTAGGTTTCTCCTGGTCTTGGACGAGGTTGCACTTTTCAGCCGCTCCTGTGCACGTGTGTCCGTGCTCTGAGGTGGGAGGAAAGCTCAATGTGGGTCTGTGAGTCCAGGGCAGGCAGGAGTCCTGGGGACTGGAGGTTCTCTGCACTTCTGTTTGATCTTCCCTGCCTGTCTGTGGCCTCTGCAGTTTAAACAATGACTGTCACTTAAACCTCTTCTGAAGAGCTTGAAGTCTGGTCCATGCCTTCAGCCCACCAGCATGTGTTGAGTACCTGTTGGGTACACAGCTCTGTGTCTGGTGGAGGGGAAACAAAGATTAAAAAGACTGGGCCCTGTCCTCCAACAGCTCAGGTTATTTCATGCCTGCATTCGGGGCACTGTCTTACTTGGCCTAGTCCCACACTTGTCCCTCCCACCCCTTGCTTCTCTATTTTCAATTCACTTCTGTTTCTACACACATCAGTGATGTAGTGTCCTATGTACAGGTGTGCCTGGGACAGTCCTGGTTTATGCCTGTTGTCCCAGCATAATCATTAATAGTTCTCTATTTCACTCTCAAGTGTTCCGATTTGGATGGCACCCTATTTATTGAGTGCTCATTGTGTGCCAGACACTGTGCTGGGCCCGGGGCAGATGGAGACTCGTAAGCCATAACCGCTGCCTCCCAGGAGCTAGTCTGCTGGGGCATCCGTTCTGAATACCATGACTTGGCAAGTGAAGCATTCCCATGCCTTCCAGACTCCTGGCTCTGCCTGTGTGAAACGTACTCCATTTCCAGAGCCAGCTGCCGAGCTTTTTCCCCTGGGCTGACTTTCCACCACCCTGACCTGCGATTCCTCTCTGCTAACCCTCCTCTCACCGTTCTCCCCAGGGTGGGCTGTGGGCCTTCTGGTGCTGAGCTCCCTCACATCTGAGCTGTCTTAGCACCTTCTTTCCACCTGTATTTGTGTTACTTGGATATTTGTGTTTTATCTTCTGTACCAGAGCATAGGTTATTTTAAAGCAGGGAGCTTATGGCATTCAACACTGTCACCCTGGGAATAGGACCCCCAAAACACTTTATTTCTCAAATAAATGATGGAGTAGGTTCCAGCGTTGTTTCTTCCTTGCTGTCCATTTCTAAGGATGAGTAAAGAGTTAACGTATTGAACTTGAAAGGAGAGATTTTTTTCCCTCTTGTAATAAATCAAACTTTTCTGAATCTGGAAAAGTGATGGATGAAACTATGTGAGCACACACACACACACACACATATACACCCCATAACCATTTTGAGGTCATTTAATAAGGGATTGCTTTCTGGATAATCTCGCTCCTTGGGTATAAATCTAATGTGAAAGGGCAGGGGTCAGATATTTACCCCAAAGGGTTGGTGTGAGGATAAAATGAGGCATTGCTTTTAAAGTGCTAAGCTCAGCCCACTGAAAAATACGCAAATGCATCAGAAGAGTCCTCTGTAAATCCACTGAGCTGGAATTTCCAAGCAGGTGTCCTTGCTGCCTCTTGTTAGCCTTTTGTGAGTTAATTCTTTGTTTAATAACAAAGAGCTGCCAGATGGTAATTTTGGAGGCTCAGATACACTCTGTTGCACGTGCCTGTCCAGCTTACTTAAAATATGTCAGAAAGAATGAGGGAATGACTCAAACAATTTCAGGAAATGGTTCAAGGCTGTGTAACCTTTAAGGAAAACCACACGGAGCCATTACCTTGTGTTGAAAGGCAGCTCCCTGGCTCCCTGGGAGGCCTGGTGGCAAGCAGTGAGACACTTGATTTAGGTGAAGGGGGGCCCCAAGGCAGTGGTGCCTCCCTTCCTTCTGCCCAGAATTGAGGTGTTGTCCCTACAGTGGAAACTCAAGAGCAGCACTGTCTGATAGAAATATAATGTGGTCACATCTGTAATTGTAAATTTCCTTTTTTTTAAAATTATGCTTTAACTTCTAGGGTACATGTGCACAACGTGCAGGTTTGTTACATAGGTATACATGTGCCATGTTGGCTTGCTGCAGCCATCAACTCATCATTTACATTAGGTATTTCTCCTAATGCTATCCCTCCCCCAGCCCGCCACCCCCCGACAGGCCCCGGTGTGTGATGTTCCCTGCCCTGTGTCCAAGTGATGTCATTGTTCAAGTCCCACCTATGAGTGAGAACATGTAGTGTTTGGTTTTCTGTCCTTCTGATGGTTTGCTGAGAATGATGGTTTTCAGCTTCATCCGTGTCCCTGCAAAGGACATGAACTCATCCTTTTTTATGGCTGCATAGTATTCCATGGTGTATATGTCCCGCATTTTCTTAATCCAGTCTATCATTGATGGACATTTGGATTGGTTCCAAGTCTTTGCTATTGTGAAGAGTGCTCCAATAAACATATGTGTGCATGTGTCTTTATAGTAGCATGATTTATAATCCTTTGGGTATATACCCAGTAATGGGATTGCTGGATCAAATGGTGATTCTAGTTCTAGGTCCTTGAGGAATTGCCACACTGTCTTCCACAATGGTTGAACGAATTTACACTCCCGCCAACAGTGTAAAAGTGTTCCTATTTCTCCACATCCTCTCCAGCATCTGTTGTTTCCTGACTTTTTAATGATCACCATTCTAACTGGCATGAGATGGTATCTCATTGTGGTTTTGATTTGCATTTCTCTGATGACCGGTGATGATGAGCATTTTTTTTTCTAGTAGCCACATTGAAAAAGTTAAACAGGTAAAACTAATTTCAATAACATATATCAGTTTGCTAGAGCTGCCATAATGAAGACCACAGACTTGTGGTTTATATGAACAGAAATGTATTTGCCCACAGTTCTGGAGGTTGGAAGTCCAGGATCAGGTGTCCACAGGTTTGGTTTCTCCTGAGGCCTCTCTTCTTGGCTTGTAGATGACTGCCTTTTCCCTGTGTCCCCGCATGGTCTTTCCTCTGTACTCATATCTCTGGGGTTTCTGTGTGTCCACATTTCCTCCTATTCTAAGGACTCCGGTCAGATTGGATTAGGGCACACCCTGAGGGCCTCGTTTTAATTTAATCAACCCCTTTAAAGGCCCAGTCTCCAAATACAGCCCCATTCTGAGGTACTGGGAGTTAGGACTTTAACACAGGAATTTTGGGGGAACACAGTTCAGCGCATAAAAATGTATATTATTTAGTCCAATATAGCCAAAATGTTATTATTTCAACATAAAATCAATAAAATGTTAATGAAATATTTGCCTTCTTTCCTGTACTAGGGCTTTGAAGTCTGGTGTGAATATTAGCCCCATTTTATGATCTCATTAGGCACACGTGGGTAGTGGTGACCGTATCAGACAGTGCAGGTCTAGTGTCGAACCTCCTAATCTCTTGGGAGACCTTGGGATTGTCGTAAGGAGGCCTGAGTGAATTCATAAAACATATGCAGTTCCTGAATCAACTAATAAGTAAAAGTATACCTTTTATCACCTGAGGTTCTGGTAAATATTTTGGTATTATAAAGGTTGCTTTCACACTTACAAAAGTTAAGAAGCATGGTTCTGACTTTCCTAAACTGGGGTTTCTAGAGCCCAAGCTCCATTAGCATGGTGATGACGGCCTGCAAAATCTTTCCAGCATTTCAGAAAGCCTGGTGGGATCACAGGGGTTGCCATTCAGCTACTGACAAGGTCAGCATCATTGCTTTCAGCTGGCGTTTTAGTACAGTTTTTCTGGTGACCTTGTGCTGATCAAACTTTCCGCGTGGCTTTTTATGACACTGTAACAATTACTGGGGTCATGCCTGGAGAGGTGGCCCACAGTTCATGCACAGGCTCGAGTACAAGCCTTCCGGGGACTCATCTCTCAGCCCTGTTATTATTCTCAGGGATTTGGAGGGTGCAGAGGTAGATGAAGTAAGCAAGCACTATTGTGCTTCCTGTGTTGAAGTCAGGGAATAAGAATTTCCTCTGTGCCACAAATAATGCTCCCCACCTGTATAGAATGCCTGGGAAATGCAACACTGGCCATCCTTCAGCTCTTCTGCTTACAGCTGTTGTGCTGGTGGGTCTCCTCCTATTCTCAGAGCAGAGAGCCACGAATGGGGCACTCGGGGCCGTGACAGGCATCCCTTAGCTCTGGCCTTCTGGTTGTGGGCAGACTCTGCTGTGTCCGGCAGCCCATCCAGCGTTGGATGGCATCAGCAACCTGAAAGCCCTTTCTTAGGCTGAACCAGAGTCTACCTCCATGTAATCACACACTCCCCTCCTATTTCTGCCCCGGAGCACCTACAGATATCTGTCTGTCTGTCCCCATCCCCACTGCCTACTTCCTCCAGACTCAGCATCCTGAGTTCCTTTGGGTTACTAGTTCATTTTGGAACTTATTCCACTATTGAATTATCCGTATTCTTTGGTTTTATACCTTTATTCCTCTTTAGTTGACCTTTTAGATACTTTTCTAACCATGCCCCCTCCCCGCTGCCCCGAAAGATCAGGGAAAATAAGAAGAAATTCAAACCCTTGTTTTGCTCCTCATCAGCGACAGTGGTAGGGAAGATGCCCACGGCACGGAGGTTCAGTGGTTGTTTTCATTCTTTCCTGTTAGCCAGTTTCCTCAAATTGGTCAGTATAATCCTACCTCTTGGAGCGATAGCTGGCTGGATTCTTCTGCCATTTTGGCAGTTATATATTGGTCTGGATTTAAAAGTGATGTTTATTCCATAGCTCTCCTGAATCTGACATTTGTTCCTCTTTCATCCTATACTTCCCTGGGCATGATACCCTTCTTTCCATCAGCTGTGTTGGAGAAATGTGGCATGTGGCAGATGTATCCTTGCTTGTTTAATTAATGAGCCAAACAGTCCAGAAACTTAGGTTACAACCAAGGTAGTCTGGCAAGAAATATACATGAATTCAAAGAGGTTTGGGATAATTTTATTAATGATAAAACCATAAAGAACTCAGAAAATATTTTAAGATGCTTGGCATCAGGAACTATTTCATTTGTCTCCATATCCCCAGCACCACGCAGAGTAATTGACATTGACTAATTGCCCAATAAATGTTCACTGAATGTTAGGAGAAGCTGGAGTATTTCCAAAATGAACATATGCTCAAGATATTCTACTAGAAGTTTACAATGTTATCTTTTACATTTAGATTAGTGATCCATTTTGAGTTAATTTTTGTGTGTTGTCCAGGATAGTTTCAAACAGTTGTGCAAAACAATTCTGTTTGTTGGTTATCATGGGTAGACTAATACCTGTCAGATCATATAACCCGACAGTCAGCTGGAAACACTTGGTCACATGAGATTGCCTATCTACATTTTAAATTTGGCTTCAGAGGGAGCAGCCAGCAACTCCCTTCAACCCCCTAAATTTTGGATTGTCCTAATGAAATCTTGGACTGAAGCAGTACATTTTTAACCAGGCTTTCTCAGGAGATTTGGTTCGGCTGGCACTCAGCCCACACTTTGCTTAACTCTGAGCAAAGGTGTCCGTGGGTGGATAATCCCACCTCCCCATTCTGGATGTGCCAGCACTTTTCCTACTCATCCCCAGTTATGGAATGTCTAATTCTTTCTCATTTTCTCCTGTCACTACCATGCTGCAGTGAGCATCTTGGGTCACCTAACTATTAATTCTGGAGGACAGATTCCAGCCGTGGCTTTGCTGGGTCAATGTTACAGCCATTTATGTCCCCTCAGATGTTGGGTTGGTCCTGGATGCTGCCCTGTAACTCCATCACACCCATCTGAAGTCCTGCCTGGTAGGCAGCAGACACTGGGTGTGGCTTGGTTTCTCATACCTTTTTATTTCAGTCCCTGGTGTTTTTGTCATCTTGTGTGGCAGTGGCAGTGCTCCAGCTGATCATTTTTATGGGACAGTCCTTCCTTGATGAGACCCAGATCCCTGTCACTTGACAACATAAAGAATATTATTCTTCATACCAGCATTTCCCAAAGCATTTTTTCAAAGGATAGTAACGACTTTTATGTCAAAAAACAAAACAAAATTTTGAATTCAAATTAATTTTGGAACATAATTGAATTTAACGCAGGCTTTTTATTGCAGGACTTCATGGAGCTTTAGAAGCCCAGGCACGCAAGGAGGATGCACTGTTTGGCATTTCCTAAATGTACTTGACCACGGAACACCATTTTTCTCCTGAGGTTTAGGAAATGGTGCTATGATATAGATTAGTTTTCTATGAATAACTTGGCTTTATGCCTTCATATACCTTTTCTCTCTACTCATGTAGAAACTCTTCTTCAGCTTCATGTTTTAATAATGGAAGAACTTAGTGATGTTTCATATGTAGAGATTTTTCTCTAGGTCCTTCTCATCGATAAGACCTGTTTCAAGATATGGCAAGCCCTAGTTCTGATCTCTGGGGTCCTCACCATTTATAGACTTCCATTAGTCCTGTTGTGACTTAATTGTTTTGTTATATTTTTGGTGGCCTCCTACACTATGGAAGACTTTCTGAAAGCCCATATCTCATGCTAAATTTAGCTGGATTTTTAACAGCCTTGATTGATTGCTGGTCTTAATGGAAGAAAATGTGATCCTTTCTCTTCCTCCCTTGTCATTAAATTATTACTAATCTATGACCAGAGGAAGCAGCCACTGCATACGTGGGTGTATTTTTAAAAATTGTGACACATCATCAAGATGGATATACTTGCCCCTTTAATTCAACAGGCACCTGTTGAATGCCTGTGCATGCAAACATGATGCTGGGCTGAGCCCTGGGGCTTACCCTGAAGAGCTTTGGAGCCCACAGCAGAACTCCCAGCCAGGCTCATCCACCACTACAGCCACAACCATCCCTACCTGGAGAAAGGGGCTAAAAGAAGCCCATGGGATTAACAGACATTCTGAAACACCAACCCTTAGGAAAGGAGTAGAAATGGGAGTTGGGATTAAAAGCAGAGGTGAGGTTAAAGGGTTTGAACAAAATGGGCCTGATCTTGGGCTTCTGAAGTCCTGTATAGTGTAAGTGCTGACCTGAGGGCCTGTGGCTCTCCTGTAGTGAGGGAGGATCCAACTGGAGTATGACTTCCACCTCTGCATGGCCAGCCTGGTGACGTGAAGCACATTTCTTATGTCAGGTTCCCAGTTTCCTCTTCTGTAAAATGGAGGCAGCATGGGATTGTAATGAGGATTAATGGAGCTCATTTACCTGAACGCCCCAGAGGGTGCTTAGCAAATACTTTATGCTTCTTGTGGGTCCATTACTTTCCCTTGCCTGTTTTTTTAGGGACCCTGGAGTGTTACCTTGGCTTCTGATTAAAAGCTAGGTTGGCAGATGCAAGCACACATGCCTCCTATAGTGTTGTCCTAGACTGGGGTGGTGTTAGTGGTCAGGCAAATAATTGATCACTCTGTGTTCTCAAGACAAGCAATGGGTAAGAAGACAAGGCCACGGAGGTCAAAGATACAGAAAGATAATTGCCATATATGCTATGCAGCCAGTTCCCCTACCTCATGTGATTGTAGAGTGGTTCTTACACTAGGGTGGCATAGAATCACCTGAAGGGCTTGTTTAAACAGATCATGGGTGGTGGGTACAGCATTTCAGGTGCGGAAGATGAAAGGTTCTGGAGGTGGATGGTGGTGATGGTTGCAGAATAATGAAAATGTACTTAATGCCATAGAACTGGACACTTGAAAATGGTGAAAGTGATACATCTTATATTGCTCTCCCTGCCCCATCACAAATAGATTGCTAGGCTCACTCCTTATAGATTCTGATTCTGTACCTCTGAGGTGGACCTTAAGAGTCTGCATTTGTAACATTCCCACGTGATGCTGCTGGTCTAGGGACCCCAGTGTGGAACCCTTGCTGACTGGGTTGGGAGTGACGTTGGGAACTGTTTCGCCAGAAATACTGGGGACCCTTGAGTGGTAATGGAATTGGTTGTATATTTTAGTATGATAGTTCTTATAGATGATAAAGACCTCAGAAAAATCTCACTATGTCCATGCCCAAGAGTTCCACCATGAGCACATGCCTTGAGGGCAGTGACCCTGGCTCCTATTGTCTCTGTCTCTCTATATCTATAACTTTTAATCTTGAAATAGTTTAAGATTCATAAGAAGTTATAACTCATAAGAAGTTTTAACTCATAAAAAGTCAAAATAGTACAATAGTCCCCCCTTATCCATTGGGAATACATTCTAAGACCCCTAGTAGATGCCTGAAACTGTGGGTAGTCCTGAACCCTTTATCTGCTGTTTTTTCAATCTGATAACTGAGACAGCTAGTAAGGGATTAATGGGTAGTAGTGTAATAGCATGGATGTGCCGGACAAAGGTGTGATTCCCATCCTGGGCAGTATGGCATGAGATTTCATCACACTACTCAGAATAGCATGCAGTTTAAAACTTGTGAGGATGAGGGGAACTACTCTATGGAAAGATTCAGGTACCCTTTACCCGGCTTTTCCCAATGATAACATCTTACATATACATAGTACATTATCAAAAGTAGGAAACTGTTATTGGTTTAATACTATACATTCTTTTAAAAGAGTGCTCAACTCAAGATTAGGAATCTATTTTTCAACTACCATTAGCCCCACTTTGGCAAGGCCAGGTGGGATAAGTGCTGGGGCTCCTATGGTGGGTGTGCTGCAGTCTTCAGCAGAGCTTGGCTACAGAGGAGAAAGATCTAAACTGGACCAATTTCATATGGTCATTGCCTCTGGCTTGTGGCTGATCATCTTGTTCTTTGGAATTGACTGTCTCATGAAATAGTGAGTTTCTTGTCACCAGAGAGATTTAAGCAAGAGCCATGGAATCCCTGTCCCCAGCACTGAGAAGGAACATGAACCATGTATTCCCTGAATGTCTTATTCCTTAAAAATCCTGTGATTCTATCAATTGTTTTGTTAGAGTTTGTGGCTGACATTGATTACACTATGAGTCATGTGACATTCCATGTTGATGTAGTTGCCAAAATGCTCGCCTTCCTGGGTTCTGCTTTCATTAGTTTGAGAGAGGAGCTGAGCCACAGAAAAGGGGCTGGAGTCTGCTAGATTAATGAAGATTTGGGATGTGTAGTCTGTTTTCACACTGCTGATAAAGACATACCCGAGATTGGGTAAATTATAAAGAACAAGAGGTTTAATGAACGCACAGTTCCACATGACTGGGGAAGCCTTGCAATCATAGCAGAAAGCGAAAGGCACGTCTTACATGGATGGTGGCAGGCAAAGAGAGAGAACTTGTGCAGGGGAACTCCTCTTTATAAAACCATCAGATCTCATGAGACTTACTCACTATCATGAGAACTGCATGGGAAAGACCCATCCCCATGATTCAACTACCTCCCACTGGGTCCCTCCCATGACAGTGAGAATTGTGGTAGCTACAATTCAAGATGAGATTTGGGTGGGGACACAGCCAAGCCATATCATTCCGCCCCGGCCCCTTCCAAATATCATCTCATCACATTCCAAAACCAATCATGCCTTCCCAACAGTCCCCCAAAGTCTTAACTCATTTCAGCATTAACTCAAAAGTCCACAGTCCAAAGTCTCATATGAGACAAGGCAAGTCCCTTCCACCTATGAGCTTTTAAAATTAAAAGCAAGTTAGTTACTTCCTAGATACAATGGGGGTATAGGCATAAGGTAAATACACTCATTCCAAATGGGAAAAATTGGTCAAAACTAAAGGCTAAATGCCCCCATGCAAGTCCAAAACCCAGCGGGGAAGTCAAATCTTAAAGCTCCAAAATGATCTCCTTTTACTTCATGTCTCACATCTGGGTCATGCTGATGCAAAAGATAGGCTCCCATGGACTTGGGCAGCTCTGCGTCTGTGGCTTTGCAGGGTATAGCACCCCACCTGGCTGCTTTCACTGGCTGGCATTGAGTATCTGTGGCTTTTCCAGGTTCATGGCACAAGCAGTTGGTGGATCTACCATTCTAGGGTCTGGAGGATGGGGGCCGTCTTCTCACAGCTCCACTAGGCAGTGCCCCAGCAGGAGTTCTGTGTGGAGGCTCTGACCCCACATTTCCCTTCCACACTGTCCTAGCAGAGGTTCTTTATGAGGGCCCCCGTGAGGGCCCCACTCCTGCAGCAGATTTCTGCCTGGGCATCCAGGCATTTCCATGCATCCTCTGAAATCTAGGCAGAGGTTCCCAAACCTTAATTCTTGACTTTGTGCAAGCTGCCAAGGCTTGGGGCTTGTGCCCTCTGAAGCAACAGCTCAAGCTGTACCTTGGCCCCTTTTAGCCATGGCTGGAGTGGCTGGGACACAGGGCACCAAGTCCCTAGGCTGCACAGAGCAGGGGGACCCCAGGCCTGGCCCATGAAACCATTTTTTCCTCCTAGGCCTCCAGGCCTGTGATAGGAGGGGCTGCCATGAAGACTTCTGACATCCCCTGGAGACATTTTCCCCATTGTCATGGCGATTAACATTTGGCTCCTCAGTACTTATGCAAATTTTTGCAGCCAGCTTGAATTTCTCCTCAGAAAATGGATTTTTCTTTTCTATCGCATTGTCAGGCCACAAATTTTCCAAACTTTAATATTCTGTTTTCTTTTTAAAACTGAATGAATTTAACAGCACCCAAGTCACATCTTGAATGCTTTGCTGCTTAGAAATTTCTTCCACCAGATACCCTAAGTCATCTCCCTCAAGTTCAAAGTTCCACAAACCTCTAGAGCAGGGGCAAAATGCCACCAGTCTCTTTGCTAAAACAGCAAGAATCACCTTTACTCCAGTTCCCAACAAATTCCTCATCTCCCTCTGAGACCACCTCAGCCTAGATTTCGTTGTCCCTATTATTATCAGCATTTTGGTCAAAGCCATTCAACAAGTCTCTAGGAAGTTCCAAACTTTCTCACATTTCCTGTCTTCTTCTGAACCCTCCAAACTGTTCCAACCTCTGCCTGTTACCCAATTTCAAAGTCGCTTCCACATTTTCAGATATCTTCACAGCAATAGCCCCCTCCTGGTACCAATTTACTGTATTAGTCCGTTTTCACACTGCTGATAAAGACAACAATACCCCACTCCTGGTACCAATTTACTGTATTAGTCCATTTTTACACTGCTGATAGACACTGAGACTGGGTAAATTACACAGAAAAAGAGGTTTAATGGACTCACAGTTCCATGTGGCTGGGGAGGCCTCACAATCATGGTAGAAAGCAAAGACATGTCTTACATGGGTGGCAGCAGGCAAGAGAGAGAACTTGTGCTGGGGAACTCCTCATTATAAAACCATTAGATCACATGAGACTTATTCACTTTCATGAAGACAGCACAGGAAATACCTGTCCCCATGATTCAGTTACCTCCCACTGGGTCCTTCCCATGATAGTGAGAATTGTGGAAGCTACAATTCAAGATGAGATTTGGATGGGGACACAGCCAAACCATATCATGGGGGTAGAGTTGAGGGAAGGAGAGAACATTCCAGGGATAGGAAATAGCACATGCAAAGGTCCTGTGGCATGGCCTTTATGTGTAAAGGAGATATTGATAAACCTTGGTATGAAAGACTGTAGGTCTCTGGGTGCAAAGTAATGGCTGAGCATGAAGCTGAATTAGACTTGGCCACTAGCTTACTTTGCTGTTGACAGAATGTTGGTACAGATTGAGCATCCTTAATCTGAAAATCTGAAATCTGAAATGTCCCAAAATCTGAAACTTTTTGAGTGCTGACATGACACCACAAGTGGAAATTCTACACCTTACCTCATGTGATGAGTCACAGTTAAAACTTTTATTTCATGCCCCAAATTATTTCAAATATTGTATAAAGTTACCTTTATAGGTCATGTGTAGAAGGTGTATATAAACATAAATGAATATGAAGTTTAGCCCTTAGTCCCATCCTCAAAGTATCTCTTTATTATATGGAGATATTTCAAAATCTGAAAAAATCCAAAATCTGAAAGACTTCTGGTCCCTTATATTTCAATTAAGGGATATGCAACGTGTACTTCTGCAGCTGCCTTGAGAATGCATATCATTGAATAATGTTAGTGGGAGGTTTTAAACTATCTGAAGATCACACAACTGTGAGAGCCCAGCTCCCCTGAAATGCGTAGGGTTGGTCAGTGATTTTGCTATGCGCCAAAGCAGCTGCCTTGATCCCTCAGAGCCCCGGCATTTCTGCCCGGGGTTTGGCCACCCCTGGCCTTGGCTGACTTCTCATGGATGCAGCAAAAACCCAGTAGGATGCACCTCTCAAGTGGTTGGCAGCTTTTACTGGACAGCTTTAGAGTCCTGTGGGTTATTCTGGTTGTTGCTATTCTTAAATATTGAGTGTCCAAAAGATTCGTGAACTGCATCTCAGCTGGGTGGGACCCTTTGGGACAGGAGTAGGGGAATAATGCCGTCGTTAACTGCAAAGAGGAGTTTTGGGACCAGGTTGTCTTATAGGTTTATTTTGAACAACTGATAGGCTTGGTATTGCTGGAAGTGGATAGATTTGGGTTGCCTGTGTCTAGCAGGTGGCTTCCTTTTCCAGTATGTTGCCCACTGGTCTCATCTATCAGACTCACTTGAGAGTATTTCATTATTCATCTAATAAAGGAGTATGTGAGATTCCCAGAGGAGGAGGATCTACTTCTGTACTTGACCTGGGTGAGGACCACTGGGAACATTTGCACCTTTCACCATTGCAAACTTTGACATGTGAGAGTTTCCAGAAATACAGAGATTCTTATTTTAATCCTTTTTCTTTTTAACTGCAGAAGGGAAATAATAATGGGATAGAATAACTGCAGGGAGTAGAGAGATGAGAAAACATTAGAAAAAATAGTACAGAAGTAGAGCTGGATGAGAATCCAAGTTATGAGAACCTATTGATGAGAGGCATGCAGAAATAAAAAGCCCAAATTCAGTGATCTAAATCAGGGCTCAGATGAGGCTGTTTGTATTGCACGGTAGGAATATATCCAGAAACAGTGGGCCTTTTATAAATTAAGCCTGCCATTCTCCAATTGCTTAAGACACTGAGGCCCATCAGGCCAGAAACATATGACCCACTTTTTCTGAGAAGGAACTTTCCCTTTAGGAGTGGTAATTTAGAAGAAAAGAACAAGCCCAATGAATAGTCCCTTATGGGAGGCATCTCAGCAGAGGCCCTTTTTGGGGGCAGGAGGGATTGCATAGCAATACTGCCTACCCAGAGTTGTTGTTCCCAGGCTAGGGTCCAACTCAGGGCAGGGAGATCTACTGGAGGCAGCGTATCACACACTAGTTGTCCAAGAGATGGAGAGAGAGTGCAAAATCTGAGCTGTGCTTATGGGAAGCTCGGAGTCTCACAAAACTACACCCATGCTGCCCATGGTTTATGTTTAATGAATGAAATGATGATTAAGATAGGACAATTGGACAAAAAGGCTGGGCCTTCTTAGGTGGGTATTGAGTGGGAAGTGATTCAAGAGGCCAGACATTCTGTCTGGACATTAGCTGGAAGTGGGGCTGGACAAGATGAACTAGAGCCCTCTTGTGGTCCCATCATTCAGGCCTGTAGCTTTCATTTGAGACCAGTGGTTCTTAAACTTTTGCAGGGATCAGAATCACCTGGAGGACTTGCTAAAGCACAAATTGCTGGGCCCCACCCCAGCGTTTCTGATTCAGTGGGTCTGGGGTTGGGACTAGGAGTGCATTTCAAAGCACTTTCTGGAGATATTGATGCTGCTGGTCCTGGGACCACACTCTGAGATACAGTAATCTAGACCATGAAGGAGGTCTGGATCCTGGGGAGGGAATCCGCTTTCTGCTTTCTTAGGCACTAGGAAGGCAAGGAGATACTTGGGGCTGGAAGGTGGCAGGGGAGCATGGAAGGGAGGAGTCCTTGTCCATCGTGTCTCACCATCTGAGGAGCTGTCATCCTTTATTCATCCTGCCCTTCTGCTTGCCCTCAGTCTCAGAAATTCCAAAAGACAGCTTATGACCCTGCATTTTTGGTTAAAGAAAGGAGGGAACTGAACTGTCTGCTCTATGAATTCTGGGCTAGTGGGGATCATGGGGATTTTGTAAATTATTTTGGTAGCCCGTTGAGTTTTGTCTCAGGATTTCAGCGGAATCCAAACCATGTGACATGGACCATTATCATTCAGCTGCCACCTCCTGGATCCTGCCCTGTAAACATGCCCAGGGGTCTCTGAGGATGGATGCGTGTCATTCACACACCAAGTGTGTTAGAGACAACAGAAAACCTTGTTTTTTTCCTGTGTTCTGGTGAAAGTCTTTTCTGTCTTTCCCTTTGTTTCTTCGAGGGAGCTTGAGTGGCAGGATTATTATTAAGAGTACTTTTTAAGTTCCCAACAATTAGATAGGAAATGAACTGAATGGGAGTTCACATTTTATCTTCAGGAAAATGACCGCAAGAAGGCCTTACTGTGGGGTGGTTAAGAGCATGGCCTGGCTTTGGAATGCCTGGATTGGGAATCCTTGTTTTGTCACATCATCGCTGTGTGATCCTAAGCCAGTGATGTGACCTCCCTGCACTTCAATTTCCTCACCTCTAAAGTTGGGATAATACTACAACTTATTTAGTAGGATTGCTGTAAGGACCAAATAAGATAATATAGCTCATGCAGTTAGAATTGGACCTGTCACTTACAGATAGAAGGCAATACATTTTAGTTCTTACTGTAAGACTGAGACATCCAAAGACGTCTCATACTGTAATGTGTGATATTTATGTATATGCTTTTTAAGGACTACAATCCTTAGTTTCCTACCTACTCAAGGTTATGTTTTGTAGATGCTAACAGTGTACATTCTAGAGAAAATCAGCTGGAGGGAGGAAAATGGCACAGTTCTAAAATTCTTTAAGCCTCGTTTAATTTTTTACCTGTTACTGCTTTCATCATCACCTCTCACTCTCATTTTCTAATAAGCCTGAAAAGCATGATGGAGTCATAAATCATGTCTGTAAAATGAAGATGTGTAGGCTTTGGTAAGATCTCACATGTGATGTTAATAACAATACCTTACATATCTGGCCTCACACTTCACTTAAACTGTCCCATTTAATCCCTGAAGTGGTCTCATTAGCTTCTGTTAGTCCCATTTTACAGTTTGTACAGTGGAGACTTCAGAGAAGAACCTGGCCCAGGCTCCACAGGCAGTTAATGACAGAGCTGGGATTTTTTTTTGTGGAGGAATAGGGGAGACTTTTCTGGTAAAGACCAGAAAACCTGCTAGACAAATTCTAAAAGAGCCATAACACTCAGAGCTGGGATTTTAACTTCATCTTCTGCTTCAGGGACCACATTGTTCCCAGTGTGTTTAAACCCCTGGCTGGTTTTTCACTTGGGGTTCTCATTCAGATTCGTGATTCTGTTTACTGAGAGATGATGTCCCAGTTACTCTAGCTCTGTAACAAATGACTCCAAAACTTGGGGCTGTGAAATAATCATTTTATTTTGCTCATGGATTCTGTGGGTTATTCAGACTCAGTGTTCCATGATATTTGGGGCCTCAGCAGGGGTGATTCAACCACAGGAGCTAGAGTCCCCTGGGGTGTCTTTGCCCACGTGTCCCACAGGTGCATGGTTAGGACAGGGACCTCAGATGGGCTGTCATCCAGAACACCTACGTGTGGCCTCTCAATGTGGTCTTTCTGCCTGGGCTGACTTGGGTTTCCTCAGAGCATGGCAACCTGATTCCTAGTGAGATTTCCGAGAGAGTGCGGTTGTCTGGCACTTCTGTGATCTGGCAATAGCTTCAAGGAAGGAAATATATTTTTACATTGAAAGAAGAGAATATGAGCCATGTGTGCCAGGTACGGGGAGCCACCTGTGAAGATCCTGAGTAGAGGCTTAGGTCACTGTGGACACAGTGGCAGCAGTGGACAAGGACAAGGGATGCCGGGTCATGCATTCACCCCACAAATATTCCATCTATCTCTGAACTAGGCAGAATGAGCAGGGCACCAATCTAATGGCTCTTCTGGATAATCACTTCACATGGGAATCCTAGGACTCCATATTATATTCTTATCCTGTTGAAAATTTGACCTTTTAAAGATTTATTTATATTTAGCTCAGGCCTTAAAAGTTCCATGTACTATCTAAAAAGGGAAAAGTTCATCCCAGTCAATGTCCTGTCTTGCTTATGTTTAAGTTGGATAGGAAGAAAAAAATCCACACCAGGAGAAGATTGGTTGTAAAAGTTTATTTTACATTTATGTGAAGTTTATTTTTGGTTCTGATATTCTTCATAGGGTAGATATTTCTTTTAAGACTGTTAATAGTGTATTTCCTTTTTATTTGCCACTCCCCACCAAAATAAACCCTCTTTTATTTTTGAATCAGCTTCATATCTTCAGAACGTCCAACTTTAAATAATGGTTGGAGAAGCTCCAGGTTAAGTAGAGAGTAAAATCCTATTGCTTTCTGACCTTTGGGTTAGGATCAAGTGTGGTGTAATAAAATATCAGTCCCAAGAGTCACCTTTGCTGATTTTTTTCCTATTATTCTTTCCTGTTATTCCATATTCATGCAGGTCTTGCAGCCAAGGATTGTTACATTAAGATCCAATCTGAAATTAAAACTTATGGTTTTAACCAATAAGCTATAAAGCTGTTGAACTCCCACTGGGATGTAGTTACCTTTTCCTAAACTTCCTGCATTGTCTCCTTTTAGCCCCACAGTTGATTTCTTATTGAGCCTTTGGAAAGTTCCTTGCCGTTTCACAGCCATTTCCCGTCAGAGTGGGGAATATTGACTGTGCAAACCACTTAAGGTCACAGGCGCCACAGCTGTGTTTCTTCTTTGCAGAAGGGGGGTTTCTTTGGGTGGGGCTGTGCTCAGCCCTTCCGGGTGGTGAAGGTCTGAGGTCACACTGGGAGAGCAGGTCCATATCGGGATTGGGGCTCCAGCAGGATCAGAATGACTTCACCCAGACTTCTGGACCTGGAACTCATTCTCAGAACCTTCCAGAAGACCCTGCCCTGGAATTGCTTTCAAGGGTCTTTTTCATCTGTGTACAGAGTATATTTCCTTGGAGGCAGCTTTGCTGAAGGCCCCTTGAGTCAAGGGTAATAGGGTGGGAGCAGCTATACACAGTTGCATTTCAGTGTTTGATGATAAAATGGTGTCCGTTGGTGAGCATCTTGGTGGTGAGGAAGTTTATACGACCACAGATGCTTCTCACCCCAAGGTACCCGTGCCCTGTGCTGCTGGTGCCACTCATCCTAGGGCATTCCTGCTTGGCAGTAGCAGATTCTAGATTGTCCTGTTTGCTGGTTTGGGGGCTGCAGGGGTCTGCAGAGTGCCGCAAGGAGGAGGAGTCCCAGATCACTGGTTGACCTTCAGCGGGCATTTAACAGCATATTCCATCAGGCCTCACCTACTAGTGTTTTGTTGAGGCTGCTGTGTAACTTTGACTTTCTCTGCTGTCTCCTATTTAAGAGTAAATAAAGGTAGTGACAGTCACAAAAATAGCATCAATGATGACAACTAGCGTTTACTGAGTGCTGACTATACCCAGGCACCATTCTAACCTCTTTACCCAAGTTGTCTCTGCTAGTCCTCACCACAGCCCTGGGAAGTGTGTGCTGTCATATACCCATGAAGAAACTGAGGCCAAGAAAGGAAAGCAGCTCTGCCCAAGGTGTTATAAGCAGAGAGCACCAAGACAGGACCCAAGCCCAATTTGTGTTGACTGGGGAATCAGTACTCAGTTCTCTTAGTCTTTGGCTGTTTTGTTGAGTGCCCAGGTCATCCTGGTAGAAGGGAGACAGTGACCCACGTGAAAAAGGATGGCTACAGATGCATGGCTGCATGGCTGTGCATCATCCACCCTGGAGTATCTGCTTGCCAAAAATAGGGCTACCTGCAAAATGCTTTGAGCACTGTGGAAACCAGCCGTTACAACTCCAAACGTTTATTTTTCTGATAATAGGTCAAGGTTTTCATAATTGAGTTTTAGGGGGGCTAATTTTAGACTTTCTGAAAATCAGTCTCAAGAAACAAAACCCAGAGTCAAGTAAAAGGATGCTTTTGGAACTGATGATTCTCAGAAGAAGCCATGAAGGGCTCGGCCATAACCCCGGGAAAGCTCACTGGCCAGCAGCCTGGAGCCAGTGGAGCTTCAGGTGGCTTTAATTCTTCCCTGGATGCTGGTGGTCTCCAGAGACACAGGGGTAAACAGGTCAGCGTCCTTGTCCTCAAGGGCGTCATCCTCCAGGGAGGACATAGCTGGTAATGACAAAATGTGGGCCAGCGCCTTCTTGCAGCTGGGCACACAGGGCTAGGGGAACTGAGAGGAGAAAAGGATGAATTTGGCCTTGGCTTGGAGCAGCCTTTTAACAGAAACACGCGTAACTTTCCTGCAGATGCACTTCCTGTGAATGAAGAGTCTTGATATATATTTTTCTTTAACAAGAGAAAGCCAGGCTTTTGATTAATAATTTATATGTCAATGTTGGGATCTTCATTTTGTTATGAGAGATTTCAGTTACAACAGTGTGAGGTGGGTGGTCAGGAAACATTCCCCCTGGGCTCACTTTTTGCTTAGAAAAGTCCTGATGGAAAGGTTGAGGTGGGAAGAGAGTGAGGGGGAAGACTCCATGGAGCATGACAGGCATGCTGTGCCTGCCACAGCCAAGCATGGAGGTCTCAACCATAATGTGTTTTTGAGACAGGATCTGGCTCTATCGCCCAGGCTGGAATGCAGTGGTGCAATCTTGGCTCACTGCAACCTCCGCCTCCCAGGCTCAAGCCATCCTCCCTCAGCCTCCCGAGTACCTGGGACTACAGGCGCACCACCACCATGCCTGCCTAATTTTTTGCATTTTTTGCAGAGGCAGGGGTTTCGCCATGTTGCTCAGGCTGGTGTCGAACTCAAGTGATCCACCTACCTCGGCCTCCCAAAGTGCTGGGATTACAGGCATGAGCCACCACACTCCACCTCCAACCACAATTCTTGTTTTAAAAAATGAAAATAGAGTGAAACAGAAATGGTAGAATCAAGTCACCTTGCTCATTCACAGTCATGTGTGGCTAGGACACCATGTGGTCCAGTCTGACACAGGCTGATCCTTTCCCCTCAGGACCCATCCTTGGGGTCGTCCAGTCCTTGGGCTCTGTTCCTCTGATGTGGCACAGGTGGTCAGTGGGGCAGGGAAGACAGAAAGATGAGGGCCACATCCACAGAAGTCATTTCCTTCCTGTGGTACAGACATGACACCACCCTGTGGGATGAATGGGGATTCCCATGTTTGCTAGTTACATATGGCCAAGCCCTTCAGCCTTTCTGCCCCACTTCCAGTTTCTTTCTTGGGTGGGAATGCCTTGAGCCTCAGTTAATTGTTTGAGTTTTCTTGAGTATAAAAGGAATCCTGGCTGGGCATTGAGTGAATACAATCATAAAACCCAAATGATGCTGTTGGCCTCATCTGAGCTGAGAGTGGTGTTGGCACCTTCATAGCTGACATCAAATGGATCTCCAAGCCCAAACACTAACAGTGGAACCAGCTATTGCTGCTTCTGGTGTATCATCCAAATGGGTTTTCCCAGCCATCTTCTGGTGCATTTCTAACATACCCTTAAAAGGCATAAAAAAGTGGCATAGATGATGGCTGGAAAGATTAAGTTCTTTCTGGTGGCTTCTTTAATTTTGGAATAACCAGCCTTCCTTCAACCCCCTTACATGCATTAGAAACTTCTGAACTGTTTTTGTTCTGTTTTTAATTAGGTTGTGGTACAAGAGGAGCAATTAATAAAACCTTCCATTTCCACATCTACTGTGAAACTCTGTGACTTCTTCCCGTGTGATGATGGCTAAGTGCGCAGAACATGTGAAATTTAAGTAGATTTGTGGAAACAGAAACACATTTTTATTTAGTCATGAGCGTCACTTGGAGTAGAAATAGAGCCCTTTATGATTCGTGTGCTGGTCTTTCTTCCTGGAGGGCTTCAGTATTATCTCATGCTGTCATCTTTATGTTGTATTGGAAAAATCTGGGATTCTTTTTCCCTTGGTCATTATTTGCTTTTTAAAAAATAATGTAGTTTTAAAGAATTCTTGCTATTTAATCTCAAGCCCAAACATGGTTTTTAGTGAGGAACTGATACTTAATAAAGTTTGATATTTTTAGTTCTAGAAAGAATTGTTTTGGGGGGTGGGAGGCTGCAGTTGAGAGGTACAAGAAATGTTCAATGAGGGGAAGACACTCTACTGTGGTTCCATTTGCTCTTTGAAAACTTGTGTTTCTGTTGGAAAGAAAGGTTTGATTTTGGAAGTTTTAAATGTACTGCATGATGTTGCTAAATTTTAGTTCGTTGCTGGGAAGTTTTGGATGAGCTCATTTCATAAGGATTTATGTGCCTTATAGGCCAGTGTGGGGTAAGGGGTGGAGAAGCTTGCCTCCTTCAGAAGGGTCTTCATTCCTAGAGGGATATGGAATGACCCACTGCTTTTTGGTGGGAAACGTAAAGGCCAGTCAGCTTTTGGATGAATTTTCAAGGAAGACAGCAGCTGTCCATCTTCAGTCTTGACTTGCCATTCCCTTAGGGAGTTCCTTCCTTTCACCCATCTTTTTCTCCCCATGGCTTGGCCATGCCACAGTGGTCCCTCGGCTTCAACAGTCTTGCTTGCTTACATCTACTAACTGGGCAAGAGAGACCATTCTCCCATTGGCCCTGGACCACCACTCTGATTTGGATTTAGATGGGCTCAGGAATTTTGTTTGGAATCCTTTTGGCCTTAAACAAAATAATGATGAGAGAAATCTGCCTCCCATAAGTCATAATCTCAGCAGGCTCCTGTGTCTGAGCTATTTCTGTATCCAGGTCCCCAAGAGGGCTACAGGGAAAACTTCATCATGATGGGAGGGAAGAAAGAAGGTAAGTCCTAAGATGTTTGCTTCCTATTCCTTGTAAGGTTTAGCCATGTATAGTCATGTGCCAGTCACCTAGGGCTGAGAAAGGGGAGCAAGCAGAGAGGGAGAAGAGGAAGAAGCCAAATGAGATGGTTCGTAATTGATTAGTGGAAGTTAAATAATGTTAAGGATAGGAGGCTTGTCCCCTCCATCATGATTTAGTATATCATCCTTCCCAAGAGAAGTTTTGAGAACTTGTCCTCTGGTATCCAGGAAATGGCCTCCCCAGCAGTGTGCATAGTCCCAGGGAAGCCGTCTCATGAGCCCCTCCTTCTCTTGACTCCTCTCCTAATGGTCACATGGTGCCACCACTCTTTCAAGCCAAGTCAAATTGCATGCAGCAGAAAACCCAAATAAGTTTATGCAGTAGAGGTTTATTCTCACACCGAAGTAATTCAGCATTGGTATGGTGGCTCCATGGACTTCAAGGATCAAGGATCCTTTCCTCTTTCTGTTCCACCATCCTCAGAACATGGCTTCCAGTTTCAAAGTTACCTTATGGCCCAATGTGGCTGTTGGAGCTCCAGCCATCACATCCAAATTCCAGATAGGAAAAAGAAGGAAGAGAGAAGATTACAAAAGAAAATTATCTCCCAGCTAATTTGTCTTTATTTATGGAGTTTTCCTGGAAGCCTCACATTATGGTTTCTGCTTGTATCTTCTTGACCACCTCTTCTCCAGGGGAGACTAGAAAATGTCTTTTAGGTAGGCATATTGTAGATTGGAATAAAGTTGAGTTTGGTTAAAAGGGAAAAGTAGAGAATGGATATTGGTTAGGCATATAGTCTCTGCCATGGTCTAGAATATATGAAGAACCTCATGTGTGAACCTTAATATATTCTGCCAAATATTCTGTTTATAATATCTAACCCTCCTATCAGATCCTAGGCCATTTGGAAGCCAGGAGCTTATCCTCTCCTCTTTGTATCAAGCCAGGGGCCCACATGTTGGAGTTATAGCCCATCTTTGTTCAATTGATTCAGATTCAGCCCTTGCCTCCCATATCCCTCACCATGGATATGCAGTTATAAATGATTTCTTGTTAAGCATTTTTAAAAGGTTAACTTCTTCCCAGAGAGCTTTTACATAATTATCCATTTAATGTGTTTTTAATGATAAAGAATCTAATAGTTATCAATAATGTTGGAAAAGTAATTCTAGGCATGAAAATTAGCAGTATGGTACATATGAAGTACATACCAAGTACTACCTGATTCCAGATATTAGGAAAACAAGACAGAAGGGTTTCACCACTAGTCAGTATCAGTAGATTGTTGGGGAGAAATCTTTATGAAAAATGCCACTTTTCACTCTTTTTTTCAAGTTTGAACTGACTGTGGAAAGATGGGAGATGTCTGAGAAAACTTGTGTCAGTACTTCATGTTTGTAAAAGGACAGGGAATCCTTCTGAAAATCTAGTTACATAAATTTATGTTCCACCACAAGAAAAATCAGTGGATGGCTGGAAGGCGGGGCTTTCCCTTTTGCTCTGGAAGGGAAGGAAACTCTGACAGCCAGACTTCTCAGTCGGAAAGTGTCTTTGGTGAGCCTTACTATGTGACTGGCTGATTCACTTTGTCCGCTAAGTCTTGGGAGAGGTGATGTAACCAGGGACTGCAACTTCTAGGGAAAGGGGAAAAATCACTGTTGGCCCCACCCTCTAGCATTGGAAGCTTAACAGGGCTTTGGCCCACAGCAGATGGAAGTTTGAGCTGTGTTTTGTAATTCTTTTTTAAATGTTCGCCAGAGCATCCATTATTCTTCCTCATTTTCTCTTCTCCTCTTCCCTCCTTTTCTTCTTTCTTACCTTTTCTCTTTTTTATCCTGGATGTGCTCCTGTATGGCCATTCTAAATCAACTCAGGTCTGACCTTTGGAAATACGTACAGTAATAAGGAATCCTAGGGGCTTCCTGCTGTATTTCTGTTTTTGAATTTGATTAACATGAGCTAAGAGGTTGAGTAGAAAGAACTTGGACTTTGGTGTCCAAAAGACACGGGTATGAATTCTGACTCTACCATTACTGGCTCTGTGACTCTGGACGAGTTGCTTTACTTCTCTGACTCTCTAGAATCTCACCTGGAACTTGAGGTTAATTCCTGCTTCAAAGCGTTGTTAGGAAGATTGAACAAAATAATGTGTGAAGGAAAACCCAGCGAGAGGGATGAAGAGCAGAGTGTGCTGGGCTACATAGGCTAAACTAAGAAGTTTGGATTTTATTTACAGTGCTCTGGGAAGCAGGGAAGTGACCTGATATTGTAGATATTTTCAAAAAATCACTGTGGGCCTGTGGAGTGAATGGAGGACAGGAGCTGGAGTGGAAGCAGATAGCCCAGCTAGGAGGCAAGAACAGTGGACAAGACGGCTGGACTAGTGTGGTCACAGAGGGAACAGACGGAAGCAGTGATTCTTGAGAACTTTTGGAGGTAAAGACACTAGGAGTAGCTGAAGTCTTAGATGTGAAAAAGGGAGGGAAAGAGAACACTCAAACATGGATCTTAGGTTGGGTCTTGAGCGCGTGATTGGTGAGGACTGTTTGACAGTGTAGCCCAGGACTGTGCATGGGGATGACACCCACAAGATGTTGGCTGGCTGGCTGGATTCATGACTATCTGGAGGAAAGAGAGAATGCGTGTTCTTAGGCCATGTTGGATGCTGAATGCAGTGGGACAGACCCGGTTCTATTTCTTGCTTTGAAGAGATTGTGTTCCAATTATCTGCCCTGTTTAGATGGCAGCTTCCAGAATCAAGTTGGTCAGTTTTGAGCAAGATCTGGAAAGCAAGACAATGTCTCAAAAGCATCAGGACCCCTGATATCCACCTTGTTAACACCGTAGATGACTTCGGTGCCCTCCCTGCAGCCGTCTGCTTTAATTGTCAGAACAAAGTGAAAGCGAACTCAGAGTGGGACTTGGGATGGGCTTTGGAACTGAGCAGCATTCTCAAAGCTGGGTGCTGTAGTGGCATGACTATTACAGGTGGGGCCAGGACCCCACTTCCACAAAATTCAATTGGATACATCTGGTAGGAGGTGTTCACCTGGAAATCTGGGTCTTAAACCACTTTGAGAAACACTGTCCTGGAGGTAAGCAGCCCCTGTTCTGGTTCTTTTTCTTCCACTTTTTAAAAAGGAAATCAGTTTGGTGGCAAAATCTCCCCTTCCTGTCCATAATTCAGACTACGACAGCAATTAGAGGCAGGCAGCCTCCCCTCCAAGGAGAAAGAAACCCTCCACGTGTTTTATGAGTATATTCCTAATAATGACAATAGCAGCAAACAAACACCATAGTGGTGATTTCATACTCATGAAATTATTGTCATGGAGTTAGAGCCTAGATAAAAGTGTTTGGCAAGTCTCTAAAGCATATTTCAAGAGAAAAAGGAGGCCAGAATTTATAGAATCTAAAAATAGCAGTTGAAGTGCAGCTGTGTTTAGCTTGTCAGAGAACCTGTTGAGTCAAGATGGGCAGGGGATTTTATTTCTCTGGCCCTGAGGTCATTTGTCTTGTTTAAGAAGGGGCAGCAAACATTTCCAAATAGGGATTGACTTTTAAGGGGAGGAAGATGGCTAAATGTATATGGTATTTCTTGTTTTCTGCTCTTACTCTTCCTACCTCCAACCCCATTCCAAATTTCCTCTTAAGAAAAGGAAGGAGAGTTTGTTTTTCTCAGTAGAGTAAGTAGTGACTGCCTAGGTGGCAGGATTTTGGATGGTAGTGGTGATGTTACTTATTGATGGCACATTTGATGACTGTTAGTCCATGGAGTGGTGGGGGTAGACTAACTATCTGGTCTTAGTGGGTTCTGTACAATCCCATTAAGTTGAAGGAATAAACCTGTAGTTGGAGAAATAACAGTGTGACTTCTCCAAGACTGATTGGCTGATTTTTGGACCCTCTTTGTCCCATTTCTAGTCAGGAATTATGTCTTCTACTGTTCCACAACCCACAAAAGAAGATGTCTGTTCCACTTCTGGCCTAAGCAATCCTCAAGCCTCTATACTTAACAACATTGGAATGTCACCATCTTAAAACTTGTCAACCAGTAGGCCTTCAAACCTCCTGCCCTTTAATATTTATTGAAACCTTGGTGGAAATGAATTCTGTTTTTGGTGGAGTGCGTGAAGTTATTTCCCTCCATTAGTTTGTAGGCCAGAGGTTGAAAACTAGTGGCCCGCAGGCTGAGTCTTCCTCACCGTCCCACTTTGCTTGCCTGGCAAAGTGTTAACCTATACAATTGCCAATATTGGAAAACTGGGATACTTTGTTTACAAATCTTTATTTCTGGATTCTCCTGGGTTGCTCTAATATATATTCTTGGTTTAGATTTCTTTTCTGGAGAGGTGTCCCCAGACTGCTGTGCATAGGTCCTTGTCCTCCCAGAGTAGCTCACCTGTGGGTCATGATGAGAAATAGCCACTGTATTTTATTTGAGGATAATAAGAAAGGGGTTAAATAAATTGTATGTTGAGCACCTAGAAAACATATGCATGTGCATGATGAGCACCCTGTAAGCATTAGCTATTATTGCTATCATCATCAGCATCATCATCATCAGCATGTTTAATGTATTTTCTGTTGAGGGTTCCATTGAGGACATTGTTCATGACATAACCCAATGTCTTATGAGGCCTCATGAAAGACATGTCTGTCAGATCTCAGTTCCAGAAAATAGCTGTCCTTCTTCTGAATTACTGGTTCATCTGTACCTTACTCATGCCCCCAATCTTATTTCTATCTTTGCACTAGCTTTGCAGAAGCTCAGAGGCAACTATGTAGTTCATGTCTAGCAGGAGGACTTGGATTCGATTTGTTGATCCCTTGGTTTCACATGCCATAATTTCCTTGCTTCTCTACTTTTCTCACTTATTTTGTTGTGAGCATTATTGTAAGCAGCCTTAAATCCTGTTGGAACAAGGCTGGGTGTAAATTAAAAAACAAATCAAGCATCCATTCCTCTGAGAGGTTATATAATCACTGAGAATAGGCTTCCACATCAGGACAGGTTTCATGTCTTAGCCTTGGGACTACATGTTTTCTCTTTCCCTTCTGGACACTACTGACCTCTCATTGTCATGTTGGACTTGATTCTATCAGTTGTGCTCATGCTTTCCCTTGAATCTAGATAACCTGTAACTTCTGTTACAGAATGAGATGGCTTATTTCCCTGGGTAGACTGACTGTATTAGTCAGCTATTGCCACATAACAAACTGCCCCACAACTCCATGGCACACATCAAGAAGCATTTATGTTCTCATGGATCTGTGGGATGGTTGGACAGTTCTGCTGCAGGTCTGCACGTTGGCTGGGGAAGCTGTTCTCCATGTCTCTTATCTTTCTAGAACCAGTTGGCTACTGGGGCAGGTTCTTCTCATGGTGATGGCAAAAATTCAAGAGGGGCATGCAGAAACATGTGAGACCTCTTAAGGGGTAGGCTCAGAACTGGCACTATCACTTCTGCCCTCATTCCATTGGCCAGAGCAAGTCATGAGGCCCAATCCATCAGTAGAGTGGGGAAATAGAGTAGAAATAGATCAGCCTCTAGTGAGAGGAACCTTAGAGTCAATGACAAAGGGTAGGAGTACCAGGTGGTGGGTAGGGGGCAGCTGATAAGTAATGCAGTCTAGCCTGTAATCCCAGCACTTTGGGAGGCCAAGGCAGGTGGATCATGAGGTCAAGAGATTGAGACCATCCTGGCCAACGCGATGAAACCCCATCTCTACTAAAAATACAAAATTTATCTGGGCATGGTGGCATGTATCTGTAGTCCCAGCTACTCGGGAGGCTGAGTCAGGAGAATTGCTTGAACTCGGGAGACGGAGGTTGCAGTGAGCCAAGACTGCGCCACTGCACTCCAGCCTGGGCAACAGAGTGAGACTCCATCTCAAATAATAATAATATTATTATTAATAATAATACAGTCGATCACAGGCAGTGTAATTATTTGAAGACCATAAGGTTGGGCATACAGCATAGAGTATCTAGCCCTTAGTGGCTATGTTGGCTATTCTCTACTTCCCCTCTCCAGATCCATTCTCCACCATTATCCCTCCTGCTTTGTGCCCTTGGGAGGCTGACCTTCCCCTCTGCCTTTTAGTTGGGTTCAGTCAGAGGGGAGCACTGGAAAAAGAGGGTGGAAGAGTGGCCAGCCATAGTGACCATGGCTCTCTACGGAAGGCCATAGCTTCTGCCAGGTGGTTAGTTCTAATAACTTAGGGGTTCCAGTGACCACTCCCCACCTTGCTCCTTCCGACCTAGGGCATTAATGGCTCCCTGCTTTGCCACAGGGGTCTCTTTTAAACTGACCCCCCTTACTGTTGTAAATAGTCCCTTCAGTGAATTCTTTTTGTCTCCCTGGTTGAAGGAAACATCTGCTTCTGGCCAGGACCATCATGGATACAGTAGGTGCTCAATAAGTGCATGGTTGATTAGCAGGCCTCCTTGTTTTTCCTCTCCTCTGGCCTCTACATCACTAAATGGTCACTTCTCTTCTAGCCTGAAGAGCCCATGGAATGTCAGCTTGGGAATCCCTCCCTCTTTCCCCATAACTTGTCCAACCACCATCCCTCTCCCAAGAACCTGGCACAGTAAATTCATTAGAGCGAATTCAAATAAATAAGGTTTTACTTTTCTTCTTTGGGATTTCTTAGCATGCCCGTTGGGACAATTAGGGAGGGATTCTTTCAAGTACAACATTTTCTCTAGCAATTATGGGGGTTTTATCTCCCAGATGTGATTTATGCCATATTACATTCCAAGAAGGGAACATGAAGAATGTTTGTGGCTAAAGAAGTCTCAACACAAGGAAACTACAGGTGAAACGTAACAATAGTAATTGCCTTACTTTATTTGCGAAGGGGTGGTGAACACTAATATGCCTGACTCCATAGAGCAGTGTATTTGGTTTTCTTAAGCAGGAAGAAGGGGGCCCCCCCAATTTTAATTTACTGAATGAGTTTAAGAACCATGGTGTATTTCCCAAGCTTCGCTAGTGAAGATGGTATTTTGTTAAAAATTGAGATTCCCATTGATCCAGATCCAGTTGGGCCTGGGAATCTGTTTTCAACGTGTATCCTGAGTCATATTTGGGAAGCACTGGGCTCTGCTTATGATTCTCACGTTCTGGTCTGTGACTGAGGAGACGTGCCATGATGAGAGTGATGATGGTGATGGTGGCAGACAAGAGCATGTCACATTTAGAAATACTGTAACTGGTTGCTGAGGTTTTACATATATTCTTTCTGAGCTTGTTTTGTCTAATATTGCCTGTGCCAACAGTATTTTACCAGAATTGAATGAAAAGAAAGGTACCAGCAGATTTTTTTAGATGTTCTAATTGATACCAGAAGCAAAGACGTAGAAACCGTCATGTTATAAACATGAAAGCCCCAAGCAAACAGCCTTTAGCCCACCCTTTGAGAACCACTACATGACTTCTTGATAAGATTCTTTCAACTTTACCCTATGCCTGGATCATGAAAGAGGTGTTTCTAGAAAGCTCTGCAAAGGACTTTCTCTGACAGACGGCTCTAGGCAGGGGGAAGCTCTGACTAACTGATCTCTGGAGAGGAACACAGATGTTCCCTCCTAAAAAAGGACATGCTGGCCTTGCTTTCTTACAGGTCACGAAGTCTCTTTTAGGAATGCCATTTGGCATTTCAAGTTTCTGCAGCAGTTCTGCAGAAAGCCATGCCTAGAAAATTTATAATTACTCTGATACCAGATGGCTTTGCGGCCTTCAGTATCAAATGCATTGTGATTGTGCTATGAGAATTTTGGGGGGAAAATTCCAAACTTTATTAATTATTGTATTGGGGAAAACATCATGTTATTGAATTTTAATTAGAGTTGCTGGGCAGCCTGGGCTGCCTTTTAACTTACGGGTCACCTGGTTATTGCCTGTGAGGCTCACTGAGGAAATGTCTTGCTGGCAAAGCTGAGTTCGCTCAGAATGTGGACTGTTCCATTTTTCTGTTGTCCAACACTTGCTTTGTTTGTGACATTTAGCTCCTTTTCTTCCTTTCCATCCCAAATCCACACCCTTTCTTCTGTCTTTTGCAAAATCTATGACACTGTTGAATGAATAATATAAGCCCAAGGACTTGGAGGGATGAGAGCTGTGATGCCCACATGTTTTAGTGTTGGCATGTTTCCCTCATTTTTGGGGATGCCTTGGGTTGAAGCTGATTTTTCAGCATCCCTGGTTTAGCATATGTTGCATTATGTATCTGGGAAAGTAGCATATCTATTTTCTCATTTTGCATTACAATAGCATCTAGTAACATTCAAGCCTCAATTAATTGAACCAATAATTATTATATTAAAAATGGTATGTATGCCCCAGGACAGAGATTAGGCTATGGTGGGCATTTGAGACCTTAGGGCCATAGACCCCGAAACATGCATTCTCCAGAACTGAGTATGCAACTGTTTGCTTTCGACCTTACAGCACAGGCTTTGGGAGAAAACAGTTAAGTTCAGGTCCTAACTCCAGTAATGAATTTCAAGCTTCTTGTTATTGTTTTTCTTCCTGAAAGACAAAGGGAGTTTTATGCCATGGTATTTTGACGACAATGTTGAATCAATTGTTATCAGATGGGAAGATTTCTGAATGCTGAATAGTTTGTAATATCCTTCAAAAAACCAAACCAAGAACCCACCCACCCATTCACCATTTATCTCTCCATTTGTCCACCCACCCATTACCCACCCATCCATCCATTCACCCATCCATTTCAACATTCACCAGTTCCTACAAGGTACTGAGTACTGCATTTATTTGCTAGGGGTGCAAAAATAAAGTCTAATAATAATAATAACCATCATTTATTGAGAACCTACTATGTGTTGAGCAGTTTCCAATCTTCAAAGCAGTTTTGTGATGTAGGAATTATGTTCTCCGTTTTATGAGAGAACAGAAGCTAATTTACTTGCCTGGGTCACCAGGCAGTCAAGGCGGAGCAGGCCTGAGGCATCCTTGCAACATTAGAACCAGAACAACATTTCATTATTTTATGTTAAACGGACTCTCCTGCCCGGACCCAGGCCCACGTTAGCATCCAGAGTGGCATGCAGTGGCAGAATTGGAGCTGGAACAGCCCTCATTTGTTGTCTTCTCTCCTTGGGAAATCTTCCTGCTATCAGTGAAAAAGGGAGAGGGATCAGCTCTTGTTTCTTGGCTTTGCTCTTTACAGCCTCTTAGAAACTTGAGTTCTATCTGGATTCATCCTGTCATTTGATGGTACAGGAGTACAAATGGAGGTCCACTTAGCGAATATCTAAATATTTAAAGATTACAAATCAAGGTAACTGTTCAGTAAACTGTGTTCCATCCTACCTTGACAAATATACCTTTATAACAACTTGGAAGCCCTAGGTTGAATTTTGATTTCTCAGGCCTCTCAGAGTTTAGTGTAGAAATGGATGGCTTGGGGAGAGCCAGCCCCCAGCCCACCCCCCCACTTCCCTTTCCATCTGACTCCATCCCGCATGGCAATGGGCCTTCTGTGCATGCGTGTGTGGACACCCATCCAAGCTTCGTCCACCCCCTCCCCACAGAGGCTGCCCTTGGACCTCAGGTAGGGTACACTCACTCATGGTGCACTTTACAGTGCAGGGGACAAACCCTGGAGTAGAGCCCAACATGGACCCTGAAGGAGGACTTAGGGCTGTTGGGGCAGGGATTTCTGTTGTCCTGGGCACACAGAGCATATCTGCAAGAGGGAGATGTGGAGACTGACCTTGGTCTCACAAACTCATTGCCCCTTGCAAAGAAATAACCAGGAGGGTCTCCTGAGAATGGGGTTCAGAGTAAGGGCCCCTCTTGCCTGGGTCTTACCCAGGGTGATACCATTTCTGCCAAGTCAGAGGATGAAAGGGACTTCGGCGGAAGCCATATGACCCACCTCTGTCATTTTAGGGAGACTGAGCATGGCTGGTAAATCTCAGTGATGGCTGGAGCCCTGGGGGTCCTTAGTTTCCTAGCAAGTGCCCTGTCCTGCTCTTGCCTTTCTGAGCATCATCCTCGTGGCATTCTGGAGCATGAGGACCCAAGGCTGGGTCTGAGTGGATGACTGTAGTTACGTACACAGGCTCTGCTGCAGGGACAGGATTACAGAAGATGTTTACACAAAGCTGTAGCTTTGGAAACAGGCTGTGGTGCATATCTTAGCAGCCCCACTGACCAGCTTGGTGATTTTTGTTCAACTGGAGCCTTGGCTTCCTCGTCTAGAAATTGGAGATAAAATGGTATCTGTAGGTAGAGTTGTGTAGGTGGAAGATGAGATGTTTGTAGAAATCTTCATACAGCACTTGGCTTTCCCAAAGGGAACATCAGCGAATTGTAGCCACTGTGACTGGAGCTGCTACTATTGTTCACCAGGTGTCCTGGACCCCACTGAGAAGACGCTGCCATTCGTTCATTCACTGATTCACCCACTCAAATATTCATAGAGCACCTATCATGTGCAAGTACTATTCTGGTAGCATGGGACTTACCAGTGAACAAGAGAAGCAAAATTCCATGCCATAGTGGAGCTAACATCCTAGCAGGTAGAGGCAGAGATAAACCATAAACATAATTAACATGGAGATATAGAACATATGGAATATAGAGTATGGAAACACGAAAGCTGATAAGTGCTATGGAAAAAGGTGGATAAGGGAAAGGGGTTTGGTTGACCCAAGGTGGGCTGTAATTTTAAATAGGGTGGTTAGGGTAGGCCTCATGAAAGAGGTTTTTAATCAAGAACTTGAAGGAGGTAAGGGGAGAGAACCATGTGGAGGGATCTGGGAGAAGAGCATTCCAGGCAGCGGAAACAGCCGGTGCAAAGGCCCTGAGGCAGGAGTGCCTGTTGTTCCAGGGACAGTCAGGAGGCCAGTGTGTCTAGAGCAGAATGAGGGTGTAGGTATTAAGAGACGAGGTCAGAGACATGACAGAGGCCTGACCGTGTAGGGCCTAGTAGACCATTGAAAGGACTTGGCTTTTACTCATTGCAAAGTACGGAGGGGACAAATGACATGACCTTCTGCATCTCCTCCCACGCCTTGGGCCCGCAGGCTGCCTCTGCACTGTTAGTCCTCCCTGACTTCCTGCCCCAGGCTCACTGCCCCCATCCATGTTGCACACCCCTCTCTACCTGCAGCCGCCATCCCCTAACAGGTAGAGGTGTGCCCTGGGTCCACTCCCTCAAGTCCCAGCTGCATTACCAGCCAAGGATGTGATGCATAGTATTCTGGAGCTCCTTTTTAAAAAGGAGTTACATTGCTTTGGGAGTTCAGGACACAGGCAGCCTGGGGGTGCTTGCTTCATTTCTGAAAAAGCAGGTTGTGGCCACCCTTTCATGAGCCTTGACTCTACTGGGCTCTCCCTGCTCCCCATGGAGCCTCATGCTGTCCTCAGGCCACCCTAGCCCCCTGTTCTCCTGGCTGGCTTTATCCCGCTGAGCAGTGGGACAGAGGACAGGAAGATGAGAGGAAGATATTCCAGAGCTGGGTGGAGAGTCAGGGTGGAGTAGAGCTGTGTGAGGGTGTGCATGAGGGAGCCAACAGGAAGGAGGGCTGGGTTCTTGTTCTCTGACCAATTCCCAGTCATGGCTCTCCCATGGGGTTTCACAGCTCAGTCCGAAGACACATTGTTCCTGTGCATGGTGTAGCCAAGCCCAAATATTTAGCTACGGCCACACCAGCCCTTGTTCTGCTTATAACTGTGGTGTAGACCTCAGTCCAGACACCCTCCAAGAGATACCCACCCTGCCCCTTGGCACTGGCTTGGGCGGCCTTGTCTGGTGCTGGAAGGCTCTCTTGGGTTCTTTGCCAAAGTTCAGATGTCCCCCTTTCCCACTCTGTGGGTGGGCCCTAGTGGGGGATGGATGAGGGCTAAGGCATGCTTTACCCCTGGCTCCCAGGCACAGAGATGAGGGTGGCCTCTGGGTCAGAGGGCTTCCTGTTGAGTCAGAGCCTCCAGCCGATATGCCTACTGTCCCACCCCTACTCCACATAGATGCAGGGCACCCTGCAGCTTTGTTTCAGGAGGAACTCTGCCAGTGGAAACCCCATGTCCTTAGCGCAGCCCTGGGGGTTATCAGGGTGGCTCAGATGCAGGAAGTCCTCGCCTCTGCTGTCCTGCTCTGCCCCACCCTGTCCTGCAGAGGGGAGGCCCTGCCCATGGGAGAGTCTGCCTCCACTGGGCAGTGCTGGCCTGGAGGAAACTTCCATGCCACCCCTCCTGCCCCTGGGCTCCAGGGCTCTCGATTTTTGGGGTAAACAGAGGTGCTGGGCTCTGCTGAGGATAAGCTTTGTGATCTGGGAAGGATCCCTTTCTCCTCATTTTTTCCCCACCTCCTTTTCATCATGTCTGTGTGAAAACGAAAGCTATTGTTTATGTAAAAGGACCATTTGCCTAATGTCCCTGGAATTTATTTGCTGGAGCATTTTCCATTTTCATATTCAGTTTAGACCTTGGCTGAAGTAGGGAGGTTATGTAACTGGGATGGAACAAATCCCATTGGCATCTGGGGACCCTAGTGTACCCCACCCTTAGCCATTCCTGCAGTGGACTGAGTGCCCCCCTGGCTGTATATTCAAGTCGCCTCTGTGGCTGCCAGAGTTGGGGAGCTGGGGAGCTGGAGTGATAGAGAAGGAGTTGGCAGCATTTAGAATGGAGTCAGGAGGAAGATTTCTCTGGGGGGTTGGATTCATAGATCTGCTTTGGGGCTGTCTCCTCCTCCTCAGCTGTAGACCTCGGGGGTCCAGACTTTCCTTGCACACAAAGCCTAGGCCTTTCCTATCAGCCTGTCTGTGGACCTTAGCCAACAGCCTGAGCCTCACTGCTTGAGCCTTGGCTGGATTAGGGAAATGTCTCTGGCACTTTCCTTCTTGGCTGTCTGTGGAACCTGTCTCTACATTCTAACCCATCCCCAGCAGCACTGGCCTTGAGGGCCATGTTTCTACCCCTGATTCCCAGCCTGAGCGCCTTGGGTTTCTCCTCAGAAGCCTTGTCTGGGTCTGCATGGAATTACTTTGACAAAGGATGGGATGTTTTTCTAGGTTATGAGGGCCTGGACATTTGCCTGCCTGGGGTTTTAAAAGAAGGCAAATATATAGAGTGGGTTTTGGAGCCCTGAACTTAGTCATGGGTGGATAGGGGTGGGCTGAGGAGGGGGTGCAACCTCTGCCTTCCCTCCCCACGCCCCCATATTCTGAGATGGTAGAGAACCCTTTCATTCCTCCAGCCTGTCTCTTTCATCCCTCTATGGACTGAGACATCTCCCTTTACACCAGTTTTTTACTTAAACATGCTTATTAGCCTCCATTAAGAAAAAGGTAACCCTGTGTATACCTGTATTAACACAATGCTAACTGCTGCAACAAACCCTCAGTTTTCAATTACTTGACCTACTAGATGTTTGTTCATTGCTCATGTGTCAGTCAAATAAGGCTATTCCTCGTTGAAGGTAGCTTCCTCCACGTGGTGATTCTGGGACTGCAGTTGCTTTCCATTGCTGCTGCTGCAATTCCTTAGGACCTCCAGGATTTCTGCCTCCTGGGGGCAGGAGGAGAAAGAAGCAGTGGAGAAGGCACACCCACCCCTTAAACACTCCAGCCTAGAAATGACCCACATCCCTTCTACCGACTTTCCATTGGTGGGAACTAGTCACATGGCCACAGCCGGCCTCAGAGGAGGCTGGGAAATGTGGGTCCAGGCTGGGCACCACCTTGGGAATGACTCCACATATCAGTGGTAGGAGATGGAGAGGAGGGGGTGTACTTGGGAAACGGCGAGGTCAAGTCAGCAGGGTGGATTGAGAATATGTAGGGGGACGAAGCCAGGAGTCCAAGGACCCCTTGGGTTTCTGGTTTGGAGAACAGGGTGGATGGTGCCTCTGAAGGCAATGGAGTTAACAGGAAGATGGACGATGCTGAGAGGGAAGGCTCATCTGTCAAGTGCCCAGCAGGGGTGGGTGCTGTAAGAATGTTTTGTGAATGCAGGAATGAGGAGAAACAGTAGTGAATGAACTTGAGTCCCTTCTGCCAACCCCTTGCAGCTATAGTGGAGAAAAACTGTTTGGTAGCTGTACTCCATAGCCTGAAACCATAGCACCTGATGAAATTGGACCAATCTGTTTTCAAATACAAAGCTAGTAGTTAGAATAACCAGGGGGAAAAAAGCATAATCAGTAGCCCCATGTCTTTGCACAGGCTGCCATAAAAAAAGGTACAGTTGTTTCTCAGTATGCATGGGAGATTGGTTCCAGGATTCCCAATGGATACCAAAATTCATAGATGCTCAAGTCCCTGATATAAGGTGGCATCGTATTTGTATATAACCTACATATATCCTCCTGTATACTTTAAATTATCTCTAGATTACTTGTAATACCTACAACAATGTCAATGCTATGTAAATAGTTGTTATACTGTATTTTGGGTTTTTTGTTGTATTGTTATTTTTATTGTTTTTTTCCTGAATATTTTTGATCTGTGGTTGGTTGAATCCATGGATGTGGAACCCATAGATACAGAGGGCTGACTATCCCATAAATTGGGTGGGTTACACAACAGAAATTAATTTGCTCACAGTTTTGGAGGCTGAAAGCCCACAATCAAGGTGCCAGCATAGTTGGTGTGTGGTGTGGGCTCTCTTCCTGGCTTAGAGACGGCCACCTTCGTGCTATGTCCTCACATGGCAGGGAGAGAGAGGGAGAAAGCTCTCTAGTGTCTCTTCTTATATACCATCATGAAGGCTATGACCTCCTCTAAACCGAATTATATCCTGAAAGGCCCATCACAGTGGGAGTTAGGGCTTAAAAATGTGAATGTGGTGTTGGAGGACACAATTCAGTCCACGGCATCCAGTGGCGATGTCTCCCCAGGCATAGAGTCCTCTTCTGTGTTGGGTATTGTCTCTCTAAGCTGCGGGGAAAGGGAAGGCAGCAGATTGGTGTCCTGGCCCATCCACTTCAGGTGAGAAGGATGCCTGCTGTCCTCGTGTGGACACAACTTCCTCTGCTCTCCTTGGCCTTGGCCTCTTTGCTTTAGGATATGATGCCCAGAAGGGCTCGAAACTGGCATGACTCAGGAGTCTGACCAGGGGCAAGCAGGCTGCCTCTTGCTCCTCCCCAGAAAGGGAGAGCCAGCTGAGGGTGACACCTTGGGCTGCAGCCACAGGCCACTTTGCCACTGGGCTCACCCACGCTGCTGCTGCCACACGTGGGGCCAAGGGTGACAAGGTTGCCAGGGAGCCTGGGATCGGAGTTCCAGGGCCATCTGAGCTCTGGGTCAGCAGCAGTCATTGGAGCAGGGATCTGGGGAGGCTTTTCACGTGGGGGTTGTTGAGATAGGGGTCTGGCCCCATTCCTGCCTGACTGGCAGTCTTCATTAATGTACGTTTATACCAGGAGCAAGTGGAGCTGGGGAGGGGACTCACATCTCTGTCTGTGGGAAGCAGGGCAGAGTGAGGGAGAGTATGGCCTGCTTTCTAGCTGATATCTCCCCTTGCTCTCAGCAAGCTCCTCTGCCTCTTCCTTTCCTTCTGGTAAAGCATAAGGAGAGGACTCAACAGTAAGGACTAATATTTGACAGTGAGGAGCAGATAGAGTTTTTTAGGCAGGGGTCACTGTTAAGGAAGTTTGTATTTTTTTTTTTAACTTCCAAATAAAGCTTGAAGTGTCTGAGAGGCTGCATAACAGAGGTGAAGGGCACAGACTTGGGAGCCCCATGGCCAGGATTTGAATCTGAACTCTTAGGCAGGTCCCTGAACTGCTCAGCCCTCAGTTTCCCGTCTGTAAATGGTGATAACAGTACCTTCCTAAGGTCATTATGAGGACTAAATGAGTAAACATTGATACAGTGCTAACAACGCTTAATAGAGTACTTACAACACTTCACTTAATAAGTGCCATATGGTGGGTGTTAAATATATATTTTGGGGAACGGGGTCTCGCTATGTTGCCCAGGCTAGAGCGCAGTAACTATTCACAGGCACAGTCAGAGCCCACTACAGCCTCCAACTCCTGGGCTCAAGCAGTCCTCCTTCCTCAGCTTCCCAAGTAGCTGGGACTACAGGCATGTACCATTGCACCCAGCTAAATTTTTAAAAATTAAGTCTTGTTGAAGAGTGAGTAGAAACCAGAGTGGTGATAATTTCTGGTTCTCCCTAGTCATCTCCCTCAAGAATTTCCCAGTTACTTCTCCTGGAAGATCCGCTTCCTTGTTTTGTTGTTTTTGTTTTTGTTTTTGTTTTTTTTTGACTTTGAGACAGGATCTCACTCTGACACCCAGGCGGGAGTGCAGTGGTACAGTCTCCGCTCACTGCAGCCTCAGCAGCCCAGGCCCAAGTGATCCTCCCACCTCAGCTTTCCAGGTAGCTGGGCAGTGTCAGCAGCTCTCCTATGGCCAGCTCCACCACCAGGTCAGACAGTACCCTTGGCAACCTGTGGACCAGGCTGGGGAAGAAGAAAATCTAGGAAGAAAAGGCCACACAAGGAAGAAGTGCAGATGGCAGGGGATTCCGGTGGCCAGGGACCAGATGGGAGTCCGAAAGCTACACAGAGCAAACAACCAAAATTGAAAGCAAACAGACTCTGAGTTGAGAAACCTGTTCTCCCTATCCAGAGCATACAATTCAGAAAATGCCGGAACAGCATAAACACTGCAAAACAAATCCAGCTATGTAATCCCTTTATTTTAGTAATTAGAGGTGGCACTGGGAATGCTGGTAACAGTGGAGTTTGACTCAGATCCCCTTGACCTCACTTGGCTTTTCCTCCATGTTCCAACAACTTGTTAAGTCTGCTTCTCCATTCCATTCCTTTCCCGGCGTGGTGTTTGGGTTTGTAGGCAGGATGGCCATGTATGCACAAAGAAAGCTTTGGGGCAGTTTCCTGCCACCCAGTTTTTATGAACATTCTCTTTGCCCCATGTGTGGCAGCAGAAGGCAATCCAGCCCTCAGCCTGGACCGCCGACCTTGTGTGTTTGTCTCCCTCTGTGCCTAGGCCCGAGAGGCCATTAGAAGCCCCATTTGTGTGTCTCAGCATGGCAGGAAGGTCAAACCGCTGCTTCCTGGTTGGAAATGGTTTCTTCATTGATTCATCAGGTCAGTCAAGCATTTACTGAGCACCCACTGGAGCCAGCATTGTGCAAGGTGCTAGGAATACAGTGATGAGGAAAAGCAGACATAGACCTTACCCTTCTGAAAGTTCCACTAAAAATCAAATAACTGTGAACAAATGTCCCCTTCCTGCTGTGATACCTGCCATAAAGAAACATGTTACTATTAAAGTATAACCAGATACTCACATGTGACATTCTCTTGTTGGTTTTCCCTGAGTGCAAAAGAGGTGGTGAGTCTTTCTAAATCCTGAGTCAAGATGCTTGACCACTTATTAGGACTTGAAAAGAGAAAGGCTACAACTCAGTTTTGGACCCTTAGTCCCTTATCAACATCGAAGGTACAGAAGGATTGACATCAGAGAGGCCCAGGAAGTTTGACATTGGAGAGAGGCGTTTTTGGAGAAGGCTGATGGGCTGGGGGGTGTTTTCCGACCTGAGCCCCTTGGAGGAGAGAAAAGGGTGTTCTTCCTCCAGCCCAGAGAAAGGAGGAGACCAGACAGGTCTAGCTCCTGAGAGCTAGCCTGACTTTCTTCCAGAGTCTTGGAGAGCACAAAGATGTGTGTTGATGTACAGCTTAAAGGGGAGTTAATGGAGCCCTGAGAATGTCCTGCTCCCCCGGAGGAGGACATATGAGTGCATCTCAGGGTGAAAGCTGGCTAGGAGCTATTTAAAAGGGGTTGTACCTTAGGTGACCCTAGGGAGAGGTGATGGGACCATACCCAAAACACAAGGGGTCTGGGGCCAGCGGAGGAGACCTTGTTCCCTCTTGGGAGTTGCAGGGGAGTGTCCCAATGCTCAGGAAGCTCCAGGGAACCTTCAGTGTGCCTGAAAAAAAGTCAACCTGGAATACCCACCAAGCTAAGGGAGGTCAGCGTGCAATGCCACAAAGCCACAGAAGTCTCTAGAGCGACTCAGCTTTAAACAGCTGCCATGGCCAGAGAAAAGCCAACACCCAAAGACACCAGTTCCAACTAGGTGTGGCTTCTCCTCCCCTCCTCTCCTCCCCTCAAAAGGTGTTCTAAGCAGCTGCTGGGAAAGGGGGTGAGAGGAAGTGACTGCAGCTTTTTTATCTCCCACTTCCCACCCTCTAGCAACCTTCAAAGCCTGAAGTAGGGCCAAGTTGGAAGAGGCGAGGAAGTTTAACTTTAAATGAAATTTGGAGTTTTTCACTAATACGCAGGACTGGTCATTTTGATACTGAATGGGATTATTCTGGAGATTAAAGCAATGGAAAGACTTTTCATGATCTAAGAGTGATCCAAGAGATAGTGGGACCTGCTCAAGGTTTCATCCAGGAGGCCAGGGAGAAAGGGCCAACCTCAGTATCTAAGGGTTAAGGGTGTGCAAGAGAGTGCAATCAGTATTGCATTTCAGCAGATCAGCCAAGCTGCAGGATAGGTGACAGATATGAAACGATAAATGTGGAGGCAGGGAGACCAGGTAAGAAGTCTGCGGTGGTCTAATGGTGGAGGTGAAGAGAAGAGGGCAGGCTGCAGAAAAGGCAGGATACGAGGTAGAACTCCCACAGTTTCCTCATCTCTATTGTACATAGTAATCAGGGTCTAACATAGCTTCCCTTTCCCACCTACGACCTATGAGGTGCACCTGTCCGTAGTAAGTACTCAGTAAATGACTGGTGAATGAATGTGTTTTAAATAAGGTATATAGTGAGAAAAGTGAGCATTGGAGTCTATTTCAGTTATGTGTTACAATAATAATGCTGCAGAACAAACTCAAAACTTCAGTGGCATACAATACAAAGCATATAGTTTGTGCAGCTGGGATTAGCAGTGGCTTGGCTAGCTGGCTCTGCTGATTTGGGCAGGGCTTGTTCATATAGCTAGGGGTCAGCTAGCTGTTGGTTATCTAGACTGGCATTGGCTGGGGTGACTGGGGCAACTCAGCACCGCTCCATGCATATCTCACTGTCCAACAGGCCAGCCTGGGCATATTCACGTGGAGACTGAGAAGCACGAGAAGGCAGAATTGGGCCCTTGATAAGATCATCCTAACACAGAGGCAGATGTAGATTTGAACCCTATTTGCAACAGTCACTAATCATGTGATCTTCGGTGATTTATTTTACACTTTGTGGCTTAATGTCTTTATCTGTAAAATGGGGCTAGGAAAATTTATCTCACTGGGTAGTCAGGATTACATAAGAGTAATAACATCTCATTCCCACTATACCATCCTGAGAGGGTAAATAATTCTGCCTATGACGCAGGTATAGAAATAAAAAAGACTATGAAAAGATTAAAAAGAGCTCAAATGAAGGGAAGATAATTCTAGGCAGAAGAAAGAGCATGTTCAAAGGCTGTGTGAGTGAAGAGGTGGGAGAGTGTGCTGAAAGGTGGGCAGAAGCCTCTCTGCCCTGGGGGAGGGGATGGTGCCAGGGAGCTCTAATTGTATTTTGCTGGCACTGGGGAGCCATGGAAATTTCTGTAGGAAGGGAGAGATTTATTTTATTCCACAAACATTTATTTGGCACCTATGATGTGCAAGGTATTCTTTAAGATGCTTGGGAGACAGTAGTGATTAATCAATGTCCAGTGGGAGAGTCAGGGGGGTCAGGAAGATCTTGGCACAGAATGAGGTCAGAGTGAGAGAGGTCAAGATTGGCTGGCCAGGGGTATTAGCCCTGAGATACACTGCTGCTCTATGGGATTTTGCCCCTCATTCACAAGCAGAGGGCCTACCCTTAGGCCCCAAGTGTGTCAAGCCCCCTCTGCTTACAAAACTTTATTTTTCACAACCAAAGGTGGTTCATAATGGTGGGCTGAGGAGGAAGCAACTGAAGTAGGGGAAGCTCAGAAGTCTCTGAGGGTCCTTCCCACCAGGAATCTCCCCACTTGAACCTAAGGCTGGGACACTTTGGCATGTGTGTTTTAAAGGATCCGTGGGTTTGTGGGGAGGGCTGCACCAGTGACCAGTTAAGCCCAGTGGGTGATGCCTTTCCTTTGTTACTTTTCATGCAGACATCTGGAAAGAATTTGTCAAGAATTATAATAAAGAATACCACGGAATGAAAGCAAATGTGGTGAGAAGCAGAGTTGCCTTAAGACTGAGAAGCCAGCAGGAATGGCTGCTGCTAAGAACCTCATTCTTATAGGAAGGATTCAGTTCTTTCCCTGAGCAACAGAAGTGCATAGGTGCACGGCATAGTGTGTCAGTTAGCATTTGCTGAGTAACAAACCTTCCTCAAATTTAATGGCTTAACACAACAGCCATTTATTATTGTGTATAAGTCTCTGGGTTAGCTGGATAGTTCTGCTGATCTGGGTGGGGCGTGGCTGATTTTGGCTGGGCTCACTCATGTGTTAGGGTTCAGCTTGCAGGCTGGCTGGAGGCTGGCTCAGTCAGATGTTTTAGAGTTGGCTGAGGTGACAGTGTGGCTGGGCCAATGCCTATCATCATCCAGCAGGCTGGCCTGGGCTTGTTTACATGGTTAGGAGGTTCTACAAGTGAGAGTGGAAGTAGGCAAGGCCTTTTGAGGCATGGGCTTCAGAAGTGGCATGATGTCATTTCTTACACATTCTCTTGGCCAAAGTAAGTTCAAGGGATGGGAAAATAGCCTCTTCCTGATGATGGGAGGAGCTACTGTATCATCTTTTCATGACACATATGTAGGGACAGGTAGAACATTGTGGTCATATGCAGTGGACTGAGCCCATGGGCTTTGGAGTCCCATGGGGCTCTCAAGCCATGATTCTTTACTTAACCTTCGTCTATAAAATGAAAACACTGATAGAATCTATCTCACAAGATCATTTTGAGGTAAATGCACATGTACCTAATGCATAGTAAATTCTCAGTAGAAAATAACATTTTATGTATTTTGCATGTTTCTCATAAACTGATTGTGCATTCTAATTATTTAGTTTGGAAAATGTAGTCTCTGTAGGTTTACCCTTCCCTGAGGCAGTAGGGGAGATCATCACCTCTGTAATGGTATAATATGAACTCAGGAGTTGAGATTCGTAAAGCAGTAAGGAATGCATAGTCAGCTATACTGGAAATTTGGGAAAGGGAAATGGACTATGTGGGAAAGCGGGACTCTTATCCTTGCAGAAGTCACTATGAAATGAGGCTTTCAGTAAACAGAAGATGGGCATTTCATCCTTTCTCATTACTGAGCCTTCCTCAAGACCTCCTTAACATCCTAACATTATAAATACAATAATTTTAGAAATTACTTAGTCAATAAAAAATAAGCACTTATTGTATACGAGACTCTGTTCTAGGAGCCAGAGATACAGAGGAATAAGGAATTAAGGTATTTCTCCCATATTCAAGGACTTCAGTTTCATTACCTGTCCAGAAAACTATGAGAACCACCCATCACCTCTGGTTATAGATTCTTAAGTGGGATGTCAAGCCCCTTCCCTAATGATCTCAGTTTAACCTGCTGTCCTATTCCTCTGTGGCCTATTCCTGTGCTACACTCGAGCCAAGGTGGCCTCTTCCCTAGCCCCACACATACTCTTTGTTTTTCCATTCTTCCAAGCAGGCCCGGAGAAGGAATGGGCTCCACGATGCAGGGCCCGCGGTAGAGAACAGCCAGGCAGAGCAGGGGGCCTGGCTGGATGTGGCCACCATCTGCAGGGGTTCAGCATTGAGATATGACACTGTCACCTCCATCTCAAGAAGCCCTTACGGATGCCTCCCTTCCCTTCATGACTCACTGTGATCTACAACTCCTCAGAGCCAGCCTTAAAGTGGTCTGTGGATCAGTCTCATCTCCCCACTGGAGCTCCATGGGCAGAAAGCACTCTTTCTCTTCTGCCTACAACATCCTCCTCCCATCGGTATGCACCCCTTCCTAGGAGCCCCACAGGCAATGACAGGAACCCCCAACCCCATGTGTGCACATATACACATTCCCACATGTGTGGGGAATGAGAGGCTACATAGCCTGCTCCATCCTCTTCTTTTAACCTGCAATTACTGGGTGAAAAGAGTAGGATATAGTAAAATGCAAATGCTAGTTTAGTAAATGGCATAAAGACATTGAAGTGTCCCTGGACATCAGTCACGTGGCTGTGGAAGGGAGACTTAGGGTGTGGCTTTCCCCATGGACCATGGTGGGTCTTTGGGATCCCTCTCTTCCCCACCCCAGTCCTTTAAAGACCCACCAGCGACTTTGTGAGATTCTAGACTCCTTTCCCTCGTACCTCCTAGCCTTATTGGATGGAAAAGAGGGAACAGTGGTTCCTTTCTTTCTGCCACGCCTCCACCTTCCATTGGAGACTCCTATTTCTCCCTCCGTGACATCTTTGCTGAACAGAACAGCTCTTAAACCAGACCTTATCTGTTCCATGGGTGCAGAAGGGTGCAATGTGAACAGAAACAGCAAGTCTCTGGAAAAGAGCTCCTTCAGCTGCAAAGAACACAGAGGTCAGGAGGAATAAAGCTAATGAGAGAGCAGAGAGTCCTTTGTCTCCCCAGGTGTTATTCCCAGAGGGCAACTAGGGAAAATGGAGATGGGGTATAAACATCTGAATTCACTGTTAAACACTCCATGAACTGTTGATAATTCCCTAGAAGCAGCATATTCCTGAGGTAGCTTCATATGATCTCCAGAAGCAACTTACATGTAGACATTTTTCTGAGAATTCCAGAAAGAATATTGATAATTTTCAGACACCATGGCTTCCACGCCTCATCAACATGAGCAGTATTAGTCTTTATCTCTGACATCAATCAAACTTGAACACCATCAGCATGGGCTTTAATGAAATTCTCACATATGTATCAGAACTTGTATTTTTTCCTTTAGTCAGTGTCTTGATCCATTTGTGTTGCTGTAAAGGAGTACCTGAGGCTGGGTAATTTATAAAGAAAAGATGTGTATTCGGCTCATGGTTCTGCAGGGTGTACAAGAAGCATGATGCCAGGCATCCGCTTTGGGTGAGGGCGTCAGGCTGATTCTACTCATGGTGGAAGGAGAAGGGGAGCCATCGTGTGGAGATCACATGGTGAGAGAGGAAGCAAGCGGGGAGTGGAGGTGCCAGGCTCTTTTTAACAACCAGCTGTTGTAGGAGCACAGTGAGAACTGACTCACTACCTAGAGAATGGCACCAAGCCATTCACAATGGATCCGTCCCCATGACCCAAGCACCTCCCATCAGACCCACCTCCAACACTGGAGATCAGATTTCAGAGTGAGACTTGGTGGGGCCAAACAAATCATATTCAAACCATAGCAATTAGAATCTTAAAATCAAAATTGATGGCTTTATTTTTCTAAAAATGGGAAAATATCTCCAAAACATTGTTCAAAAACAAAACAAAACAAAAAAAAAATGTTTGTTCTTATATCCCATCAGTTTATTCAACTAACATTCACTGTGGACTTTTTATAAGGCAGTAACTGTTTTATGAATAGGAGATATAAAACTGGGTGAAACAGTGAGGTTCCTGGCCACTGTATTGTAATAATAGAGGCACATATACCAAAGAGCTAAAATACAGGCAGCAAACTCTAGGGACTGAAGTAAATTTCCTTAATTTAATGAAATGTATCAAGCAGAAACCCACAATAAGCATCATACTTAAAGGATTCATTTGAATTTTTTTATTTATTTTTATTAAATCAGATATACTTTTCTAGTTTTTTTAATTTTTATTTTTTGCATTTCTTGATCATTTCAAAGTGAGGTCAGTTACAGAGTGAATGGGTTCATCCTGTCATTGTAAATAACAGTTTTTTGTTTAATAATGGCATTTTGTATTACCAAGACCTTGCTTCACATTAGGTGTTTCGTATACATTATCTCATTTAATCAAAACCAGCACTCTATATCATGGGTGCCACCATTCCTCTGATTTTTGCTAAGGAGGAAACTGAGGTTCAAAAAGGGTAAATAAGTTGTCCAAGACCACACAGCCATTGTTTGGCAGAGCTGGGGCAAAGGTCTATACTGCTGCAAAGCTTGTGATTTTTGGCTGCTACCCTCTAATGTTCTGTGAGGGTGGAACACCTAACCTAGAATTTCCCTGTGGATCACTCACCCCCAATGATGGCATGTCTTGCTCTGGACCCATGATATAATGATCTGGATACAGCCAAAGTCACTAAGCACGCTACACCCTAGCCTTTCAATTCCTTTATTACTTCATGGAGAATCATGTATTTCAGCCACTCAAGTATCTTTAAGGTCTAGGCCTTATCGAATGGGGTTTAGTCACTCAGTACAGTCTGCCCTTTGTACTCATGAGTTCAGCATTCATGGATTTGAAGAACTGTGGGGTGAAAATATTCCAAAAAAATGGATGGTTGCATCTGTACTGAACATATACAGACTTTTTTCAATATTTCCTAAACAATAAAGTATAGCAATGATTTACATATTATTTACATTGTATTGGGTATTATAAGTAATCTAGAGATTAAAGTATATAGGAGGATGTGTGTATGTTATATGCAAATTCTACACCATTTTACATCAAGGACTTGTGTGTTCTTGGGGTTTGGTGTCAGGGTGGTCCTGGAACCAGTTCCCCATGGACATTGAGGAATGACTGTGCTTCCCCTACCCAACAGAAGTGGTTCTCCCGTCAGGTTATAATAGGGAAGGGATGTGTGATCTTTCCTGAGAACTGAGGCATGCTATTAAGCTTTAAATGGAGCATCTCTAAGTTTCCTTACCAAAAAGTAATCAGACAAAGGGCCATGTGGCAAGAGCTCTTGCTTCACCAAACACGTAGTGATGGACCCCCCTATACCCAGTGTGCCAGACATCATCATGAGATGTAACTCCTTTCACATATCTCTTCCCTTGCCAGAGGAAGGAACTGAGGCTCAGAAAGGTTCAATTCCTCACCCAAAGGTTTCCAACCCAAGGTTTCTGACCTGGAGCCCTGCTCTTTCCTCCACACCCTGCTGCCATTATTTTGTCTTGTTGGGCTGGGGAAGGGCAAAGAGGGTGCCCACTGCTGGATGAAAGAAGCAGCTACATTCCCATTCAAGGTGTGCTGAGCCCAGTCCTAACTGCTCAAGTCTTTCTTAGGTCTTATGATGGAACTGAAAAGCAGGCTACCTATTTTATCCAGGAAGCAGACAGAGGATACGGATGGGCAAGCACTTCTATCAGATGCTGGTTCTGTTGTAAGACATCATCAAGGTTCCTCCAACCCCTGCTCCTCATCACACTGCACAGCCCTTTGGCAGAGACAGGGAGAAGCTTGTTGTTTGAGACATCTGGAGTTAGAAAGTATCTGAGCTTTAAATGGAGAAGGAGTGGGGAGAAACTGACAGTGAAGTGTAGACATGAGGCTTAGAGAGATGCTAACTAAGTAGTCATGAGTCGAATCTCCCATTTAGTCAGACACATTTTTCTAGTTTTTCTAGTTTTCTACCCTTCAAAATACTTTGTGTTAAACTCAATTACAGAGATAGATCCTTCCATTCATCAAGTGAATTTTAGAAGCCACACCTTTGGGTGGGTCTTAAAAGCAGTTCATGGGAATCTATAGGCTATTGTGTATAACTGGAGGGTAGCAGAAAACAAGTTCCTTGTGAGATCAGACACATGAGCTAAACATTTAGGAAAACCTTACAGAAGCAAATCTTTAACGGAAGGGTTTCCACACTGAGGGCCTTGTGTTGCTTTTGGGAATGGTGTAGAAATCACGTGCTTAGTCTTGAATTATGATTCACCTTTACTGAATGTCCCTTCTCTTTTCTTTACTCACTGTCGAACAGGAACCCAAAGGATGTAGTTTTTGGCAGATGTCCTTTGTAGGGTTCAGTATTTCTCACTCACCCCTTTAAGACCCTAAAGGGAGAGTTATTAATAGTTTCAGAAAGTTGAGGGAAATCATGCAGAGGTTCTCAGATGTTCAGAGAGGCTTCCTCTCCCCTTCCATGAAAGTTCTAAGGCTCATGGGTGAGGCCTAAGAAAGGCATGTCAGTTGTCTATCAAGTTCATTAGTTTATTCAGCTTATTTCTGAAGCTTTTGATGGGCCGGCTATTCAGAGGTCAATGAAATAGACATGAGTACTCTTCACAGACCTTACCGTCTAATAGGAATGATAGCAAGTGAATGTATAATAAATAAATAATTAGGGGTTGATTGTTACGAGTGCTATGAGGGGAATAGCCAGGGTGACATGTTTGAGAAGGGGTCAGTACTGCTAAGTGTTGGTCAGGGAAGCATTGCAGGCAGAGGGAACAGCAAATGCCCATGGTTTGGAGGCAGGAATGGTGTTCCAAGAGTAGTAGGGAGCCTCGGGACTAGAGTTTGGAGGATGAGCGGGGAGAGTGGGAGGAGATAGTGGGAAAGTCTGTGGAGCCAGTTCCCTGAGGGGCCTGGTGGGCCATGCTCAGTGGGGGTTTCATTTGACGAGCCATGGGAAGGCTTCCAGCAATGGGGGATGTGGTTTTACTTGTACCTTAAGAAGATCACACTGGGTCTTGTTTGGAGAATGGACAGGAAAGGAGCAGGAGAGCAAGCAGAGAGTCTGAGGTGCAAGAAATGCCCTGTCCTCCCAGCAGACTGGAGCGAATTCTAATTCTGCCTCTGCTACTTCATTCCTATGCAACTTTGGGCAGGTTTCCTAATCTCTCTGCCTCTCAACTGTTCACCCCTCATAAAATGAGGACAAGTATTTTCTCATGTGGTTTCTAGGACAAATAAGTATTCGTAAAGTCCTCTATAAACTTGGGCCATATGCTTATCTGAGCTATAATATGATTCATATTGAAAGGAGGGGGACTCCTGCAATGTTGGGAAAACGACTCAGCTGCCCCTATATAAGGAATATGTTATTACAGTCCGAGACTAAAAAGATGCTTTTGTTTCTTTACTGCCATCAGTGTCTCTCTAAGGGAGGGCGGCTGGTTAAAAATCACATGGTGTGGGCATTTATAGGGGTAATAACTTGAAATGATTAAACCCTTTTTTTTTAAAGCTTCATGTCTCTGTTCTCCATCTGTAGGTGGTGCATGAGTATGATATAGTGTGCATGTGTGACATGCTGCGAGTGTGAGGAATGCCAGAGGGAGACCCACGAAACTGCCCTGCAGGCAGAAGGCCACATGCTCTCAGCACCAGTCAGTGGTGCTCGCTAGTCCGGCAGATTGCTGTATTCTTGCACCCTGTACCACAACATTGTTAGGATAAAGTTTCATAAGTCTTATATGGCTTTGAACAAAGCAAGTCTATTTTTCATCATAGTATGGGTTATTTAGAATTCATATGTTATGAGGAAATACACTGTTTCAAATGCAGTTTTCTTTGTGGTGTCTCAGCAGATACTGAGTTTTGCTGCCCTGTCATCCAAGAGGGCCTCAAGGTGCCCAGAGAGACCAACTGAAAAATGTTCACTGGAACGGAGCTGCAATGGTGGAAACGTTCTGTGTGTGCCCTGTTCAGTACAGCAGCCACTGCGCGGCTGCTGAGCCCTTGAAATGTGGCTATCAGGGTAGAAGAACTGATTTTTAATATATTGAATTATGAGTCATTTAAATTTAAAGAGCACAGCTGTATTGGACAGCACAGCTGTAGAAGGATGTTTTCTCTCATGGAAAACCCCAACTCTGAGCCCCAGGGGTCCTATGGATCCATGAGCTCACAGACTCCCCTAACGTCCATGAAGATCATCACCAGGATTTGAGGGAATGCTGTGGTGCATACTTTGTGTTGGACAGTTATGGGGGATTGCTTTTGCCATCTCAGCATTTCACCGCTGTCCTCGGTATGAGATTATGGTGATGTTGAATGGGGGTCATTAGAAGGCTGTCCACAGAGGGGATCAGCCCCCCTCAATGACCACTACTCCGAGCATGGGCTTTCTTCTGTTTGATCTCGTTGGGCCCTCAGCTGTGACTGTGGAGAACAGCAAGTCCTCAGTGAGAGTATTTGTCACTTCCTACTCTTGGTGTTTAATATCATCCCTCTGGCACAGATGCTTGAAAATCAATGGTTTCTTGACACATCTTGGCTTGTGTGAGGGGCCATAACAATAGCAGGGCTCATGGCTCCTTTTTTTTTTTTTTTTTTTTTTTAAAGAGATAGGGTTTTACTCTGTCACCCAGGCAGGCAGGGGTGCAATAGAGTGATCATAGTTCACTGTAACCTCGAACTCCAGGTCTCAAGGGATCCTCCTGCCTCAGTCTCCTGAGTAACTGGATCTATACACATGTGCCCCCGTACCTGGCTAATGTGGCTTCCTTTATGTTCAGCAAGGAACTCTCAGTGTTTGTCCATTTCCTTAGGAACATGAGTGTTTTTGGAAGGCCTTTGATGAGTGGCAGTTGGGTGGATGGATGAGCTAATACATCCATCATCCTATCTCAGGAGGATGCTTGGATTTGTGTTTAGAAATTGGGTAACTCAGTTGTTCATGGAGGAAAAAGTTGAACATTACTCAAGTGCAGATAGGGAAACAGTGTAAGAACAAAAAACTTTTTTTCTATCTACAAGTGAGGAAAAAAATATTGACAGTGTGCCCAAGCTTCATGGTAGGATGGGTGTTAATTGGGAATGGCATGTAATTCTCTTCTGGAATCCAGTGTCTGGGCAAGTCCTGCCTCTCAGATTAAGGCACCAGCATTCAGCATAAGAGGGTCCTGCCTCTCAGATTAAGGCACCAGCATTCAGCATAAGAGGGAGTAATTGACATTCTACATGGCAAAAGACCCTTGAAAGATAACAGATGAATGTCTCATGGCCAGTAGCTTGGTTTTTTTGCATGGTGTAGATTTAGAATATAACTTTTACAGGGAAGAAAGGGGTTAAAATGTCTGGTGCCATCTGTCACAGTAATGAGTTGTGCAAAGCCCAATGAACCTTGTAGAAACAACATCGTGCCCAGAAATAGCCTAGACCTCAGAGTGACATCAGGGGGCGGGGACCTGATAGATGTGGTCCTGCAAAAGGACCGAAGGTTCTTCTTTAACAATTCAAATTGAATAGGAACCATTTTTAATTTGGGGGTAACTCCGTCTTCACCATTAATGGCCATTCTTCAAAGCTACTTTCATTCCTGTGAGGGATGGCCAGACACGAGAAAGCCAAGCAGGGATTTTCAGTTACAGGTGAGCATCCGATCTGCAGCCAGGGCTTTTTCTACCGGGCACATCTTTGTGCGCAGCCTGGTTTGAGCTGATCTGCACATAAACAGGCACTCTGGGTGTGGATGGGGGCATCTGTGTACTCTTTATGGCTATATTTCCAGAATATGCTTTTAAAGACTGTGGTCACATTTACCTTGGTTAGGGAAGATAGTGACTTATAAAAACCTCAAACATTTATGTTTCCCTTTCCAATATAAAAAGTGTTAATAATTTACCCACTTAAAAGGTTAAGATCAAAGAGATCATAAACACACATGAATACTATTTCAGGAACATAAAATTCAGCTATTTCTACTAACAGAAAGTGAGTTTATGGGATACCAATGCAAACAAACATAGATTTAGTGGAAAATGACTCAACCAAGTAAGATTTACAAAACAAACAAACAAAACTGTTTTCATCATCTTTGGTTGTAGTTTTATAAAGAATGCTGGTTCATGGACTCCAGACACTTCACTGAAACTGTGTGAATCATTTTAAACAGGTTTGTCCTTGGGCCCCAGATAGTACATTGGCATTTGTGAATCATTTTAGATGAGTTTGTCCTCAGTACAAATCGTGCTGTGTTTAAAGTTCTTGGAGACACTTCTCTCTTCCAATAAAAGGCTTTTACTAGATGTTTCAGTGACATAAAGTTGAAGACATAAATACTGTTTTATATTGTAAGCAGGACCAACTCTTTTATGGTGTGTTTTATACGTCTAGAGGATTTTTGTTGTTGTTGTTTCTTTGAGGTTTTCTCTGAAACTTCAGATTAAGGTAGTCCTTGAAGTGGAGGCTATTAAGACCTAGTGTTATCTGTCTCAGGGAGGTGGGGGACTAGGTGGACTGATGGACCCCAGAACTCCAGATTCCTTGCACTGGAAGCTGGTGTTTTGTGTTTGGAAGAGCCTCTGCCCTCTGTGTCATGCTGCAGTAAAGTATGGGTCAACATCCCCAAAATGTGTGACTCGCCCAAATTAAGTGGTGTCATACTCTGATCCTTCTTCCACTGAACATCACATTCTTCATGAGAATCACACCATTGTCCTCTGTCTGCCCTGCCTGTGAGACGGGCCATGCTCTATGCTTGCCCGCCTCTTCCATCAGGAACACTCACACAGTCATTCTCCTCACATACCCCACTCTCATCTGCTGCCCCTCACACCTGCCCTTCTATAGAATGTTCTACCCTTTAATAGGGAAGGGTTTCTTCTTCCTATGAATTTTTACCTCACTTTGTGTCTTTTTAGGTTTGTATTGGAACTATTTGCAAACAGGTCTTGGCTTATCTAAAGAAAAATTGTAAGCTCCCCATGACGCAAGACAGTATCTTATTTACCTTTGAAAACCTCATCACACTCTGCCCTGCTCAGAGTACAATCTAAATAAAAGTCTATTGAATGACTGAAGTAGAGTTTCTTTTTTAACACTTATATGCACATTCTTGTGACAGGCACAGTGAAAGATTTATCAAGGAATGACATGGTCCCCACCCATGACACTGTTAAATCCATAATTTGTGATGCATTGTTTTTAGTTATCTAGTGCTGCTGAACAAACCACTCCAAACTTAATGATGTAAAACAACAGCAATTTTATCATGCTCACAGACATTGTGGGCAAGGAATTCGGGACAGGGCACATTGGGGATGGCTGGTCTCTGCTCCATGATGCCTAGGACCTCAGCTGGGAGAGACTTGAACAGTTGGGGGCTGGTGAATCCATGTCTAAGCTTCTTCATTCACATGCCTGTCACCTTGGCAGCATGGCCTAGAAGCCTGGGCTTAGCTGGGCCTGAGACCCCCAGCATTCTCTTCAAGGTTGGGGAATTGGACCCTACATTTGATGGGAGAATTAGCCAGTTCATGTTGCAGAAGAGCATGTGGAGTCGGAGATACTTTACAAGCATCTATGGAAAATACAGTCTGAAGTGAATGCCCAAATGAGTGGCACCAACACTGATTATTACTGGGTGACAGAGGCACATGGAGAAAATGTCATGAGGGAGGAAATGCTGGGATTTGCCTTGACCTCTGGCTGGGGGACGGGGAGGGATGAGAGGTCCAAGGCAAGATGGATAAGTAGGAATAAGCAGCCTTGTTTTGGGGAAAAAGAGGGACAGACCTAGAATGGCTGGCTGGGTGAAATGGCTTGTTGTGTCTCCTAAATTAGATTTTACATTTTTGAGGGCAGAGCTACTTAATATTGTATTTACCCCAGAGGAAGATTATTTTTTTCATTCTCTAAATTGTTTAATTAAAACTCATAGTTCATGTTAAATTTGTTCAAAGTTTCCATCTAATGGTGAGGTGGTAAAGGAAATAAAACTTACCAAAATAGAAGAGGGAGAAATGAAAAGGAAATATGATCAATGATTTCTGTTCTTTTTACTTCCTACTTGCAAAGACTCTGGAAATGTAATGATGGTTCAGAGTGTTCTGCTATAAATCCTAACAGCTTAAACAATCTCCTGGGATCATATTGGCAAACTCTAAGATGATACAAGTATAGACTTAGTTTGTCTGAGCCCGAGGTTCAGTGTTTGGAGAAAAATAATACCTATGTCGAGATAATATCAGATAACCTATAAAAGCAGGTAGCCCAGTCATGCACATTGGTGATCAATCAATGTTAGCTGAATCCAAATATTACGAGTGCAGATGCTGAAAGGAACAAAAGGAAATCTCACTCAGTCATCCATCTGCCAGTATTTCCACCCTTTCCCGCAAAGAGGAGCTCAGTGTCTGTCTCTGTTATTGCATCAGGATCTCACATTATCCAGTAAACCCAAATGCTGTAGGTAAGAGATGTAATAGGTGGTATTTATTAAGTGGTTTTAATAAAGTTTTGTGGATAGGTATGACACCATTTCTTTTGAGCTTAAAGATGCTTAAAATAGCTAAGGTTAAAAATGAGGGAAGATCTGAAAAGAAAAACAGTAAAGAGATGTGAGATGTAAACACTGAAAGGAAGTAAGGGTAGAGCAAAAAAAAAGTAAAGCATCAGGTAAATATTTAATAAAATGTTTATACATGTATATTGACTGTAGGTGTAGGGTTAGTCTATTGAATAAAGCTGCCTTTCTTAGGAATGGTGGTCTCAAAATGCACCAGTGCCTTCCTATTGGCTGAATGTCCACTTCTGTTCTATGCACTGTGCTAAAGGGTGGACATGCTGAGATGAGTGTGAGTGGCCTCTGCACCAAAGAGTTCAGTCTAATTCTGGGGGTTGGGGATAAATATGTTAGCCAGTAAATGCCATTTATTGCTTTAGATGTCATCTCAGAAGGATAAGGAGCAGTGGGGACAGGAGGAGCAAGCCATCTCCTGGGGGAGTCAAGAAAGATGAGGACAGAGAGAGAATGTCCCTTGGATCCAATATGGTGGCCATTAGTGACCTTGTTAAAACCAGTAGGAATGGGGTGGCAAGAAGGAGAGTAGAACAGATTATAAGAAAGAATGAGTTTTGATGAAAGTATTGGAATTTTGATGACCTTTTTTATTACAGGTTTGGGAGCAACTACTTTCTTCACTCTCTAAACTGCAAATCATTCAGGGTAATTGTGCTGGTTCAGTTAGCCCCCAAGCTGAGAAGACAGGCCCACTGTGGTTTGAGTAACTTGGAAATCTTGTGGGGTCAGTGTTTTGACTCTCTTCATTTTGGTCATGGTTCAGGATTTTCACACACCACTAAGGTCTAGGGGAAGCTTCTCAGCTTTCTGGATACCCTCTCAGGGCTCATGAAGTGGCAGGCCTGCCCTGGGAAGGTCAGGATTCTTCTGTAAAAGCAGAGAACACTGCATGGAGCCCAGAGAGCCCACTCTCTGCGCTCTTCCCTTCCTATGGGCTCACACGGGGAAACAGATGCTTTCCTATAACTCTGAGCACTGAAGCAGCTTTGCTCTGCCTTGGCCGAAACATCTATCCAGGACCAAATTCTTAAAACCCCAGGGGCCCTGGGGTGATTTTCAGCCCAGGCCCTGAACCTGTCATAAAATGTAATGGATGATATATTTTTAACTGCTGAGACCAGAGAGTTCACATAACCTATGAAGACTGAAACAACATAATGTTTCTGCAGTTTTGAAGCATTTCAAAAACCAGAGGATGGTCTCTCTCATTAGGCATTACTAGTAAGACAAAAGTTCTTAACCATTTCTGTGCGTGGACGCCTTTGGCCGTTGGGAAGCGCACGTGGATCCTTTCTCAGAATATGCTTTTACATACATAGAATAAAATACATAGAATTACAAAGAAATTCAGTTATACTGAAATGGAGTTATCAAAATTTTTAAAGACCACTTTATGATATAATAATATACCAGCTTTTTCTTGATGCATGAAATAAGAAGATCTACAGACATTTTGAGTACTGTTAAGCATAAACAATATTTCAAGGTGTCTACAACTATAATATAGTGTGTAATATCTCAGATTTCTATCGACGGTAGAGTCACAGGTCTTTCTAATACTTTTGTGGTTTGATGCCTACATTTTATAATGGAAGGAAATGCTAAATTTCAGTTAGAGGTTAATAAAAATAAAGAAGGAAAATTCTTTTCCTCTATCTAAATCCACAGATGCCCTGAATTCTCTTCGAGGTTAAGAACTTCTGGTTTAAGATATGCTTTTGGTTGACAGTAGTAAAACAAGCCAAAAGAAGTTGACCATTTATGTGATGTGCAGTAATAAATTAGCAATTCAGAGTTGAGGAGCTCATTACTAATCTGTGGATAGTCCTAATCCCAGCCCTTTTCTTTCTGAGCTTTGCCTTTTGTAAATCTCAGTGCTTCACACACATCAGACAAAGATATTTTGTGAGTGGCTCTAAAAATGGGGGCAAAACATGACCCTGAGGAGGCCTGGGGCTGATCTGAGCCTTAAGACTTATTTGTGGAGACCTTGTGCTGTTCTTTTTTTTTTTTTTTAATTATACTTTAAGTTTTAGGGTACATGTGCACAACGTGCAGGTTTGTTACATATGTATTCATGTGCCATGTTGGTGTGCTGCACCCATTAACTCGTCATTTATCATTAAGTATATCTCCTAATGCTATCCCTCCCCCAGCCCCCCACCCCACAACAGTCCCCAGTATGTGATGTTCCCCTTCCTGTGTCCATGTGTTCTCATTGTTCAATTCCCACATATGAGTGAGAACATGCGGTGTTTGGTTTTTTGTCCTTGCGATAGTTTGCTGAGAATGATGGTTTTCAGCTTCATCCATGTCCCTACAAAGGACATGAAGTCATCATTTTTTATGGCTGCATAGTATTCCATGGTGTATATGTGTCACATTTTCTTAATCCAGTCTATCATTGTTGGACATTTGGGTTGGTTCCAAGTCTTTGCTATTGTGAATAGTGCCACAATAAACATACGTGTGCATGTGTCTTTATAGCAACATGATTTATAATCCTTTGGGTATATACCCAGTAATGGGATGGCTGGGTCAAATGGTATTTCTAGTTCTAGATCTGTGAGGAATCACCACACTGACTTCCACAATGGTTGAACTAGTTTACAATCCCACCAACAGTGTAAAAGTGTTCTTATCTCTCCACATCCTCTCCAGCACCTGTTGTTTCCTGACTTTTTAATGATCACCATTCTAACTGGTGTGAGATGGTATCTCATTGTGGTTTTGATTTGCATTTCTCTGATGGCCACTGATGATGAGCATTGTTTCATGTGTCTTTTGGCTGCATAAATGTCTTCTTTTGAGAAGTGTCTGTTGATATCCTTTGCCCACTTGTTGATGGGGTTGTTTGTTTTCTTCTTGTAAATTTGTTTGAGTTCATTGTAGATTCTGGATATTAGCCCTTTGTCAGATGAGTAGATTGCAAAAATTTTCTCCCATTCTGTAGGTTGCCTGTTCACTCTGATGGTAGTTTCTTTTGCTGTGCAGAAGCTCTTTAGTTCAATTAGATCCCATTTGTCAATTTTGGCTGTTGTTGCCATTGCTTTTGGTGTTTTAGACATGAAGTCCTTGCCCATGCCTATGTCCTGAATGGTGTTGCCTAGGTTTTCTTCTAGGGTTTTTATGGTTTTAGGTCTAACATTTAAGTCTTTAATCCATCTTGAATTAATTTTTGTATAAGGTGTAAGGAAGGGATCCAGTTTCAGCTTTCTACATATGGCTAGCCAGTTTTCCCAGCACCATTTATTAAATAGGGAATCCTTTCCCCATTGCTTGTTTTCGTCAGGTTTGTCAAAGATCAGATAGTTGTAGATATGCGGCATTATTTCTGAGGGCTCTGTTCTGTTCCATTGATCTATATCTCTGTTTTGGTACCAGTACCATGCTGTTTTGGTTACTGTAGCCTTGTAGTATAGTTTGAAGTCAGGTAGCGTGATGCCTCCGGTTTTGTTCTTTTGGCTTAGGATTGACTTGGCGATGCGGGCTCTTTTTTGGTTCCATATGAACTTGAAAGTAGTTTTTTCCAATTCTGTGAAGAAAGTCATTGGTAGCTTGATGGGGATGGCATTGAATCTATAAATTACCTTGGGCAGTATGGCCATTTTCACGATATTGATTCTTCCTACCCATGAGCATGGAATGTTCTTCCATTTGTTTGTATCCTCTTTTATTTCATTGAGCAGTGGTTTGTAGTTCTCCTTGAGGAGGTCCTTCACATCCCTTGTAAGTTGGATTCCTAGGTATTTTATTCTCTTTGAAGCAATTGTGAATGGGAGTTCACTCATGATTTGGCTCTCTGTTTGTCTGTTATTGGTGTATAAGAATGCTTGTGATTTTTGCACATTGATTTTGCATCCTGAGACTTTGCTGAAGTTGCTTATCAGCTTAAGGAGATTTTGGGCTGAGATGATGGAGTTTTCTAGATATACAATCATGTCATCTGCAAACAGGGACAATTTGACTTCCTCTTTTCCTAATTGAATACCCTTTATTTCCTTCTCCTGCCTGATTGCCCTGGCCAGAACTTCCAACACTATGTTGAATAGGAGTGGTGGGAGAGGGCATCCCTGTGTTGTGCCAGTTTTCAAAGGGAATGCTTCCAGTTTTTGCCCATTCAGTATGATATTGGCTGTGCGTTTGTCATAGATAGCTCTTGTTATTTTGAGATAGGTCCCATCAATACCTAATCCATTGAGAGTTTTTAGCATGAAGCATTGTTGAATTTTGTCAAAGGCCTTTTCTGCATCTATTGAGATAATCATGTGGTTTTTGTCGCTGGTTCTGTTTATATGCTGGATTATGTTTATTGATTTGCGTATGTTGAACCAGCCTTGCATCCCAGGGATGAAGCCCACTTGATCGTGGTGGATAAGGCTTTTGATGTGCTGCTGGATTCGGTTTGCCAGTATTTTATTGAGGATTTTTACATCGATGTTCATCAGGGATACTGGTCTAAAATTCTCTTTTTTGGTTGTGTCTCTGCCAGGCTTTGGTATCAGGATGATGCTGGCCTCATAAAATGAATTGGGGAGGATTCCCTCTTTTTCTGTTGATTGGAATAGTTTCAGAAGGAATAGTCCCAGCTCCTCCTTGTACCTCTGGTAGAATTCGGCTGTGAATCCATCTGGTCCTGGATGTTGTTTGGTTGGTAAGCTATTAATTGTTGCCTCAATTTCAGAGCCTGTTATTGGTCTATTCAGAGATTCAACTTCTTCCTGGTTTAGTCTTGGGAGGGTGTATGTGTCGAGGAATGTATCCATTTCTTCTAGATTTTCTAGTTTATTTGCGTAGAGGTGTTTATAGTATTCTCTGATGGTAGTTTGTATTTCTGTGGGATCGGTGGTGATATCCCCTTTATCATTTTTTATTGTGTCTATTTGATTCTTCTCTCTTTTCTTCATTAGTCTTGCTAGCGGTCTATCAATTTTGTTGATCTTTTCAAAAAAACAGCTCCTGGATTCATTGATTTTTTTGAAGGGTTTTTTGTGTCTCTGTTTCCTTCAGTTCTGCTCTGATCTTGGTTATTTCTTGCCTTCTGCTAGCTTTTGAATGTGTTTGCTCTTGCTTCTCTAGTTCTTTTAATTGTGATGTTAGGTTGTCAATTTTAGATCTTTCCTGCTTTCTCTTGTGGGCATTTAGTGCTGTAAATTTCCCTCTACACACTGCTTTGAATGTGTCCCAGAGATTCTGGTATGTTGTGTCTTTGTTCTCATTGGTTTCAAAGAACATCTTTATTTCTGCCTTCATTTTGTTATGTACCCAGTAGTCATTCAGGAGCAGGTTGTTCAGTTTCCATGTAGTTGAGCGGTTTTGAGTGAATTTCTTAATCCTGAGTTCTAGTTTGATTGCACTGTGGTCTGAGAGACAGCTTGTTATAATTTCTGTTCTTTTACATTTGCTGAGGAGAGCTTTACTTCCAACTATGTGGTCAGTTTTGGAACAGGTGTGGTGTGGTGCTGAAAAGAATGTATATTCTGTTGATTTGGGGTGGAGAGTTCTGTAGATGTCTATTAGGTCCACTTGGTGCAGAGCTGAGTTCAATTCCTGGATATCTTTGTTAACTTTCTGTCTCGTTGATCTGTCTAATGTTGACAGTGGGGTGTTAAAGTCTCCCATTATATTGTGTGGGAGTCTGAGTCTCTTTGTAGGTCACTAAGGGCTTGCTTTATGAATCTGGGTGCTCCTGTATTGGGTGCATATATATTTAGGATAGTTAGCTCTTCTTGTTGAATTGATCCCTTTACCATTATGTAATGGCCTTCTTTGTCTCTTCTGATCTTTGTTGGTTTAAAGTCTGTTTTATCAGAGACTAGGATTGCAACCCCTGCCATTTTTTGTTTTCCGTTTGCTTGGTAGATCTTCCTCCATCCCTTTATTTTGAGCCTATGTGTGTCTCTGCACGTGAGATGGGTCTGCTGAATACAGCACACTGATGGGTCTTGACTCTTTATCCAATTTGCCAGTCTGTCTTTTAATTGGAGCATTTAGCCCATTTACATTTAAGGTTAATATTGTTATGTGTGAATTTGATCCTGTCATTATGATGTTAGCTGGTTATTTTGCTCATTAGTTGATGCAGTTTCTTCCTAGCCTTGATGGTCTTTACAATTTGGCATGTTTTTGCAGTGGCTGGTAATGGTTGTTCCTTTCCATGTTTAGTGCTTCCTTCAGGAGCTCTTTTAGGGCAGGCCTGGTGGTGACAAAATCTCTCAGCATTTGCTTGTCTGTAAAGGATTTTATTTCTCCTTCACTTATGAAGCTTAGTTTGGCTGGATATGAAATTCTGGGTTGCAAATTCTTTTCTTTAAGAATGTTGAATATTGGCCCCCACTCCCATCTGGCTTGTAGGGTTTCTGCTGAGAGATCCACTGTTAGTCTGATGGGCTTCCCTTTGTGGGTAACCCGACCTTTCTCTCTGGCTGCCCTTAACATTTTTTCCTTCATTTCAGCTTTGGTGAATCTGACAATTATGTGTCTTAGAGTTGCTCTTCTCGAGGAGTATCTTTGTGGCATTCTCTGTATTTCCTGAATTTGAATGTTGGCCTGCCTTGCTAGACTGGGGAAGTTCTCCTGGATAATATCCTGCAGAGTGTTTTCCAACTTGGTTCCATTTTCCCCGTCACTTTCAGGTACACCAATCAGACGTAGATTTGGTCTTTTCACATAGTCCCATATTTCTTGGAGGCTTTGTTCGTTTCTTTTTATTCTTTTTTCTCTAAACTTCTCTTCTTGCTTCATTTCATTCATTTGATCTTCCTTCACTGATATCCTTTCTTCTAGTTGATCGAATTGGCTACTGAGGCTTGGGCATTCGTCACGTAGTTCTCGTGCCATGGTTTTCAGCTCCATCAGGTCTTTTAAGGACTTCTCTGCATTGGTTATTCTAGTTAGCCATTCATCTAATTTTTTTCAAGGTTTTTAACTTCTTTGCCATGGGTTCAAACTTCCTCCTTTAGCTCAGAGTAGTTTGATCGTCTGAAGCCTTCTTCTCTGAACTCATCAAAGTCATTCTCCATCCAGCTTTGTTCCGTTGCTGGTGAGGAGCTGCGTTCCTTTGGAGGAGGAGAGGCACTCTCATTTTTAGAGTTTCCAGTTTTTCTGCTCTGTTTTTTCCCCATCTTTGTGGTTTTATGTACCTTTGGTCTTTGATGATGGTGATGTACAGATGGGGTTTTGGTGTGGATGTGCTTTCTGTTTGTTAGGTTTCCTTCTAACAGTCAGGACCCTCAGCTGCAGGTCTGTTGGAGTTTGCCAGAGGTCCACTCCAGACCCTGTTTGCCTGGGTATCAGCAGCGGAGGCTGCAGAACAGTGGATATTGGTGAACAGCAAATGTAGCTGCCTGATCATTCCTCTGGAAGTTTTGTCTCAGAGGAGTACCTGGCCGTGTGAGGTGTCAGTCTGCCCCTACTCGGGGATGCCTCCCAGTTAGGCTACTCGGGGGCCAGGGACCCACTTGAGGAGGCAGTCTGTCCATTCTCAGATCTCAAGCTGCCTGCTGGGAGAACCACTACTCTCTTCAAAGCTGTCAGACAGGGACATTTAAGTCTGCAGAGGTTTCTGCTGCCTTTTGTTTGGCTATCCCCTACCCCCAGAGGTGGAGTCTACAGAGGCAGGCAGACCTCCTTGAGCTCCGGTAGGCTCCACTCAGTTCGAGCTTCTCAGCCACTTTGTTAACCTAGTCAAGCCTTGGCGATGGTGGGCGCCCCTCCCCCAGCCTTGCTGCTGCCTTGCAGTTTGATCTCAGACTGCTGTGCTAGCAATGAGCAAGGCTCCGTGGGCGTAGGACTCTCCGAGCTAGGCACGGGATATAATCTCCTCGTGTGCTGTTTGCTAAGACTGTTGGAAAAGCGCAGTATTAGGGTAGGAGTGACCCGATTTTCCAGGTGCCATCTGTCACCCCTTTCTTTGACTAGGAAAGGGAATGCCCTGACCCCTTGTGCTTCCCAGGTGAGGTGATGCCTCGCCCTGCTTCGGCTCACGCTTGGTGTGCTGCACCCACTGTCCTGCACCCACTGTCTGACACTCCCCAGTGAGGTGAACCCAGTACCTCAGTTGGAAATGCAGAAATCGCCCGTCTTCTGTGTCACTCATGCTGGGAGCAGTAGACTGGAGCTGTTCCTATTTGGCCGTCTTCGCTGTTATTTTTAAGAATAAATTTTAAAAGGACAAAGTAAAACTCCAAGTTGAACTTAATGGCAAGGAAGTGTCAAAATGAGACTCTGCATGTAACTCCCCATGCCTCTCCACTACTGATATGGATCTGCCTGGTCCACATCATCCTGGAGTGCTAGGGTGACCCTAGCACTGTATCCAGCTCTTCTCACCTCTTTAGGAATTTTAAGCCCACAAATTAAGTATGGAATTTATTACATGGTATCTTGGATTTCAGAAGCAGAATCTGAGATGGGGATTTTTGCCAGAGATTTATTGGGGGAGTGCTCTCAGAAGTGAGGAAAACAGAAAGGGACAGAGAAAAAAATGTTGAGTAAGGATGTGGTCTCAGGAAAAGTCTAGCCTCAGCCTGATCCCGTGCAGAAGCTCTGGAGCAGAGCTTATCCCACCCAGCAGCAAGGGGGATGGGGTGTTATCCTGCTGCATCTGCCAGCTAGGGAATGGGGCAGGTATTAGTTTTCTAGGCCACTTCAAAAATTACAAATTTAGCAGCTTAAAACAGCATAAAGTTACTATCTCACAGTTTTTGTCAGTTAGGAGTCTGAGCATGGCCTGCTTAGCGTTTCACAAGGCCGTACTCAAGGTGCCAGCCAGATCTTTTATGCGGCTTGGGGTCTTGCTCCAGGCTCTCATGGCCGTTGCTGGAATTCACTCCTGCAGCTGTGGAGCCCAGGGTGACTTGCTTCTTCAAGACTAGCAGAAGACTCTTTTTGCTGCTTCTAGTCTCTTAGCTCAGCCTTCCAGTCTCTTAGCTCAGCCTTCCAGTCTCTTAGCTCACTGCTCTCCAAGGATTCTTGACACTTGCACTCCAACCCACTCTGGGTCAGAAGCTATTCCTCCCTGTGAAAGGGGTCACTTGAGTAGGCCAATTCACGCCATCCTTTCTGATTCACTCAATTGAGCTGATTCAGAACTTTAATTACATCTGCAAACTCCCCTCACCTTTGCCATTTAATGTAACATCACAGGAGTGAGAACCATCATATGTCCAGTCCTTCCTACCCTCAAAGGGAGAAGATTATACAGGGGCATGGGTCACTGGCATCATTTTAGGATTCTGCCTGTCACAGGGCGTCACTTGCAGGCTTCGCTGGAGGAGATGGCTCCTGTCACCCAAGGGCAGTTCTCCTGAGAAAGTTGTGGGCATAAGCAATGCATGTAGCGGCTAGGGCACTGAGGTCCCGTGACCTGGTTCCAGCCTGCTCTCCTTCCCTGTCCATAGTCCCTCCCTGCCCCTCCCCCGTGATCTTGCCCCACAGACCTTTCTCAGGTGGCGGTGGTGATGGTGTTGTAGGGGCAACTGGCTTTTTTAGAGTGTCAGGAGCTCTCCAAGGTGCTTGACATCCATTTCTCTAATCTTCACAACAAGCATGCAAGGTTGATTCTGTCATCCCATTTTACATCTGAGAAAACAAGCTCAGAGAGAGTAAGTAAAGTGGCCAAGGTTGCAGTTTGCAAGAAATGGAGCTTGGACCCCCTCTGACCTTGAACTGGCTGACATCAAAGTTGTCGCTTTGCCTGGTCCTGTCACCTCTCTTCCTCAGATGTCTAGTGTTTATTAGACCTCCATAGTATCTTCACCAACTGAGAAGGTGCCCCATCAGCCTGAGGAACTCCCAGGGTCACCCCTCTACAAGGATTCTTGACACTTGCACTTCTACCCACTCTGGGTCAGAAGCTATTCTTCCCTCATTGGATTGCCACCATTCTTGTAAGGGCACCTTCTCTGCACCACAGTTTTTTGCTCACACTCCTCCTATTTTTCTCTTCTCAGCTTCCCTATGCCTCATGATGCCAGGCATAAGGCACACAGCAACCAAGTGTTGGCAGAAGGCAAATTATATGGTTTGGCTGTGTCCCCACCCAAATCTCATCTTGAATTTTAGCTCTTATAATTCCCACATGCTGTGGGAGGGACCTGGTGGGAGATAATTGAATCATGGGGGTGATTTTCCCCATACTGTTCTTATGGTAGTGAATAAGTCTCATGAGGTCTGATGCTTTTATAAGGGGAAACTCCTTTCACTTGGCTCTCATTCTCTCTTGTCTGCTGCCATGTAAGATGTGCCTTTTGCCTTCCACCATGGTTGTGAGGCCTCCCCAGCCATATGGAACTGTGAGTCCATTAAACCTCTTTTACTTTATAAATTACCCAGTTTTGGGTATGTCTTTATCAGCAGCATGAGAACAGACTAATACACCAATTGAGGTTCCTCCAGAGAATTAACAAAATGTCCATGCACTCTTTCGTTGTTCCCCCATACCCACAGACCTGCCATCCCTGGCCCTGCCTGGATGCCGGTACCTGGCCACTGCTGCTATATTCCATGCTTTTGGACAAGAGCATGTTCAGTATTGTCCAGGAGACCCAGGGAGCTCAAGACAGAGCTGAGATCCAGTTCCTACAGCCACAGTTAACACCCCAGCCCCCGACACACACACAGACTTTTCAATGCAAAATCAAACCATTCCCAAATATCCAGCTACATATTGTTTTACCTTTGAAGAGAAAAAAGCATCAGTGGGGTTATGTGATTTTCATAGATGAACAATTTTTGCAAATATGTTAATTGAAGAGTAATTGGTGCTTTTTTGACCCTCCTGAGCACTGATGCTTGCCAAAGGGTTATACATTTCAGACTAATGATGATATCCATTACTATATGTGCAATTGCTTATAAACTAATATATAGTCATATTAAAATCTCTAATCTGATTGAGAAATTTTCAGAAACAAGGTACACTGATTTTCTTACCACTTATTTCCTGCTCTCATGACAGAATTTCTGGAGTTCTTTGAATTCACCTGGTTTTTGGAGCTCTGTCAAGTCAATATTTATAACTGAACTAGTTCAAACAGTTCAAGCATTGTCTCTTCCTTTCTGGTTGAAGTTCTGTCTTAGAAGACTGTTGTAGTCAGCTGTGCTTGTCATAAAGTTTTGTTTAAAATTATTTTAGAATTTTCTTCTTTGGCTTTAATTTAAATTTTTGTTTGTTTACTTTTTTTTTTTTTTTCCCCGGCTCACTGCAAGCTCCACCTCCCAGGTTCACACCATTCTCCTGCCTCAGCCTCCCAAGCAGCTGGGACTACAGGCGCCCGCCACCAGGCCTGGCTAATTTTTTTGTATTTTTTAGTAGAGACAGGGTTTCACCGTGTTAGCCAGGATGGTCTCGATCTTCTGACCTCATGATCCACCTGCCTCGGCCTCCCAAAGTGCTGGGATTAGAGGTGTGAGCCACCGTGCCCAGCCTTGTTTACTTTTTAATTTATAGGATTGTAAATGAAACTATACTTGGCCTCAGTTTATTCTCTGGGAAATAGGTTCTTGCTACAGGTACAGTTTATAATAAGGATTTATTTCATAATAGGGAGCTTTTTATAGATTTTAATATCATAGTTGCCATTTAAAAAATTGTATTAAAGGCCGGGCGCAGTGGCTTATATCTGCAATCCCAGCATTTTGGGAGGCCAAGGCGGGTAGATCACCTGAGATTAGGAGTTTGAGATCAGCCTGGCCAACATGGTGAAAACCCCGTCTCTACTAAAAATACAAAAAATTAGCTGGGCGTGGTGGTGTGTGCCTGAATTCCCAGCTACTCTGGAGGCTGGGGCAGGAGAATCACTTGAACCTGGGAGGCAGAGATTGCAATGAGCTGAGATTGCGCCACTGCACTGCACAGAGTGAAACTCTGTCAAAAAAAAAATGCATTAAAAATGGTAATGATCACCATTTATTGCTTGCCTACAGTATGTCAGTCATTATACAAGGTATATTTTATAATTATAAATATTATTTATTATCTGATTACAAATATGTTATACCTTGCACTGTGTCCTGTATGTCTGTTATGTTTATTTCTGAATTTTCCTTCCTTTTTCCTCTCCATGCTTTGATCTGGATATTTCCTATTGAGAGAATACACTGAGGCCCAGTGTGATTTCATTCACAATCCTATAAATTAAAAAGCAAACAACTTCTGGGTCACTGGTCGTCTTTTCTGCTGTGTTCAATCTCCAGTAAAATATGTCAGCACCTTAACCACTGTCCTCTGCCTGGTTTCTTAGTCTCACAGCCCCGTGCTGCTGTAGAATTGGCAGATGCCTTGAGGACAATTGTGGCGTACAGTAAACATACCTCAATATACTTATTTCTGTTTGGGATTTTCGCCCCTCAAGTCCTCATTGCGTTATTAGCCCTGAGCTCTTAAGTTTTGTCTTCACAGAGTCATAAGACTTCCAGAAATTCAGCTTAGAAACTCAAGAACTTAGCTTTTTAGCCACTGCTTCACTTTCAGTTTCATAGCCTCTCATCCCACACTGCTTACAAATCTGGAAACACCTCAAGGGAAAAGTGCCCATAAATGTTGGGGTTACCTCCACATTCTTTCCTTCTCTTTGGGACCCTATACTCTGAAGTCCTGGCTGTCTTGATAGTTAGTTCCCTGATAACTTTATATATTTTTAATTTTTTTAAATGAACCTGGCATTTCAAACATAAGTTCCATGATAATTTTAAACAGGGGTGTGTGTGTGTATGTGTGTGTGTGTGTGTCTGTGTGTGTGTGTGTGTGTGTGTGTCCAGCTTTTCGAGTTGTCCGTGGGAGGACGGTTTCAGTAAGTTACTCTATCATTACTGGAAATGCAAAATCCTGTTTTCTTTTAAAAGAGTCTTCAAGCTGATGAAAATTTTAAAGTAGCTTATAACATTTTAACTGTGATCTTATTTATTATGAGTATAGAGATAAAGGAAAAGGCATCCCACTTCTGAAGATTTCTCGTTTCTAGGAGTGTCTACAAGATTATCATAGGTGAAAGTAGGGTTGGATGCAGAGAAATAGTAAGAAAGGATGGAGGATGGAGGGGATAAAAAGATCACATGTTTGGTGAATCCTCTTTTAAAAACACTTAGAAGATTTTCCCTAAACTAATTATCTGGCTTAATGCTAACTGCTTATTTGCTGACCTTCTGCTTTATTTACAAATTTAAAGTGGGGCCAACCCTTCCTGTTTTCCTTTAATTTACCCCGGCAGCTGCTGGTTAGCTAAGGAAGAAAAAAAACCCTTTTTTTTTTTTTTTTTTTTTTTAATGGAGACAAGCAGCAATTAGGTAGGCTTCTAGGTCAGGTGGCCAGTTAGGGGTGCCAGGGTTCCCAGGTCCAGCTTTCTTCGGGTCATAGAGTGAGGGTGGGAATCAAGTCACTCAGATATTTCTCCCGAATTGAAATGCGTGTCTTCCTTTGGCTGGGCAGATGAGGTCCCCTCTTCTCCATCTCTGCTGCTGGGTCCTGGTGCAAGCCCTTACTCTCTTTCCACTAAACCCATGTGGCAGCCTCCTCCTTAGCCTGTTTCTCCCCAGTCCTGCACCCATCAGTCCACTGCCACACGGCAGCTACAGGGACCTTTCTAGAACACAGCCTCCTGCTGCCTCCATGTTGGCCTCCCTGCCCCTGTCAGAGGGATTTTTATTTATTTTATTTATTTATTTTTGAGACAGAGTCTTGCTCTGTCACCCAGGCTGGAGTGCAGTAGTGTGATTGCAGCTCACTGCACCTCCGCCTCCTGGGTTCAAGCAATTCTCCTGCCTCAGCCTCCTGAGTAGCTGGGATTATAGGCGTGCTCCACCACGCCCGGCTAATTTTTGTATTTTTAGTAGAGATGGGGTTTCACCACGTTGGCCAGGCTGGTCTCAAACTTCTGACCTCAGGTCATCCGCCTTCCTCAGCCTCTTAAGGTGCTGGGATTACAGACGTGAGCCACCATGCCCAGCCAAGAGGGACTTTTCTATAACAGCCTCTAGGATCATGCTACCCCCTTCCCAGCTCTCCCTAGCTTTTAAGATCACATAACCTGCAAAGTGCCCTGAGATCTGGTTCTGCATGAATCTTCTCTACCCTATTGCTGCCTATCAACTTGACTTCCCACCTTTGGGAGTCAGATGCAGTCCGCTGGACAGCCCATGCCCTCTCCATGTGGCTATACCACCCCTGCCTTGCCCCTGCTCTCTGCCTGATGTCCTACTGTCTTTTGACTGTGCCCAGGGGCATTTCCTCTGGGAAGCCTGCCAGCCCTCAGTCTGAACCTTTGGGTCCCCAAAGCCTCCCCTGTCCTGGTATGTGTTGCACTGCGTTGTCATCTCTTGTCTGTTTCCCCTGAGACTCATTATTCCCTGAAGGTCTTTCATCTCTGTTTCCCTGTGGCCCAGCACATTGCCTGGCATAAAGTAAGCACCCAATAAATTTCAGATGGAGCATATGTTAAGTTCCCTATAAAACCTCAGCTGCTGCAAATTCTGCCACCAGCCTGGGTGTTCTCCTCTGTGGGGACTCCTTCAGTTTTCAGAGACAGGAGACTCCCATAGATTTTTAGCAGGAAAAGGTAGATTCTTGCCTTTTAGTCTGTCAGAATGACACTTTATTAGATGCTTTAGAACTGCAGAAGCTTCAATTTTAGAATTTTCAGTTTGTAGCGTTATTTTTTTTAAGCAGTAAAATTTCAGCGACTATGGTCTGTGCCAGAGCCCTAAGCCTCTTTCTCCATCCTAAGGAGTTTCTCTGCTTAATTGCAGTGCTGAGCTCAGGGAAGCTGCATATCCAAAAATGAAAAGGAAACCGCTAAATTGTGCTGCTACTTTTCCTTTGCAGCTCAGATAAAACAGGCCCAGTGTGGGAAGAAGGGGCTGTCCTTTTGGGGGTGTTGGCCTGTTTCTAATTGCTGCACCCTCCTCTGCCTCCACCCATGCCTCAGTGTGGTTTGGGTCCCTTCTGCCCAGAGCTACTGGGACATGTAATAAGAAGCTGCTTTTCAGACTTCTTAATTAAAATAGGTTCCGGCAGCCATTGCCAGGAAGCAGCATTCGCACCCCTACATGTCCAAATGCATTACTCATCCAAAATAAGATATGCCACGACTCAGGTTTCCCTCCTCAGCCACCATGGCTTGAATGGCTGCATTTAGAAACAGCCCTTACTTCAAGCCCCTATTTCTTAATTATTTGTCACTTATTCCCATTCATCCTTGTGTGTGAAACATTTTTCCCCTCACCCTATATGCTGTTATGTAAACAAGTAATTTTTTAGGATGATGTCAGAACCTGATGTAGTTGGGGTGGTTTTAAAATAGTATTTTATGGACAGCAAGAAAAGTAGTTTTGCTTCTGGTTTCACTTGCTAGCTTTGGGATGGAGGGACATTTATTTGAGCTTCTGCACCTCTGTGATCTTGTCTATAAAACGGGGGGCAATGGCTGGTGCTGTGGCTCACACTTTTAATCCCAGCACTTTGGGAAGATGAGGCAGAAGAATCACTTGAGGCCAGGAGTTCAAGACCACCTTGGGCAACATAGTGAGACCCCATCTCTACAAAATAAAAAATAAATAAAAGAAATAAAAGAATGAAAGTTAGCTAGGCATGGTAGTATCCAACTGTAGTCCCAGCTACTCAGGAGGCTGAGGCAGGAAGATTGCTTGAGCTTAAGAGTTCAAGGCTGCAGTGAGCTATGATTGTCCCACTTCTGGGAAACAGAGCAAGACTCTGTCTCAAAAAAAAAGTGGAAGGTGGGGGTCAATAATCTGCCAGCTCAGGTATTGTAAGGATTAAGAAAGACAGTGTCTGTGAAGAGCTTGGCCCAGTCTCTGGAACACATTTGGTAGCCAGGAAATAGTAAATGACTTCTGTTTCCCTACCCCCATCTTCACCTCCTCCCCTAGAATAACAACATCATAACTGACTTATTTCATCATTAAGGATTTAAATGCAAAACCTTAAGATAGTCAGCCTTAGGGAAACACTGAAGAATTTATTTTTAAACACATAAAGATTGCATTCATTCATCCTTCTCCACACCGCGGGCAGTCTTCAAATTCTGGTTAGCAGAGTCAGCGGGCAGGGAGGATCTGGATCCTGGGGTTGTGTGCTTTGCTCCCAGAGGGACATGAGTATCAAAGGTCTGCCCCGATATCTGGAGTTCAAGAGGCGTTTTCTGGAAACAATTTGTCCAAAGGCTCCCCTATCACTCTCTTGGAGAAGTCCTGTGTTTTATTTATGCTGAATGATTGAATCTATTCCCAGCCGAATGTTTTCCTGAACACCAGTAAAAATCATCTGCCAGTCACTCGGGCTCCCACCCCGGGAGTCATCTGTCCCCTTTGCCTGGTCTCCCATGCCTCACAGCTCAGCAGCCACAGGCATGGCCATATCTGCCTCTCTTGCCCTTGCCACTCCACTTCATCATGGCCGTCTCCTCTCTGGGGCTGCTGCGGGAGATTTCCAGTCTGCCCTCCAGTGTCTCTGCATGCATTCTACTCACCTCCTCTCCCCCCGCAGCCCCGAGGAACTCTGAAGAAACACAAGCTTCTGTGGCCCCGTACACGTAGGACTACCACCGCTTACTTGGAGGCAGTGGCAGTAAAAACGGAAACAACAAACAAAACAGAATAAAATCCTCTTTAACTTTGTTTAACTTGGTGTCCCATGCAGTCTATTTAATTTCAGACTCTTATTTACCCCAGTCCTAGGGAACTGAGGTTCATAGGACCAATCTGGGTGAATGCTGCTACAGTTTGTGGATGGGCTGCTCCCCATTTGCTTGTTCAGGTAGCTTTGAGCCCAAACATTGGTCAGCAAGGGCATCCATATAGTGACATGCTGTATGTCATCAAAAAGAAGGTGTTCCTGACATAGACAATTTCCAGAATATATGCTAAGTGACTAAAGCAAAGTGCAGCATGAGATGCCACCATGTGCTGCAGATGCTTGGACTGGATGGATACCTAAGTACCCCCAAACTGGCAGGCACATCTGCCTCTGGGGAAGGGGGCTGGGTGTCGGGGAGGGGTGGGAGCAAATTCCTCCCCGTGTGCCTCCTGGGGCCTTTAGAACCTCTACTTCTTTGAACACAGTGCTACTCTGCTCCAAACGCCCCCAAACTTCACACAGAGAGTAGTATGAAGTCCTCATCTCTGCACTTGTGGCCCTGAGGTTGGCCTCAGCCTGCCCGCCCAGCTTCTCTTCTCATTCTTCCCTGCTGCCACTCTCCTGTCTCCCCAGGGACTCGGCTGTTTGAGCCACTTTCCTTTGACACGTCTCAGACTTGCCCTGCTCCACTTGGAAGTCCTTGGAGCAGCCCACACGCACCCCCGCCGAGCTCACTGTCTCAGAATGTGGGACCACCTACCAGCTTTACTCCTGCGTCTAACTCTAACTTGTGAGATTGTGGGGGCCAGAGTCCCCAGGAGGCAGTGACGCTGTGTGCAGAAAAGCCAAGAGCTCCAGGGCTGAACAGATGTGACTGAAAATCTTTACCAGCCATGTGCCCTGGGGAACTGAGCCTTTCATTTCCCCTTTCCTTTTCTGTATAATGGAGGATAACAAGCCTTCACTCACAGGGCGTGGGTGTGTTTCTCATCTCCTTGCAGCACCTAGCACAGTACCTGGCATCTCATATGTTCAGGGCATGTTTGCTCTCCTCCCTTCCTTTCCCATCGTGACTGTCAATCGACTGTTCCCTTGGGGCTTGAGATTCTTGGATTCCAAAGGAAAGAACACAGGGCCAGGAGTCAGAATTTCATCCTTGCCTCCGCTGATGTCTAATTCTGGGATAACGCTGGGCCACTCAGTCTTTGGATTCCCTGCCCTAACACAAAATCCATATTTATCTCAATGCAAAAGAGATGTGGTCATCGAAACACTGAATGCAAAGGGTTAGCAGAGTGAGCACAGATGTTCTCCCATTTGCCAACTGGTTTCTAAGAATATTTGGAGGATGAGTAAAGTAATGTCTTCCATATGCTCAAGAGAAGATGATTTAGCACCATGCAAGGTAGAGAAGGAGAGCCCCCACCCATCAACAGAATGACCTTGGACAAGACACTAGCTGCCCTAGGCCTCAATTACCTCATTTAAAATATGAAAGTCATAAAACCCTACCTCACGAGGGTGATTGTGAGGATTATATGAGGCAATTCATGTAGAAGGTCTTTGTAAACTGTGAAATGCTCTACGACTGTCAGCCAGGATTAGTAGTTAATGCACGTATTTGTTTATTGTTTCAGCGGAGGGTGCAGGACGTCATCAGCCCGATCGTGTTTGAAGCAGCCTACAGCCTCAGTGAGCATGTGACTGGAGAGGAGGAGAGGGAACTGCCGCCTCTGACACCAGTTCTCCGCTGGAAAAAGGGACAAAAGATTGCCCAAAAGAATCAGGTCAGAACCTTAAAGCTCATACTCAGCACCCAAGGTGGCAGCTGCACAGAGCAGAAATAATGGCCCAAAAGTTGAGAGAGCCGTGGGCCTGGCTGCTCAGGAGACCGCAGCCAGGACACACCTCCTCTCTGGGTCTCCCTTTTCTGATCTGCAAAATGATAAAATAAACAGTCTTAGGGGTTACTTGTGACTACTGTGGGACTTAAACACTTTCAGACAATTCTCAGGCTGTTAGAAGTTACAATCCCCTCGAGTTCGTGAACTGGCTGGCCACTTGGTCCCTGAACTTGCCTCTGTTCCTAGACTGTTTTCAGAGCTTAGATTGGTGGATAGTAGGTGCTTAATGAATGTTTTATTGGTGGGAGAATGAGTGAGGTGAAGAAGCAAGAATGGTAGCTTGCTGAATTGGCAGTTGAGTTACAGAATGCTCAACCCAAGAGTCCCTGGAAACCAGAGCACTGGGGCAAGTACAGGTGGTCCACACTCATCAGATTCTGGGATGTGCGGCTGTGTAGAGAAGCTTTAGTGCGATGGGTGTATCACTCGTATGAAGTAGGAGTGAGCCTGTGCCTGATTTTGTGCAGCAGCGCTGGCCAGCTCTGAGGCGTGCAGCACTGAGTGCGGTGCAGGAATATGCAAGGAATCTGCAATCCCAAGTCTGTTTCAAATCTTTTCTTGAAACCCAAGATCACCACAGATTCAGAACCCTGTGGAAGATCAGGAAAAACTGTGGGCTAACCCAGCCTCCTAGGCAGGGTTGGGGCAAAGCTGTGGAACCACCTTTCACAGTGCTTCAGACCACTGTAAGTGTAGGGGAAAACTAGCAGATTGTGACCCATGCCTTGTAGATTAGAGTTGTAGACTGAACCACAGAGAAGGGTTTGGGATTTGAGATATCCATCCAGGTGTTCACGTAAGTGCTGAGATTTTTACCAAGGCATCGCATTATCTCCCAAAGCCTCTTTCCCATCATCCTAAGTGGGGTTCCCTAGAAGCAGAGCCTGAGAAAGGGAATTGGGAACACATGGTCTAATGATGCTGTGCTCTTAGGGAAAACCTGTAAAGGAAAGGCATGGGGGCTCAAAATGGTTGTGGTCTCAGATAAAGTCTGGCTGAGGGACTCTGGAACAAAAATTACACCAAAGAGTTGTCCTCACCTTGAGGCAAGAGGGGCTTCCCTTTTGTGCCCCATATCATTCAGCCATTGACTGGCTGTGGGGGGGAAGGGAAGTGTAACCCTCCTTGAAAGGAGATCCCCTCAGCTGAGGATGGTTCTCTAGAGAAGAATGCAGATGTGAGCCATAAGCAGCCTACACACACATCAGCCAGGAGATGGGCCACAGTTCACAGTGCCCACTACACATCAAAACACACCCTCTGGGGAATGCTGCCAAGAGGTTTTGATTTAAAACACGAACCTTCTTTCACAACACAAGTGCCCCAGGAGAGTGGCCTGTAAGTCCCACTGGCCATTGATACTTGGAACAGGCCCTGGGGGAGTGAGGGAGGACACGTGGTGTCTAAGCAGGTGGGCAGAGTAGATGGGCTGGCCTTACTCTGAGGTGTGGAGAAGGCTAGAGAAGAGTAGAAGATAAGGTGAAGAGGCAGGGCAGGAAGCTGATGGCTTCTGCCTTGACTGGGAAGTACAGACCTAGGTCCCCTCCTGACAGGGAAGTGGGGAGAAGAGGTTGGCCTGGGGACACAGTAAAGCATGGTATTATGGTAACTTCTACATAATTGGTCTCTAGTTCTAGAATTATTCTGCTTTCTAAGGTCAAATCTTACTGGACTGATAAACTTACCCATACTTGGGTTACGGAAGTTACCCAGACTCGGGGTCCTGGGAAGAATTTCAGGGTCCTCTGTGCTTATTTGTTTCTGAATTGACCCAGTGAGGTAGTCATCTACCCTGTCCAGCATCTTGCTAGCCTGGACATACTTTCCACAGTGAACCTATCTCTCATTCCTGCAAGTCTGTCAGTGGCACAGATGTGGACTTTCTTTAGTGAAAAGCATCTTGGAACCTTTACTGACATTTTTAGATTTAAGCAGCCCAATCAAAGCCAGAGATGGAGGGACAGATTAGTATTGAAATGATGTTCTTGGTCACTTCTGGTTCCAGATGGCCAACCAAGCACAAATGTTGATGTCTGTGCCTTCTGGTACCCCATTGCAATGATTATAAATGAGTAGATCGGAACAGGGAGGACAACACTGTGAAAGAAAGGGCATCAGCTAATAATAAGAGTCCAGTAATTTTCTGGTATGAGTGAAGTAAATGGAAGAGTGTTAGTGGGTGAACTTGAACTGTACATGGAAGAGCTGGCTTCCTGCCTACCCAGGGAACAGAGAAGCTGCAGCCACAGCCAGGCCAACAGTTACAGAGGGGGCCAGAGTAAGAAGTGGGACTGCAAGTGGTGGTGGTATTGAGGGAGGTCAGTGAAATGTGAAGGTTGGTATGAAGAAGGGTTAGAGTTGACTTTTCACCATTGTCCCCACCCCTACAGGCTTCAGGCATGCAGAATAGCAAGCAGCCAGGCATCGCCTTCTCTAAAGTGTTAAATAAACTGTTTAAGATAGTGTGGGCGGCCTCGTTCTCAGAGAAAAGAAAGCCTTACTTCTGGCATTTGAAGTCACCAACGTAAGAGCTAGCTTTCTCTCCCACAATCCACCCAAACACTTTCACAGATTTTCTACTCAGTCCTTTTACCTTAGTTTGAAATATGAATGGACAACCAAGGAAACCCAAGATTGAGGAATATTTGGTGCATGAAAGGAAAGGCTAAAATAAACCAGGAGAATAACTAACTTAAAAGGAAACAAATGATTTAGGGAATATAAGAGATTATTTTAAAAAATTTTAAAAATGCAACACCTTAATGTCTATGCAGTAGACCCAAGGAGATTTAGGAATATATTCCATTCTTTTCATTTTCTAATGGATGGGATTCTGTTCCTTTTTAAAGGGAGGAATGAAAGGCAAGGGAAGTGTTCTTAAAAATTAAAAATATATTTGCAGCACCAAAAACTCAGTGGAAGTATTAGAAGACAATGGTAAATAATTTCCCAATGGAAGTGCTAAAAGACAAGTAGAAAAGAAAGCTAAAGAATAAATTTACGGGGTCCTATATCTCCAAGTAATAAGAATACTAGAAAGTAAGAATACCAGTAATAAGAAAAGAGAAAGAAGGGGGAGAAAATTATGTAATAATAGAATAGCATGTTTCAGAGTTAAAGAGGGAGACTATTTTTTAAAATTGGTGTAAACAACAATTTACAATCACAATAAACCAAAATTATCATAGACACATCATTTTGAAATGTCAGTGCTTCAAAGACAAAGGGAAAATTCTAAATGTTTCGAGGGCAAAGAATGCAGGAATGTTGATCATGGAGGATAAGTCAGCTTACAACAGAATGAGAGTCAGACTGAGTAGTCCATTAGACTTTTTATAAGCAAGATTAGAAACTAAACTATGATGAAATAAAGGCTTCAATGTTCTGAGGGAAAATGATTTTGAAATTAGAATTTTGTTTTCAGCCACACAATCAAAGTATGTGGTAAAAATAAAGTCACTTTTCAGATAAGCAAGAACCCAGAAAGTTTACCTCCCTAGTAACTCTTCCAAGGAAATTATCTTGTACTTCAACAAAACAAAAATGACAACCAGAAGGAGCAAGATGTGGGATACAAGAAACTCTGGAACTAACTCTCAAAAGTCTAATGACAAGAAATCCCAGGATGATAACTGCAGCAAGTCTAAAAAGCAGCCAAGTCTATTGAGAAGAGGAGATCAATTAACTTCCAGAAGAATGAAGCTAAGCAATAGAATGATGAGCAAGTGGCAAATATTCAGTATATAGTGCAGATTGAATATGTTTCTTTTATGGGTAAGAAAAAAATAAAAGCATTCAAGACCTCTCAGAAAAATAGAAATAAGATAATTACCTGTACAGATTCTCCTTGACTCACGATGGGGTTATGTCCCAATAAACCCATCATGAATTAAAAATATTGTCAGTTGAAAATGTATTTAATACACCTAACCTGCTGAATATCATTGCCTAGCCTACCTTAAATGTGTTCAGAACACTTACATTAGCCTACAGTTGGGCAAAAGTCATCTAACACAAAGCTTATTTTACAATAAAGTGTTGAATATCTCATGTAATGTATTGAACACTATACTGAAAATGAAAAACAAAATGGTTGTATGGGTACTCACCATTAACACACACAGCTGAAAGCACACTGGACCTAAAGAATATTTGAACTAAAATTAACTGCTGGATTATGGGGCTACTAGTGTAACAGGGTCATCCATTTCTCTCTCTTCTGATGAGTCTCAAGAATAGCTGGTAGAAGCCACTGCGGTATTAACACTCGTTGATGGCTTAGCAGGCATGGTGTTCTGTAGAAAGCTATCAGTTGTTTACCCTCCTAATCCTATAACTGACTGGGACCTGCAGCTCACTCCCACTGCCCAGCATCACAGGAAGTATTGTACCACATATTGCTACCCTGGGAAAAGCTTTTGAAATAAAAAATTTGAAATATGGTTTCTACTGAATGCATACTACCTTCACACCATTGTGAAGTCAAAAAATCGTAGGTTGAACCATTATAAGTTGGAGACCGTCTCTATGTCATGGTTAAAATATAAAACAAATTAAAATGTGATAAAATAACCAGTTATAACTATCAGATGTTTTTTGTAAGCCTCATGGTAACCACAAGGCAAAAACCTATAGTAATACAAAAATAAAAATAAAAAAGCAAAGAACCAAACCATACCACTAGAGAAAATCACTTGACCACAAAGGAAGATAGCAAGAAAGGAAGAAAGGAACAAAGGATCTACAAAACAACTAGAAAACAACAAAATTGCAGTAGTAAGTCCTTACTTATCAATAATTATCTTAAATGTAAATGGATTAAACTCTCCAATCAAAAGACATGGAGTGGTTAAATGGATTTAAAAAAAAAAAAACAAAAAACAAGACCTAACTATATGCTGCTTATAAGAGACTCACTTCACCTGTAAGGACACACATAAAATGAAAGCAAAGGGATGAAAAAAATTCTATGCAAATGGAAACCAACACAGAGCAGGAGTAGACTTTAAGTCAAAAATAGACTTTAAGTCAAAAACTGTAAAAACAGACGAAGATCATTATACAATGATAAAGGGATCAGTTCAGCAAGAGGACATAACAATTGTAAATATATATGCACCCAACACCAGAGAAACTAAATATATAAAGCAAATATTAATAGATCTTATGAGAGAGATAGATTGCAGTACATTAATATTAGGGAATTTCAGTACCCCACTTTCTGCAATGGACAGATCATCCAGACAGAAAATCAATAAGGAAACATCAGACTTAAACTACACTCTAGAATAAATACGTCTAACAGACATATACACAACAGTCCATCCAACAGCGACAGAATACACATTCTTCTCAACTGCACATGGAACACTCTCCAGGATGGATCACATAGTAGGCCACAAAATAAATCTTAATAAATTTAGCCTTGAAATATCAAGTATCTTTTCTGACCACAATGGTATAAAACTTGAAATAATTAACAGGAGGAACTTCAGAAAATTCACAAATACGTGGAAATTAAATAACATGGTCCTGAATGACCATTGGGTTAATGAAATAATTCAAAGGGAAATTTAAGAATTTCTTAAGACAAATGAAAATGGAAACACAGCATACAAAAACTTAAAATGTGGTAGGATTTTGAGTAAGTAGAAGAGTATAAAGAAGAATGTTGATCCTAGAAATATTCTATCTGAAGTAGAAGTTGAATATTCCTGGACTTTAACTTTGCAACTGTAGAGGAGGATGTATAATCATGACACTTGTCTTGGCTCAACTGTGAGCAATAATCATGAACCATAATAAAATTAGCACTATTTATTGGTTTTCAATATTTATAATTAAGCCAAAATCAGAGCTATGGTGATAGCATAAAATGCAAATGTCATTAAACTTGATTATATAAAGGTAAAAGTAGAATAAGATAAGTTTTCTTAATATCTTAATCTTTTAAATTGATGAGTCAAGAGATTGCAAAACTTGATGAAACAGGAAATCACTGTTGGCTTAAAATTGCAGAGGTCATCAGTAGAGCAACACTTCCTAAAGTGTGATTCCTGAACCAGCAGCATCAACCTCTCTTGGGATTTTGTGAGAAATGAAAATTGTTTTTATTTTATTTTATTTTATTTTATTTTATTTTTTTCCTAAATTTCTTATTTCCTTCTCTTTTTTTAAAGTTTTATTATTATTATACTTTAAGTTTTAGGGTACATGTGCACAACGTGCAGGTTTGTTACATATGTATACATGTGCCATGTTGGTGTGCTGCACCCATTAACTAGTCATTTAGCATTAGGTATATCTCCTAATGCTATCCCACCCCCCTCCCCCAACCCCACAACCGTCCCCGGTGTGTGATGTTCCCCTTCCTGTGTCCATGTGTTCTCATTGTTCAATTCCCACCTATGAGTGAGAACATGCGGTGTTTGGTTTTTTTGTCCTTGCGATAGTTTGCTGAGAATGATGGTTTCCAGTTTCATCCATGTCCCTACAAAGGACACGAAGTCATCATTTTTTATGGCTGCATAGTATTCCATGGTGTATATGTGCCACATTTTCTTAATCCAGTCTATCGTTGTTGGACATTTAGGTTGGTTCCAAGTCTTTGCTATTGTGAATAGTGCTGCTATAAACATACATGTGCGTGTGTCTTTATAGCAGCATGATTTATAATCCTTTGGGTATATACCCAGTAATGGGATGGCTGGGTCAAATGGCATTTCTGGTTCTAGATCCCTGAGGAATCGCCATATTGACTTCCACAATGGTTGAACTAGTTGACAGTCCCACCAACAGTGTAAAAGTCTTCCTATTTCTCCACATCCTCTCCAGCACCTGTTGTTTCCTGACTTTTTAATGATCACCATTCTAACTGGTGTGAGATGGTATCTCATTGTGGTTTTGATTTGCATTTCTCTGATGGCCACTGATGATGAGCATTTCTTCATGTGTTTTTTGGCTGCATAAATGTCTTCTTTTGAGAAATGTCTGTTCATATCCCTCACCCACTTTTTGATGGGGTTGTTTGTTTTTTTCTTGTAAATTTGTTTGAGTTCATTGTAGATTCTGGATATTAGCCCTTTGTCAGATGAGTAGGTTGCAGAAATTTTCTCCCATTCTGTAGGTTGCCTGTTCACTCTGATGGTAGTTTCTTTTGCTGTGCATAAGCTCTTTAGTTTAATTAGATCCCATTTATCAATTTTGGCTTATGTTGCCATTGCTTTTGGTGATTTAGACATGAAGTCCTTGCCCATGCCTATGTCCTGAATGGTATTGCCTAGGTTTTCTTCTAGGGTTTTTATGGTTTTAGGTCTAACATTTAAGTCTTTAATCCATCTTGAATTAATTTTTGTATAAGGTGTAAGGAAGGGATCCAGTTTCAGCTTTCTACATATGGCTAGCCAGTTTTCCCAGCACCATTTATTAAATAGGGAATCCTTTCCCCATTGCTTGTTTTTGTCAGGTTTGTCAAAGATCAGATAGTTGTAGATATGCGGCGTTATTTCTGAGGGCTCTGTTCTGTTCCATTGGTCTATATCTCTGTTTTGGTACCAGTACCATGCTGTTTTGGTTACTGTAGCCTTGTAGTATAATTTAAAGTCAGGTAGCGTGACGCCTCCAGCTTTGTTCTTTTGGCTTAGGATTGACTTGGCGATGCGGGCTCTTTTTTGGTTCCATATGAACTTGAAAGTAGTTTTTTCCAATTCTGTGAAGAAAGTCATTGGTAGCTTGATGGGGATGGCATTGAATCTATAAATTACCTTGGGCAGTATGGCCATTTTCACGATATTGATTCTTCCTACCTACGAGCATGGAATGTTCTTCCGTTTGTTTGTATCCTCTTTTATTTCATTGAGCAGTGGTTTGTAGTTCTCCTTGAGGAGGTCCTTCACATCCCTTGTAAGTTGGATTCCTAGGTATTTTATTCTCTTTGAAGCAATTGTGAATGGGAGTTCACTCATGATTTGGCTCTCTGTTTGTCTGTTATTGGTGTATAAGAATGCTTGTGATTTTTGTACATTGATTTTGTATCCTGAGAGTTTGCTGAAGTTGCTTATCAGCTTGAGGAGATATGGGGCTGAGACGAAGGGGTTTTCTACATATACAATCATGTCATCTGCAAAGAGGGACAATTTGAGAAAATTCTTGGGCCCACCCCAGACCCACTGAATCAGAAGCTGATGGGGTGGGCCCCAGCAAACTATGTTTTTGTTTTTGTTTTTGTTTTTGTGTTTTGAGACAAAGAATCCTCTGTCACACAGGCTGGAGTGCAGTGACAGGAACTCGGCCCACTGTAACCTCCACCTCCCAGGTTCAAGTGATTCTCCTGCCTCAGCCTCCTGAGTAGCTAGGATTACAGGTGCACGCCACTATGCCTGGCCAATTTTTGTATGTTTAGTAGAGACAAGTTTTCACTATGTTGGCCAGGCTGGTCTTGAACTCCTGACCTCAGGTGATCTGTCCGCCTTGACCTCCCAAAGTGTTGGGATTACAGGTGTGAGCCACCGTGCCCGGCCAGCAATCCGTGTTTTAACAAGATGGCTGGGTGATTCTCATGCAGCTAAAGTATGAGAACTGATACAGTAGAGGAGTTAAACTAATAATTTGCCCATCAAAATTATGGAGGTGAAGGAGTGGGGATCGTTATGTGAGATAAATTCCTGTCTATCATGGAAGGAATTTAGTAAAATAATGTCTAGATCTGATAAATCAACGAGTAGTAGTATCAGCATGTTTTCTAGAGATATGGAAATAATCATCAAAAGAAACATAAACGGACGTGGGTAATAATGAGTAATAATGGTTGCCCCTGGAGAGGAGGACTCAGTATGGCGAGGTATGTGGCAGGGGGTTATTATTTTTCTAACCATGTGATTCTTTGGTTGAAATTAAAATAAAAGAAAAAATTGTTCTTAGATTGGGAAGATTGTCCAGGAGCCTGAGAGAAGTTCTGGGAGAGCAGTTCTTTCTTATTGTCCTTTTCCTGATTATGGGGAAAAAAAAAAAAAAAAAAAGATAATCTTCCAGATGTTGGCTCAGTTTGAGGAGGAGGAAAGATTCTGAGAGTGAGGCCCACTGCAGGAAGCAGAGCTGATCTTTAACCTGTGTATATATACACAACAGTTTGACACAGAGCATCTCACCTCTTTCATAGGAAGGAATAAATTCATCAGAACTCTCTAGGTCATGTTGCCAGATAACATTAGGGTTCCACTACTTTAAATGCCTTGATCTCTTCACTGAGCCCATGTTGGTACCCAGGACTATACAGAAGGGTGGATCAAATCATGATGACCTTTTAGAGTTGGGGTCTGCCCCCACTGATGGCCTAATTAAAGTGGAATCGCTGCACAGACTGTGTGTGTAACATGGAGATAGTGACCAGTACATGTTAAGTACAGGCTTACTGATTAATCTGAGGCTTTTTGCTATGAGTTAGGAATGTGCAGGACAGGCAGGAGACCAAGCCTTCCCTCTATAGGGTACATAGTCCTGGGAGAAGACGGGTTCCAGGATAGGGCTTTGGCACTAGGCTCTGGTGAGTGAATAGTGGGATTGCTGCTAATGCTGAGATTGGATTGGGATTCTGGGCGCTCTGGGGACGGTGGAGCTTGAATGCTACAAGCCTCCGTACATACAGCCTGATGGGCACACATTGCACCTTCAAAATTTAAGGAAAGCAAAGACCTGCATCTGTCTCATCAGAAAGGGAGGCATATTTGATAGCAGGAAAAAGACAACCTTTTTTTCATTAACCAGAGGAGTATTTTAAAAGACTATAAAGCTGGAAGCAATTCAATTGTGTGTCTACTTTATGTAAGACCTCGATGAAAAAATAAATCATTGCTGCCTTCATTGGAGTCACAGACAGTCCAGGAATAATTTACAAAGTGAGATTTAGATTAGTGTGTAAGAATTTCACTGCAGAGGCCACTTCTGGCTGAGGAGAAGATGTTCTATGGAGAAAAGGAGAATTGGCCAGAGCCTTAAAGGTGGAGTAGGATTTGGGTCCTCAGGGAATGGAGGGGCTGATGGATGCTAAAGGTCTCTCACGTGGCTGAATATCTAGTGAGGGAAAGGGGAGAGGCCATCTGGACTGGAGATTCAGTCATGCAGTCTGAAGCCACTTGTTCACTGGCTGAGGAGTTGGATGTGATTCTACGGTGGACAGACCATGGCATATTTTGCAGTTTGGGGAGATCGTAGATGTGCCTCAGGGAGATTGGTGTGCCTGGGTATGGGGAGGCCAGTTAAGAAAGAGCTTGTTGCAGGGGCCTTTGCAGGTGAGTCCCTGGGGAGTCTGTGTGATACCCCCCAGAGAGTTGACTCCTAATTAATTGCTAGTTGGTCTCAGCTGCTGAAACAGAGGGTATGGAACTAAATGAAACAATCATGGGAAGTCCTGGCTGGTCCGTGTGCTGGGAAGGGAGCAATGCTGTCCTTGGACTGGTCACCTGAAGGTCCTTTATCCCTCCTCCTCAGCTGAGCATACCAATGGTGATGACAGAGGCCCTGTCTTCAATCCCTGTACACAGAATAGCGCTCTGAAAATTATAACTCTTCTCAGGCTTCATCAGCAGGCCCCCAAAGAGACCTGGCTACAGCAGGGCTTCCAGGTCTTTCACTGCGGTAGGCAGAATGGCCCCCCAAAGATGTCCATGCCCTAATTTCTGGAGCCTGTGATTTGGATACGTTACATGGCAAAAGGGACTTTGCAGTTGTAATTAAGGTGATGGACTTCCAAATGGGGAGAGGAGCCTGGATTTTCCAGGTGGGTCCAATCTAGTCACACGAGCCCTTAATAGCAGCAAACTTCCTCCAGCTGGAGGTGGGAGGAATGAGGCGGAATAGGAGGTCAGAGAGACTTGAAGCATGCCTTTGCTGATGTTGAAGATGGAGTATGTGATGTGACGAGAATGTGGACAACCTTAAGGGGCTGGGAGAGGCTTCCAGGTGACTGTCTGCAAGGAAACGGGGCCTCAGTCCTACAACCACACAGAACCAGGTGCTTCCAAAAACCCGAACAAAGCTGGAAGTGGATTCTCCCCCAGGGCCTCTAGATAATCGTCCAGACCAGCTGACACCTTGATTTCGGCCTGTAGAACCTGGAGCAGACCCAGACAACCCACCGACCTCTGACTTACAGAACTGTGAGATAATAGATTTGTGTTATTTTGAGCAGCTGAACTCCGGTAACTTATTACTGCAGCAATAGAAAATAATAGACACACAATACAGCCCACACCTCCAGAACCCCGGGGCTTCTTTCCTCCCTGGGCTCTCTGGGGAAGGAGCACAGGCTGTGCAGTGAGATCAGGGCCCTGGCCCAGAGCACTCACCCTTTAGAGCCTGTTTCCTCACCTGTCACTGGGGGTGCCATCGGCTGCTCTGCCTGCCTCTGGGTGGTGGTGGGATTACATGAGGGAAATGTGAGAAGCCCGGAAATGATGAGGCAGCACTGGATCCTGCTGTTCCCTTCCTGGGAAGCCGGCTTCCTGGTGTTGTGAGGAGAGGATGAGGCCGTCATGGGAGCAGGTCTGACCTGGGCTCTGAGGAAGCAGGTGCTCTGCTGCCTTTCCACATCCTTTCCTCTGAGGGGGGTCCCGTCTCTGCAGGCCCGTGGGTGGGCTCCCCGGTGGGACGCAATGGCACCATCTTAGGCAGGAGTCCCCAACTCCTGGATCAGTACCAGTCCGGCCACACAGCATGAGGTGGGCAGCGGGCCAGCGAGTGTTACCGCCTGAGCGCCCCTCCTGTCAGATGAGCAGAGGCATTAGATTCTCACAGGAACATGAACCCTACACATGTGAGGGATCTAGATTGTGCCGAAACCATCCCGCCCCCTCCACCGCCCGTTCATGGAAAAATTATCTTTCACAAAACTGGTCCCTGGTGCCATAAAGGTTGGAGAACACTGGTCTAAGGGTTCTGGCAGGCTCTCAGATGAACCTCTCTGGATCTTTAGGGTGTCTGGCCCTCACGTGTCAGGCCCAAAGATGCCTGTTAGTCTGTCGCAGAGGGAGAAGATCTGGGGAGGACCCATATAACCAGAACTCGGGAGCCAGCCGCACCACCATGAGCCCAGATAGCATGAGTCCCTTCTCTTTTCTCCATCTCTGCTGCCATTCCCTAGGCCAGGCCACCATCATTTGTCACCTAGACCAGGTCACATCCCTGCATAACCTCCTCCCGCTGAGGAGCTCCCTTCCCCCTCAGAAGAAAATCCGGACACATGCTAAGGCCCACGAGAGCCTGTACAGTGGGGCTCCTGCCTCGCCAGCGCCACCCGCATACTGCATTCCCACCACCCTCAAACTTACCAGGCCTCTGCCTGCCTCAGGCCCTTTGCATATGCTGATACCTCATCTAGAAAGCACTTTGCCATGCTTTTCCCGTGGCCAGCTCTTCATTTTTTAGGTCTCAGCCTAAATGTTGCCTCCTCAAAGAACCATTCTCCCACTACCCTGTATTTCCTGACTCAGCTGCCTTTCTTTGTTTTGACACAGGGTCTCATTCTGTCACTTAGGCTGGAGTGCAGTGGTGTGATCATGGCTCACTGCAGCCTCGACTTTCCAGGCTCAAGTGATCCTCCCACCTCAGCCTCCCAAGTAGCTGGGACCACTGGTGTGTGCCACCACGCCTGGCTATTTAAAAAAAAAAATTTTTTTTTCTGGACACAGGGTTTCCCCATGTTGCCCAGGCTGGTCTTGAACTCCTAGGCTCAAGGAATCCTCCTGCCTCAGCCTCCCTAAGTGCTGGGATTACAGGCATGAGCCACCGTGCATGGCCTTAGCTGCCTATTTGATTCCTTCGTGACATCTAACAGAACGTGTTATTTCGTCTACTTGTTATTGTATTTACCTCTCTAGAATGGAAGCCCAGTGAGGGAAGGGATCTATTTTATCTTATTTGCTATTGATCCGCAACACCTGGCAGAGAACCTGGCCTATAGTGGATGCTTAGTAAATAGTAAATAGTTGAAAGAGCCCTTCTGGAAGAACACAAGGCTAGTTCCTTTGGCAAAAATTGGGCATCATATCAGAGCTTCTTCACTAGCAGATTCAGCAGAGCTATAAAATTAAAAGAAATGTGTTCTGTAATCCCTCTGGGAATTCCCCACGGGCAAGAGAGCATGATGTGTGATTTGCAGTGACATATCTATACCACGGTATGTTTGTAGTGACTACTTTTCAAAAGACAAGATGGAGGATATACAGCTGGTGAAAGAAAAGGTGTCGGCTTTGTTGAGAAGTCTTACTTTGTTGTCTTTCAAGTGAAAAGTGAGCTATTTTAGTCTAATGGTAATTTTTAACTATGTTGAAGCCATACACTTTGGGTCTCCATTGTGCTGGAAATCGTCACTACAGCTCCTCCCACCCCACACCCCTCAATGCATGCATATAGGAATATAGCTCATGCTATGGAAATCCACTGTTTGCACAGCCTGGACATTAGGTAATAGTTTCCCGGCTGAGGTGCCCAGCTGGCTTAACATGCCATTATTTACAGCTCTAAGGTTTATTTTCATTATTATATTTAAACGTCTCTGCAGAAGGAATGGAAGGCTAAGAGGGTGGGAGAGTAGAAGAGGAGAGGGAGAAGAGTCACTCCAGACGTCAGAACCAGACAGGCTCCTGAGACCGTGCAAACTGGGGGATTTCAGATTGCACACTTGGAGTCAGGGCAGCAGTTTGGCTCAGCAGGAGGGGAAAGGGGTGTTAGAGGAAAAGGCTCCTGCCCTCCAATGTTGTTTGACCCAGATCAACCCTACTCTTATGGGTATCAGCTTCTGGGTAAATACTCTTTTCAAAGAGGGCACCATGGCAGAACACATGTGAAAACCATCTAGTTTGAAGTATGTGTGAGAAAAACAACTAATTCACCCTTCTCACTGACCAGTGGAGAAGTCTGGCCTTATCTGTCTGTCTCAGGCTTCTTCTCCAAGGTTAACCCCAACGGGAAAGGAGAGGGGACTCATCAAAGGTTAGACCATGTCCTGAAGTGACCTGTTGAATTTGCAAAACTTCTTTTTCAGTGTTATGTTTTATTTTTGCAATTTGTGGGGGGAAAATGCATTCTAGGCTTCTGAAACCCTTTTTAGAAGAAAATCATGGTTTCCTCAAACTCTTCAAGCTTATTGAGTTTTCTTCTGTATTATCCTGTCCTATTGAAAACCTTGTGCAAAAGTATGTGTGGGGTGAGAGGTGTTTAAACACACCCGGTGGACAGTGTCTGGCTGGGGAGGAAACGTTAGCCTCTCTTTTCTTATCTTATGAGATAATTTAGGAAATCAAGTACAAGGCCCTTGCTGTGTGCACTTATACCTGGAGCCTTATTTAGGGGATGTTCTTGCAGATAGATGGGGAGAAGTCTTGCTGGGATCCTCTCTGGTTTTAAGGCATTTTTTTTCTCACTCCCAGTTGCCTGCCCATGTCTGGTTTAGCAGCTTTTAGAAACGTGGCTGGCATCCTTTTTTCTTTTCTCTGACAGCACCAGCCCCTTTATTTGAACTTCCTAGCTGTTTTCTGCCTCTTCTGACTAATTAACAGCAACTAAAAAAGAAAAATGAAACATAGAACACAAAAAATTCCAGGGTGAAAAAGGAGAATTTCTAGTCCTGGGGTGCAAAAGTCCCTAGAAGAGAGTTTTGAGCTGAAATGAAAAGTTGTGATTATAGAGAGACATGAAATGTGTCCCATAAAAGGCCACCTAGTCCCAGGCAGATCCAGGAAGAGCACTGGGCTGGGAGTCCCATGGGGCCAGGGCCTCACCAAGCAGTCAGCCCTGCTCAGTTATCACAGGGGTTGAACTGGATTGCCTAAATGATGCCTTTAGATGGATGGAACTGGAGTCCATTATCTTAAGTGAAACAACTCAGACACAGAAAGACAAATACCACATGTTCTCGTTTATAAGTGGGAGCTAAATAATGTGTCCACATAGAAGCAGATTGTGGGATGATGGACAATGGAGGGGTGGGGAAGTTGGAGCTGGGTGGATGATGGGAGGTTGCTTGTTGGGTGCAATGTGCATTGGCCCAGTGATGGATGCACCAAAGGCCCTGACTTTGCCATGACAGAATATATCAATGTGGCAAAACTGCACTTGTATCCCATGAATATATACCATGTTTTTAAAAATGTTGCCTTTGGGCAGAGGGGATAATTCTGCAAACTGCAGAGCCATGGAGTAAAAAAAACACCCAAGATAGCAGAACTTGTCATTTCTAGTTTTTCCACAGGACCATAAAGCAAAATTGGTGCCGGGTTTGTATTTAAAGGGAAACCAAGAGGGTTTTTTTATCCTTCCATGGTTTCAAAATCTGGAAGGACAATTTGTACAGACCCTGAGATAGAAGGATTCCTCAGCTTTAATTTCATGAACGATTTGCCTTTCATTGATTCTTGAGGATATGAATGTTTTAGAAAGCAACAGTGTATGCCTTGATTTTAAGAGGCAATGAGCCTTTTCCTTCCTTCGTTTAGGCATGGGGCTGAATGGAGCTGAAATTCCTGCACTCTTATAACGTGCCACATGAAGGGCAGTTTTGGATTCTGGGAAAACAGCCCATTGAAACAGAATTGGGAGGGAGAAACCTCTTACACTCAGGTCATGGTATTTATATGAATACAAAAAAAAATTTAAATACTGTGCTAGGTGCTGGGGGTTATAAACATGAATTACATGATTAGGGCCTCTGGAAACTTGTGTGGGGCTATAGAAGGAACACCAGTTCAGAAATGTCACTCCTGTCATCCAGACAGGATGCTTCACCATAGGGGCAGAGACCTTCTGCTAAGTCATACCGCATATCAAGAAATATATTGCTAGGCCAGGCACGGTGGCTCACGCGTGTAATCCCAGCAGTTTGGGAGGCTGAGACGGGCAGATCACTTGAGATCAGGAATTAGAGACCAGCCTGGCAACACGGGGAAACCCCATCTCTACTAAAAACACAAAAATTAGCGGGGCATGGTGGTACGTGCCTGTAATCCTAGCTACTCAGGAGGCTGAGGCACGAGACTTGAACCCAGGAGGTAGAGGTTGCAGTTAGCCAAGATCGTGCCACTGCACTCCAGCTTGGGCGACAGAACAAGACTCATCTCAAAAAAAAAATGCATTGATCAAATCAGCTTAAAAATAGCCTTCTTGTTTGCTCTTCTTGGTGTGGGATTATTCAGTCCAATTCTTCTACTTTTTTTAGGCCTCAGCATGGGATTTGGTTGTCATATCAACCCTATAAACAGTGTTGAATCCATGTCAATAATTGTATTTTTTAAAAGCAAATATCACCAAGTCCAAGAAACTGATCCTCCTCTGAACATGATAGCTGGACTAGGCTAAGAATCCTATTTCCTGTTAGATCAGAAGTGAAGATTTTCTGGTACAGATTTGGGTGGGAGAAATGAGCTACCCTTCCCAAGGCCTTAGCACCTAGATGACATCCTCTCTGAAGTCACCCTCAGCCAGGAGCGGACACTGAGCTGCTATTTCTGAATCACATGTCCCCAAAGCTGCCCTGGCCTTGGTGACCATGGCACTGTAAGAGAAGCACAGCCAGCCCCAGCGTCCTTACTCTGACTCAGAGGAAAATGCAACTTGAGCTGGATTCATTGAAATCTTTTTTTTCCTGGCCTGAAGGAAATGAAGAAACATAGCCAAATATTCTAAAACAGGATTCAACAAACAGCCCATAGGCCAAATCCACCACTGCCTGTTTTTGTAAATAAAGTTTTATTGGAACACATCTATGCCCATTCCCTTATGTATTATCTATGGCTGCTTTTGCTCTACAACAGCAGAGTTGAGTAGTGTGACTGAGACCATATAGCCTACAAGCCCAAAACATATACTGTCTCACCCTTTTCAGAAAAAGTTGCCAGCCTTGTTCTAAAAGAAGTAGAGTAAGGATTTAGTGAGAAGCTGGAGAAAATATTTTCAAAGACAACTGTATTCTCCAGGGAAACCTGAGATGAAGACCAAGGTGAGGAAGGAGCCAGCAGAGAAATCGAGTCCATGAGGCTGAGGAGGCCACTGGATGTCCAGTCTTCAGCTCTCTGAAGCCTGAGACAGGAAACAGTTGTCTCCCGAGAGAAAGGTTTGAACCTCCTTTAACTAGGGAGGAATAAGAGATGATGGCTTCTTAGATCTGTTTACATTTGCTGGAAAAACTTCTTCCAGGGAAATAACTAGACAGGGCTTTGGCCAACTAGCAGGTGAAGTCTGGAGGGAGGTGGAAGAGACTGCTTCCAAGCTGGGTTCCGATTTGTCTGATTGAAGCAGCCAAGCTTGTGTTTGCCAGAGGACTTAGGAGGATGTGGATAAAATCAGGCTGAGGCCTTTTTTTAAAGGCCCAAGCTGGAGCTATTGGGATTGTTCCCTCAGAGGAAAATCAGGAGTTTGGGCCATTGGCTTCATGGAGAACCTGTACTTTGTACCAAGGAGAAGTCATTTCTACTTGGTTTTTGAAACTGCATTGTCATCTAGTATTCCAAGGCTTTAGTCTGTCCACCCTCCTGCTCCAGAGAGATGCCTTTCAGTTCCTTAGGAAACAAATTGGCCATTTGCCCAAAGAGACTAATCCAGGACTAGAACACAGGCACTGAGTTTCAACCTCAGGCTCCCCAGTGCGTGACTCAGGTCTCTTGATTCCATGGTGTATTGTTTTTTTACCTATTAAACAATTGCATTCCTAGCCTATGGAAGGTCTTACCTAAGCCAAGACTTTGGCAGGGATTGGATTGTGCAGCCCATTTTTGTTAATAGCATTGCCCAAGTTAGGGAAGGCCATTAGGTTGGCTGAGTATTCTGGTATTCTATTGCTGCATAACAAACTCTGAAATTTAGTAGCTTAAAATAACATTTATTTTGTTCATGAATTTGATTTCATTGTTTTTTAATGTATGTAAGGTATATAAAATGATGTTTTGATGTACATTTACATAGTGAAATGGCTACTATGGTCAAGCAAATGAACATATCCATTGCCTAACATAGTTTTTTTTTTTTTTTGATAGTAAGAGCACTTGGAATCTACTTTATTGTCAAATTTCCAGTATATAATACAATATTGTCAACATAGTCATCACGCTATACATTCAATCTCTAAATTTTTTCATGCTACCTAACCAAAACTTTGTACCTTTGACCAACATCTCCCCATTCCCTACTCCCTACCCCCTCCCCGACCCCTGGTAACTATCAGAGTTTCACTTTCTGGTTCTGTGTATTTAACTTGTTTAGATTCCGCAATAAGTGAGATCATACAATATTTTTCTTTCTTTTTGTGACTTGTTTCACTTAGCATAATGTCCTCCAGTTTCATCCATGTTATCAAAAATGGCAGGATCTCCTTTTTAAAGGCTGAATAATATTCCATTGTATGTTTATATATGTGTATATATATATGTGTGTGTGTGTAGTATATATACATATATACACACCACAATTTCTTTATCCATTCACCTGTTGACAAACACTTAGGTTGATTCCATGTCTTAGCTGTTGTGAATAATGCTGCAATGAACATGGAAATGCAAATATTTCTATGAGGTACTGATTTCATTCTCTTTGAGTATATACCCAGAAGAGGAATTGCAGGGTCATATAGTAGTTCTATTTTTATTTTTTTTGAGGAACCTCCATACTTTTTTCATAATGGCTGTACCAATTTACATTCCTACCAACAATGTATAAGGGTTCCCTTTTCTCCATGCCCTCACTAACACTTTTTATCTCTTGTCGTTTTTATAGTAGCCATCCTAACTGTTGTGAGGTGATATTTCATTGTGACTTCGATTTGAATTTCCCTGATGATTAGTGATGTGGATATTTCAGCAGAAACCTTGCAGGTCAGAAGAGAGTGGGGTGATATATTCAAAGTATTGATGGAAACAGTGCCTCATACCTGTAATCACAACACTTTGGGAGGCTGAAGCAGGAAGATCACTTGAGCCTAGGAGTTTGAGACTAGCCTGGGCAACATAATGAGACCTTGTCTTTACAAAAAATAAACAGAAAATTATCCAGGCATGGTGGCATGTGGCTGTAGTTCCAGCTACTTGGGAGGCTGAGGTAGGAGGATCGCTTGAGCCCAGGAGGTAGAGGCTGCAGTGAGCCAAGATGATGCCACTGCACTGCAGCCTGGGTGACAGAGTGAGACCCTGTCTCTAATAAATTAATAAAATAAAATTTAAAAACCCTACTAGCCAACAATACTATACCCAGTAAACCTGTGCTTCTCAAGTTGAAATGAAAGGACACTAAATAGCACAAGAGAGCATAATAAAGAAGGAAACTCGTTGGTAAAGGTAAGTATATGGACAAAATCAGAACACTATATTACTATAAAGGTGATGAGTAAATAGCTTTTATGTCTATGAAGAAAGTTAAAAGACAAAAGTATTTTAAAAACCATTATAAGTATTAACTAAATTATGTTAATGGGTACATAATATAAATAGATATAAACTGAGGCATCAATAGCATGTAACTTGGGGGGAGCAGAGGGAAAATCAGAGTTTTTATGCAAGTAAAGTTACATTGTGAACTTATAACAGACTGTTACAAATTATTTCGTGTAAGCTCCTGGTAACCACCAAGAAAATACCTATGGAAGTTATATATATAAAAAAAGAAAGGAATCAAAACCTATCGATACAAAAAAAAAAAAGAAACAAAACAAAAGAAAACCGCAAGGGAGAAAAAGAGGGACAAAAGAACAAGACACATAGAAAATAGTCACCAAAATGGCAATAGTAAATCTGTCTCTATATTTACTTTAAATGTAAAAAGACTAACCTTCCCAATAAAAAGATACAGCATGACTGAATAGATTATTAAAAAAAACAACAACAACCAGGATCAAACTGTATGCTGTCTACAAGAAGCTCACTTTTAGATTCAAGGACACACAGAGAGATGGAAAAAGGTAGTCCATGCAAATACCAACCAAAAGAGAGCAGGAGTGGTTAATACTTATATCAACAAAATAGACTTTAATTCAAAAACTGTCTCTAGAGACAAAGGTCATTTCTTAATGACAAAGGGTCAATTCAACAGGAAGACATAACAATTATAAATGCACCCAGCATCAGAGCACCTAAGTATATACAACACTGACAGATCTGCAAGGAGAAATTGATAGCACTATAATAATAGGAGATTTCAGTACCCCACTCTCAATAATGGATAGGACATCTAGACAGAAAATCAGTAAAGAAGCAGTAGACTTGAACAACTGGACCTGTGTAACAAATGGACCTAGCTGGCATATACAGAACTGTTCAGCCAACAGTGGAAGAACATTCATTTTTCTCAAGTAGCCATGGAACATTCTCCAGGATAGATCACATATTAGGTCACAAAACAAATCTTAGCAAATTTCAGATCGAAATCATACCAAGTATCTTTTCCAACCACAATGGAATGAAACTAGAAATCAGTAACAGCAAGAAAATGGGAAAATTGTTTGTGAATTCATTTGTGAATTTGCAATTTGGCAGAGCTTGATCAACACAGCTCTCTGTTCCATATAATGTCTATCAGCTGGGGCAACTCAATGGGATTGGAGGACATCTCTGAGGTTTTCACTGTCATGGTGACTCACGTAGCCTGCAAGTTGATGTGGCAGTCAGTGTCTCCTGTGAGCCTCTGCATGGACAGCTTGTGTTTCTTGCAGAGTGGCTAAATTCTAAGAACAAATGCCCCAAGAAAATTAGGAGGAAGCTCTATTGCTTTTTATGACCTAGTCTCAGAAGTCACATAGTGTCACTTCCACTGTAGCCAAAAGTCCACCCAGATTCCAGGTAAGGGAGCATTAGACCCCACCTCTCTATGGGAGTAGTTTCAAAGTCACATTGTAAGGAGTGCCATCATCGAGATATTGTTGCATTGATTTTTGGAAAATAATTTACCTGCACAGAGGTAAATTCACATCAATTCTTTGTCTCCTTATTTCACCATCCATTAATGTTTGTTTGTTTGTTTGTTTTGAGATGGAGTTTTGTTCTTATTGCCCAGGCTGGAGTGCAATGGTTGGTCTCGGCTCACTGCACCCTCTCTCTCCTGGGTTCAAGCAATTCTCCTGCCTCAGCCTCCCAAGTAGCTGGGATTACAGGCACCCACCACCACACCCGGCTAATTTTTGCATTTTTAGTAGAGACAGGGTTTCACCAAGTTGGCCAGGCTGGTCTCAAACTCCTGACTTCAGGTGATCACCCGCCTCAGCCTCCCAAAGTGCTGGGATTACAGGTGTGAGCCACCATGCCTGGCCCCACCATCCACACCCAGCCCCACCATCCATTAATTAAGCTTCATGGTGTTCACTCAGTCACACTGTTGTCGCTCTCATTTGCCAATGTTAAATAGTGATGCACAGTGCCTAAGACAAAATTGCTATCACTGCAAGCTCCTACCCCTGGCTAAATGCTAATCTGGATTTATGGGACAGTGACGAGTGCTATTATTTTCATTTTATAAATGAGGAAACTGAGTCCTGGAGGGAAGAAAAGTCAATTTTCTTAATGTAATACAATTAAAATAGGATTACACTTTGAATTTCCTTATTTCTTAACTAGTATTTTATCTTTCCATGATTGTGCTTAATTTTATCTTATCAGTACAAGCACTCATATAACCTGTAGGGATATTTGTGTACATGTGCATGTGTGCATATACACACACGCACTGTGTGTGTGTATATGTCAAACTCAGTGCTTGCCTTTGTTGGATGGAAATTCAGCAGCACTGGAGGACTAGACAGCTAGAAAAGCCAGTTTCAGGGACAGGAAATAGTAGAGTTCAAGGAAAAGTTAGGACAAGGAAAATGAGTCTTTACAAAGCAACCAATTCCTCGTGAGAAGTCTTTGCATCTCACATGGCTAAGAGACAGTACTTTGGTTAGGGGCCTGGAGCTTTGGTTTTGATGAACAGTGTGCTGGTATTGGCTCTAAGCTGGGGCATCCACCATTTGGCTCCCCATTTGAGTGGTCACTCTGTCTCTCAGAGCAATGTGTGGTCTTTCGGTGTTGATAAAGCAGCAACTACATGCCAGGCCCTAAGGGCAGGCACAGAGGCAAGCAAGACCAGTACAGTGCCCCCTGCAATCCTCTTGGGACATCATTTTAGCAGGGGAGACTACCATTGAACATGTAATGATAAAATTGATTAGTTATGATTGAGATGAGCAGTAGGAGGGAAAAGTGTGTGGAACTGTGAGAGCTCACGATGGGCCTGAACTTGCCCAGGGACTCAGAGAAGTGGTCTGGATTTGCTTGTTGAAGGGTGAGAGGACATGTACTAGGTGAACCAGCTGGAGGAATCTGGGGATCCACTTGTGGGGAGGCCCTGGGTGGGAAGTTGTAAGGACAACCAGAGTGATAGCTGGCATGAGAAAGCCAGGGTGACAGAGGTGAGGAGGGCACATGCCAGATCTGGCAGCCTGCATGTCACCAGATGGATTTAGGTCACATCCTGTTCTTCCGTTCTCACCTCTTTCACCTCCATCTCCACCTCCACCTCTACCCCTTCACCTCTCCATGCCTCACAAAGTTGGACTGTCTTGCCTGTGAGACAGGAAAGGCATGTGTGATGAGGGGACTGTACACTAGGGGCCAGTCCAGGTTTTGTGAGACCTGAGGCTTATATAGTAGAGGGTGGGGTCTTGAAGGAAAAAAAAAAAAGGTGAAATTATGAAGACAAAGTTTGTGCAAGGCTTCCCTAGGGGCCATGTCAGCTGGGGACCTCTAAGCTGAAGTTTCACTAGTGTGGTGGGGAAGCTCCCTTTGGCACCTTCCCTCTGTCCTCAAAGCTCATAAAGCCCACCTTTCATCTTGCCTGAGACGTTCATGCCATCCTTACACCCACTTCCTCCTGTTTTCTTCTTAGTTAAGATGGCAAAGAAAGAGCAAATATATTGAAATCTCCTGGAAATTTGGCTCTCTCCTTGACCCCAGTAGTGTCCAAAAGAACACAGGAATTTCCTCTTTTTTCCCAAGACTTCCATGATATTTTCCCTGATAATCAAGGAAGGGAGTGTTGGCTGGGACACTTTTTTCTTTTGGAAATGTGGCAGGGGAATATGAATTTTCATAGGCGAAATTACTCTGTCTGGTCGAGTCTAGACTGTTCGTTGGCCAGCACGTTTGCTGGCGCCCACACTGACACTCTGAGGTGCTGCCTGGACTTATTCTCTGGGCAGGGAAGAAATAACCTGGAACTACATTTTGGGGAAAAAACTCACGAACATGAGCAGTGACAAGGAAGAAGTTTAATAATGAGTAAATTACAACTAAAAGTTGTCAACAGGCTCTTCTCTCCAAATTCCACTGAAATGAGCAAAGCCATCTAACAGTAGTGAAGAGTCTCTGTCATCTGGAACTTGGGGAAGCTACTGTCCATAGATCTGAAATGTCAGAGAGGTTGAGACAGATTGAGGGGAAGACTAACAAGCCCTCCATGGACCGTAGAAGAAAGCCCTAACCCCTCTCCAAATGCTGCTGCTGATCTCCTGGCAAGCCTCCACAGATAGGCCCAGGCCCAGGCACAGCCAGCAAGCTCTCTGGAAATATTTGGGTTTTGACATGCCAAGACTTGGCCCCAGTAAGGGCTGGGTGGGGCTTTGGCTGTTGAGGCCCAGTCTTGGTTAGAGAAAAGGCACTGTGTCCCTGTTAACTGCTGGCTGCCCCACCAACAAACTGGAAAGAATCTCCCCCAGTCTGTTGTGATTCCCTCAGCCTGATGGCCTAATTGCCTTTGCCTTTTCCTGTTAATACTGACAATTCAATACAGTCCCATTGCTCAGGCAGAACCTATTTCATATATAAATTTCCTGCATCCCCAAGGCAGAGCAAATAGGGGGAAATGACCAAACTATAATCTGAGAGTTCTTTACTCAACTGGATTATCATTCATCTAAGAGCATCTGAAAGACAGTCTCACACAAGCAAAGACTGAAAGGACATCCACCACCACGTACCTCTCTTGAAAAAACTGCTTGGAGAAGCACTTCAGTAGACTAGGGAATGAATCAAATAAGTAATGCACTGACAAAATCAAAACCACAGTTGACTTAGGCTTCCTTGGAGCTTGGAAGAACCCCTTCCCACGCTGGAGAGCTGGCTTTTTGGAGGTGGGAGTAGAAGCCCTGAGGGGCTCAGGGGAGGAATTCCCACTGATTTGCAAGAAAGGAATTGGCCACTGTGTACTCGTTTGCCACTCAATCCTGCCCTAACCTTCCTCTCCTGTCTTTCTCACAGACTGTTTTTGAAAGGAATTGCCGTTCAGAGGACTGTGCCGCAGACCTGCAGCTTCAGGGTAAACTGCTGCTCTCCAGGTATGTCGGTGTTTCCTTCAGAGCATTGTTCTCAGGCTCCTTTTTCTTGACCCCAGGTCCCAAACCTGAATGTGCAGATTTCCCCACTGAAGAGGATAAACAGAGTTGATGGGTTACAGTAATATTCTGTGGTTTTAAAAAAATGTATGTTACAAAATAATTATAACAAAAGCTTTGTTGGGAAGATTGTTTAGGTTTTTTTGTGTGTTGATTGCAATTCCACATATCTCACAATGTAGCTTGTATTTCTAATTTCTATGAGTATTTGAGGGGTGGCTATTTTATGCTTGCTGATTGTATTAAGTTGAATCATATGAAATTGCCAATATTTGAACTTTTGGACAATTTCATATGTATGATTCATCCTATTATTAAATAAAGGTTTATGCCCTCCTGCCTCCACACACACACACACACACACACACACACACACACACACACTAGTGTATGTTTTAACAAGTAACATTTCTGTGGCAGGAGAGGGCTGAAGGAGAGGGGCAGGCTGCCCTGATCCAAGTGAGCAGATAGTCTCCTTATTGTTTCAGGGTTTCCTCCCGCACTGCATGAATCCCCCAAGGCTAAAGGTGAACCGTACAGCGGCCTTCTGTTTCCTCTTTGCCAACCTTTTATTTTAGACTTCATTTAGGATGAAGGTGCTGGTCCTGATCATTTAGCCTCATTTCACAGAATGGCTTCCTTTTGAAACAGTTCCTTCTGAAAGACTGTTTTAGCCTTGGGGCCAGAAACCCCTCTATTAGTTTTATTACCATTTCTGAAAAACAGTCACTAGTTTTGGTAGTTATTTTTCAAAATGCATAGTGTATCCCTTACTTAAAACTATGAGAGTTAAGTTTGGATGAAATGACATGAATATACTATTATGAACCAGTGCCTACACTAGGACATTTTTTTTATTGTTATACTTTAAGTTCCAGGATACATGTGCTGAACGTGCAGGTTTGTTACATAGGTATACACATGCCATGGTGGTTTGCTGCACCCATCAACCTGTCATCTACATTAGGTATTTCTCCTAATGCTATCCCTCCCCTAACCCCCCACCCCTGACAGGCCCCGGTGTGTGATATTCCCCTCCCTGTGTCCCTGTGTTGTCATTGTTCAACTCCCACTTATGACTAAGAACATGCAGCATTTGGTTTTCTGTTCTTGTGTTAATTTGCTGAGAATAATGGTTTACACCTTCATCCATGTCCCTGCAAAGGACATGAACTCATCCTTTTTTATGGCTGCATAGTGTTCTATGGTGTATCTGTGCCACATTTTCTTTATCCAGTCTATCATTGATGGGCATTTGGGTTGGTTCTAAGTCTTTGCTATTGTAAAGAGTGCTGCAATAAACATATGTGTGCATGTGTCTTTATAGTAGAATGATTCATAATCCTTTGGGTATGTATACCCAGTAATGGGATGGCTGGGTCAAATGGTATTTCTGGTTCTAAATCCTTGAGGAATTGCCACACTGTTTTCCACAATAGTTGAACTAATTTACACTCCCACCAACAGTGTAAAAGCATTCTTATTTCTCCACATCCTCTCCAGCACCTGTTGTTTTCTTGACTTTTTAATGATTGCCATTCTAACTGGCGTGACATGGTATCTCATTGTGGTTTTGATTTGCATTTCTGTAATGACCAATGATGATGAGCATTTTTTCTTATATTTGTTGGCCGCATAAATGTCTTCTTTTGAGAAGTGTCTGTTCATATCTTTCGCCTACTTTTTGATGGGGTTGTTTTTTTTCTTGTAAATTTGTTTTAGTTCTTTGTAGATTCTGGATATTAGCCCTTTGTCAGATGGATAGATTGCAAAAATTTTCTCCCATTCTGTAGGTTGCCTGTTCACTCTGATGATAGTTTCTTTTGCTGTGCAGAAGCTCTTTAGTTTAGTTAGATCCCATTTATCAATTCTGGCTTTTGTTGCCATTGCTTTTGGTGTTTTAGTCATGAAGTCTTTGCCCATGCCTATGTCCTGAATGGTATTGCCTAGGTTTTCTTCTAGAGTTTTTATGGTTTTAGGTCTTACGTTTAACTCTTTAATCCATCTTGAGTTAATTTTTGTATAAAGTGTAAGGAAAGGGTCCAGTTTCAGTTTTCTGCATATGGCTAACCAGTTTTCCCAACACCATTTATTAAGTAGGGAATCCTTTCCCCATTGCTTGTTTTTGTCAGGTTTGTCAAAGATCAGATGGTTGTAGATGTGTGGTGTTATTTCTAGGCCTCTGTTCTGTTCCATTGGTCTATATCTCTGTTTTGGTACCAGTACCATGCTGTTTTGGTTACTGTGGCCTTGTAGTATAGTTTGAAGTCAGGTAGCATGATGCCTCCAGCTTTGTTCTTTTGGCTTAGGATTGCCTTGGCTATAGGGATTCTTTTTTGGTTCCATATGAAATTTAAAGTAGTTTTTTCTAATTCCATGAAGAAAGTCAGTTATAGCTTGATGGGGATTGCATTGACTCTATAAATTACTTTGAGCAGTATGGCCATTTTCACGATATTGATTCTTTGTTTCCATGAGCACAGACTGTTTTTTCATTTGTTTGTGTCCTCCCTTATTTCCTTGAGCAGTGGTTTGTAGTTCTCTTGAAGAGGTCCTTCACATCTCTTGTAAGTTGGATTCCTAGGTATTTTATTCTGTTTGTAGCAATTGTGAATGGGAGTTCACTCATGATTTGGCTCTCTGTTTGTCTGTTTTTGGTGTACAGGAATGCTTGTGATTTTTGCACATTGATTTTGTATCCTGAGACTGCTGAAGTTGCTTATCAGCTTAAGGAGATTTTGGGCTGAGACTATGGGGTTTTCTAAATATACAATCATGTTGTCTGCAAACAGAGACAATTTGACTTCCTCTTTTCCTATTTGAATACCCTTTTTTTCCTTCTCTTGCCTGATTGCCCTGGCCAGAACTTCCAATACTATGTTGAATAGGAGTGATGAGCGAGGGCATCCTTGTCTTGTGCCAGTTTTCAGAGGGAATGCTTCCAGCTTTTGCCCATTCAGTATGATATTGGCTGTGGGTTTGTCATAAACAGCTCTTTTTTTTTGAGATATGTTCCATCAATACCTGGTTTATTGAGAGTTTTTAGCATGAAGGGGTGTTGAATTTTGTTGAAGCCCTTTTCTGCATCTATTGAGATAATCATGTGTTTTTTTTTCATTGGTTCTGTTTATGTGATGGATTATGTTTATTGATTTGCATATGTTGAACCAGCCTTGCATCCCAGGGATGAAGCCGACTTGATTGTGGTGGATAAACTTTTTGATGTGCGGCTGGATTCAGTTTGCCAGTATTTTATTGAGGATTTTAGCATTGATGTTCATCAGGGATATTGACATGAAATTTTCCTTTTTCGTTGTGTCTCTGCCAGGTTTTGGTATCAGATGATGCTGGCCTCATAAAATGAGTTAGGGAGGAGTCCCTCTTGTTCTATTGAATGGAATAGTTTCAGAAGGAATGATACCAGATCCTCTTTGTACCTCTGGTAGAATTCAGTTGTGAATCCGCCTGGTCCTGGGCTTTTTTTGGTTGGTAGGCTATTAATTACTACCTCAATTTTAGAACTCGTTTTTGGTCTACTCAGGGATTCGACTTCTTCCTGGTTTAGTTTTGGGAGGGTGTATGTGTCCAGGAATTTATCCATTTCTTCTAGATTTTCTAGTTTATTTGCATAGAAGTGTTTATAGTATTCTCTGATGGTAGTTTGTATTTCTGTAGGATTGGTGGTAATATCCCCTTTATCATTTTTTGTTGTTTCTGTTTGATTCTCTGTTTTCTTCTTTATTAGTGTGGCTAGTGGTCTCTTTTGTTGATCTTTTCAAAAAAAAAAACCAGCTCCTGGATTTGTTTATTTTTTTTTTGAAGGGTTTTTCATGTCTCTATCTCCTTCAGTTCTGTTCTGATCTTAATTATTTCTTGTCTTCTGCTAGCTTTTGAATTTGTTTGCTCTTACTTCTCTAGTTCTTTTAATTATGAAGTTAGGGTGTCAATTTTAGATCTTTCCTGCTTTCTCCTGTGGGCATTTAGTGCTATAAATTTTCCTCTAAACACTGCTTTAGGTGTGTCCCAGCAATTCTGGTATGTTGTGTCTTTGTTCTCATTGGTTTCAAAGAACTTATTTATTTCTGCCTTAATTTCATTATTTACCCAGTAGTCATTCAGGAGGCCATTGTTCAGTTTCCATGTAGTTGTGCAGTTTTGAGTGAGTTTCTTAATCTTGAGTTCTAATTTGATTTCACTGTGGTCTGAGAGACTGTTATGATTTCTGTTCTTTTGCATTTGCTGAGGAGTGTTTTACTTCCAATTACATGGTCAATTTTAGAATAAGTGTGATGAGGTACTGAGAAGAATGTATATTCTGCTGATTTGGGGTGGAAAGTTCTGTAGATGTCTATTAGGTCTGCTTGGTCCAGAACTGAGTTCAAGTTCTGAATATCCTTGTTAGTTTTCTGTCTCATGATCTAATATTTGACAGTGGAGTGTTAAAGTCTCCCACTATTATTGTGTGGGAGTCTAAGTCTCTTTGTAGGTCTCTAAGAACTTGCTTTATGAATCTGTGTGCTCCTGTATTGGGTGCATATATATTGATGATAGTTAGCTCTTCTTGTTGCATGATCCCTTCACCATTATGTAATGCCATTCTTTATGTTTTTTTGATCTTTGTTGATTTAAAGTCTGTTTTATCAGAGACTAGGATTGCAACCCCTACTCTCTTTTGCTTTCCATTTGCTTGGTAAATATTCTACCATCCCTTTATTTTGAGCCTATACGTGTCTTTGCACATGAAATGGGTCTCCTGAATACAGCACACTGATGGGTCTTGACTCTTCATCCAATTTGCCAGTCTGTGTCTTTTAATTGGGTCATTTAGCCCATTTACATTTAAGGTTAATATTGTTATGTGTGAATTTGACCCTTTCATTATGATGCTAGCCAATTATTTTGCCCATTAATTGATGCAGCTTCTTCATAGTGTTGATGGTCTTTACAATTTGGCGTGTTTTTGCAGTGGCTGGTACTGGTTTTTCCTTTCCATGTTTAGTGCTTCCTTCGGGAGCTCTTGTAAGGCAGGCCTGGTGGTGACAAAATCTCAGAGCATTTGCTTCTCTGTAAAAAAGTTTCTTCTTCGCTTATGAAGCTTAGTTTGGCTGGATATGAAATTCTGGTTTGAAAATTCTTAAAGAATGTTGAATATTGGCCCCCACTCTCTGCTGGCTTGTAGGGTTTCTGCGGAAAGATTCACTGTTAGTCTGATGGGCTTCCCTTTGTGGGTAACCCAACCTTTCTCTCTGGCTGCCCTTAACATTTTTTCCTTCATTTCAACCTTGGTGAATCTGATGATTATGTGTCTTGAGGTTGGTCTTCCTGAGGAGTATCTCTGTAGTGTTCTCTGTATTTCCTGAATTTGAATGTTAGCCTGTCTTTCTAGGTTGGGGAAGTTCTCCTGGATAATATCCTGAAGAGTGTTTTCCAACTTGGTTCCATTCTCCTCATCACTTTCAGATACACCAATCAAATGTAGGTTTGGTCTTTTCACTTAGTCCCATTATTTCTTGGAGGCTTTGTTCATTTCTTTTCATTCTTTTTTCTCTAATCTTGTCCTCATGCTTTATTTCATTAAGTTGATTTTCAGTCTCTGATATCCTTTCTTCTGCTTGATCGATTTGGCTGTTGATACTTGTGTATGCTTCATGAAGTTCTCGTGCTGTGTTTGTCAGCTCCATTGGGTCATTTATGTTCTTCTCTAAACTGGTTATTTTAGTTTGCAATTTCTGTAGCCTGTTTTCAAGGTTCTTAGCATCCTTGAATTGGGTTAGAACATGCTCCTTTAGCTCAGAGGAGTTTGTTATTACCCACCTTCTGAAGCTTACTTCTGTCAATTCATCAGACTCATTCTCCATCCAGTTTTGTTCCCTTGCTGGTGAGGAGTTGTGATCCTTTGGAGGAGAAGAGGCATTCTGATTTTTGGAATTTTCAACCTTTTTGTGCTAGTTTTTCCTCATCTTCATGGATTTATCTACCTTTGGTCTTTATGTTGGTGACTTTCAGATGGGGTTTCTGTATGGACGTACACTAGTACATTTTAACTTATGATGGCACATGATCTTTCATTCATCAAAGGAAAGTAATACTAAGATTCCTTTTCTTCAGTTTGAGTTTACTGGAGGAAGATGATGTAACACACACACACACACACACGCACACACACACACACAAATAGTCCTCCAAACCACTTAAATATTAATTAGCATTACTTTTACTTAGGGCAATAGTGGTAGATTAAAATAGCACACGTTTTGCCAAGCTTACAAAATTACTTAAAACTCATGGCATGGATATTAGAATTGTTTCACATTAGTACGAAGGACCTCCTGGGATTATTAGAGGAACTGACTTTAAAGAAGTTTCATAAATTTGCAGCTCATTAATTTTAATTTTAAATAGGCCTTCCACAAAGTGTTTTAGGGAAAAAATAACAAGAAACAAAAATATATGGATTTGTTTTGTCTTGAGGCAGACTGGAAATGCTGGAAATTTATTTTGGATCGTAGAAAAACTTCATGTGGTGGGAAAATGTTCACTTGCTCCAAGGTCAGGTATTAAGTTAGCAAAGTCCTAATGCTTTTGCTACCCATTAGTGGATGATCAAATCCATCTCTATTGAATTGTGCTTTTCTTATATTAAGATGTAAAATTCAAGGCTCAGTATAGCACCTGGTGGCTAAAGCTGCCTCCACTGCCCCAGTCTGGCCTTTCAAGTGTGGTCAGAGCTAGTTATCCTCTGTGGGCCCAGTAATCAATAATGCTTGAACAACTAGTGTGGTGGCCAGGACCCAGTCCCCCCATATGTATCAGCTACCAATTGCCACAAAAAAGGCTGAATAAAAAAGTCACCCCAAAACTCGATGATATGAACAGCAATCACTGATTCCCATGGATTTTCAGGTCAGCTGGCCCAGGCTGGACTCAGCTGGACCTTGGCTGATTTGTCCATGCATCTGGGTTCAGCAGAGGGTAGGTTCTAGGCTTGGGTGACACCATTCAGCTCTACTCCCTGTGTCTTTCATTTTTTCTTTGGAACCAGTGGACAAGCCTGGGCATATTCTCACAGCATAACAGAGGTACAAGAAGGCATGCAGAAATGTGCAATGACTCTTAAGGCCTGGGCTCAGAACTGGTGCACTTTTCCTCCAGCCTTATTCTATTGGCCACAGCAAGTCACATGGCCAAACCCAAAGTCAAGGGACAGGAAGTTAGTGAGAGGAATTACAAAGCCACACAGCAAAGGGCCTGAGTATAAGGAGGAGGTGAAGACTTGGGACCCATAATGCAATTGACTATACTATATAAACAGCAAGGTAGCCCTGTCTCTTATCCTGATGCCTTGTTGTTATCAGGGCTATTTCAGTCTTTATTGCAATGCCGTCTCTCTGGAATTCAGACATGAGATCTGGAGACTGGGTGAGAAGATTTTCTGAACCTCAGAAACAATGCCTTTGGACCGAAGCTCTCAGCCTCTTAGGTTGGGTTATTTCTCAGAGGACCCCTGGCCTCTCAAAATAGCCTTTTGGCCGAATCCTCCATTAAAGAAACCTTCGTTGTACTTTTGGGCCCATAGCTGTTCTCACAGGAACCATCAGAGAAATGTTCATTGATACTTAGATAACAAACCTGTGGTTCAGTTATATGGGATTTATCCAGACCTTTGGATGTTCACTCTTCAGAGCCAGGGACAATGTGAGGGAAGATACAATCAGTTAAGTGCTAGTGGAAACCAGGGTCTGAATTTGGTTGGCAAAGGCATAGTGGCTCCAAGCAGAGGTAAACTGCTTTGGTTATCATTGAGCTCTCTTGATTCATTCTTGTCTGGGATGGAATGTGCCCTCCTTTCTTGTTCAAGCCAGGCAAGTGCTAGGCACTGGGCTGCAGAAGTGAGCAGTATGTGAGCCCTGCTCTCCTGCTGTGAGCAGAGCAAGAGGCTGGGAGATAGTGGTACCACACAGTGAGTGCTAGGTGGGTTACTCCAGGGCTCTGGAGCAGCTTCCAAGAGGTGGTGTTGAGAGGAATGAGGACTCACGCATTCCAAGCAGAGGGAAAATGTGAGCAGAAGTATGGAGAACAGGACTCCCATGAAGATCTGCAGGTGTCTGGAATGAAGGAGGCAGTCAGGAGAACACAGTGAGAGACAGGGAAGGAGAAAGGGAGAGAAACCAGATTGTGGAACACTTATGAGTCTGGACTTCATCTTGAAGCCAGTGGGAGTACAGCCAAGTTGTAGTGTAAGTGCTTTTAACCTAACAAGAATACAGCCAGGGGGCCAGGCGCAGTGGCTGTGCCTGTAATCCCAGCACTTTGGGCGGCTGAGGCAGATGGATTGCTTGAGCTCAGGAGTTTGAGACTAGCCTGGGCAACATGTCAAAACTCCGTCTCTAAAAAAACATACAAAAATTAGCCAGGCGTGGCAGCAAGCGCCTCTAGTCCCAGCTACTCGGGAGGCTGAGGTGGGAGGATCACTTGAGCCTGGGAAGCAGAGGTTGCAATGAGCTGAGATGGCACCACTGCACTCCAGCCTGGGTGACCGGGGGCAAAAAAATAATAATAATAATGCAGCTGGGCACACTCCAGGAGCCAGGGTGGGGAAGGGAGAGGAGAACATTGAGATGGTATAGGTCATTTTACCCTCTATTCCTCTCAGTGAAAGTACGTTCCAGCTTGAGTTTTGAGTTTGCTCCTCTCTCCAACCATAACAGTTCCTGCTTCCCTGCCTTGGGTAGGTCTGTGGGGCAGCTGCCCTTCATCTCAGTGCAGGAGCAGCCTTTTCAGGGTTGGACTTATGAGAGATGTTGTGCTGATTTCCACCATGGTGCCCCCCTCCCAGGGCTTCACAAGGGCAACTTGGACACAATTTTTGCTTTCCGTGATGTCTTTAGAACTTAGCTCTCCTGTTAGCCGTGACCTTACTCACTGTACGAAAAGTCGAAGCAAAGGGGTCACAGAGAAAGATTTCTCTGATGACTGTGTAGACAGTTGGTCCATGGTGTTGTGGCTGGAGGCCTCTGAATACCCACCAGACTGAGGAGCCTTTGTCTTAAGACAGAGGGAAGGACATCTGGGAGTGATTGTGTCACCCAGAGTGGCCAGAGATCAAGCCATAGGAAATGCTGTCTGTGACCAGGATTCATGGATGTTTTTATTTTCCTCTCTGGAGAGCATGAATTCTGGCAGGCCTGTGATCTCTTAAAACAATCAACTCTTCAATTAGAAGTTCATGATCTTTAATGGGCTTGAGTCCAGTTCCAAAACAGGCCATTGTCAAAACGTCCAGGAACAGGGATGAAACTTGTTTAAAAGTTTCTATTAAGCAGGACTGAAAATTCCATTTGTAAAAGGATGCAACTATGTTTTGTCTTTTTGAATACTCACAGTACCTAAGAAAGCATCACATATGATAAAGAAAAAGACTATGGCAAGTGAGCTTTAAAAAAATTCTTTTTTTGATGCATTCCATCAGAAATCAGTGGAACATTTCATTGCTGTCTGGCTAGCCAACTCCGATAAAATAAGGACTTTTAAGGGAGATGGAAAGACACAGCAGGATATCTGTAAAGCCAGAATCATCTGGTGGCAACATATAATTGTCCTATGGTTGTAACCTTGATAGTGCTGTTACCATGGGGGTTGGGTGGTGGGGCGAAGTGCATTTCCCAAAACTGTTGGCTAGCTGAGGGATGAGAGCTCCATCCATGAAAACCAGTCTTCCAGAGGAGGATCCCCAAACCCAGAGAGCTATTTAGAGTTTGAAACAAATTGTTCTCCTTCTCAAAAGTGGCAGAATGGTTAGAATCATCAACTGCACAGCCTAGGTCAGAAGTGAAGTTTGTCCTGTTTTATGAAGGGAAAGACACCCTTGTTTAGTGAGCACTGACCAAGCACTAGATACCCCACTGAATACTCCATATACATAAAAGCACTGAAGTATCTTACCAGCTGCATAACCTTGAGCAAGTTGCTTAACATCTCTGCCTGTTTTCTCCTCTGTGAAATGGGGAAAATAACAGCAGCACCTTATAAGGTTATTTTGCATATTAATTAATTAATACATATCCAAGTGCTTCTAAAAGTGCTTAGCATATAAGGAAACACTCAGTAGTGAAAACTAGCATTATTATTTCATTTAATCCTCAACAACACTGAGAATAAATATTCTTATACTCTTTTTACTGAGGCGGTGCAGAGGCTCAGGAAGGCCAGGTTACTTGCTCAAGGCTCATGTTGTATGGGAAAGTTAAAGCTTGGAATGTCTGATTCTACATCGCGCTCTCCTCCTGTACATTGGCTTCTGTTGTCTCTGGGTTCAGCTATCAGCTGGCTCTAGACCAGAGGTACTAAGGCTAGAGACCTTGGGTAAAAAGTCTTCCTCTCTTTGAAAGCCCCAATCCAGAGAGGAGGTAGATGGGCAAAAAATCCACCAGCAAAGATAGCTGCCATCCCTCCCCTCCATTCTCCCCATGTGCTGTCTGACCTGGAGGCCTTGTTCAATAGCTTTTCCTCCTGGAGACACAAGCAATCTGTCCTGCTGGGTCAGTGGCAGTCCTTGCATTGAGTCAGCACATTCTTTTTTTTTTTTTTTTTTTTTTAGACGGAGTTTCGCTCTTGTTGCCCAGGCTGGCAATGGCACAATCTCAGCTCACCATAACCTCCACCTCCCGGGCTCAAGCGATTCTCCTGCCTCAGCCTCCCGAGTAGCTGGTGTTACAGGCATGCACCACCATGCCTGGCTAATTTTCTATTTTTAGTAAAGACAGGGTTTCTCCATGTTGGTCAGGCTGGTCTCGAGCTTCCCATCTTGGCCTCCCAAAATGTTGGGATTACAGGCATGAACCACCGCGCCTGGCCGAGTCAGCACATTCTTTATCTATGTAGGTTGCATTTTCTCTCCTTGGAGAGCCTCAGATTCAATGGTGAGCTTACGGCTGGCATGCCAGCAGTTTCCTAAAATGTAATATCATCACTATTATTGTTATTATATGAGGGAAGGTGAATAGGAACTCATCAGAAACCTGGAAAATGTTGTCAGAACATTAGCCGTGTAATTTTTTTCCCCTTCATTGTCTGCACCAGCTCTGAAGAAAAAATGCAGAAGTTTGTTGATTTGGAGTAGCTGGCTTTTTTTTTTTTTTTTTTTAGATGGAGTTTTGCTCTTGTCACCCAGGCTGGAGTAGAGTGGTGTGATCTCAGCTCGCTGCAACCTTCTCCGCCTGGGTTCAAGCGATTCTCCTGCCTCAGCCTCCCGAGTAGCTGGGATTACAGGTACCCACCATCATGCCCAGCTAATTTTTGTATTTTTTTAGTAGAGATGGGGTTTCACCATGTTGTCCAGGCTAGTCTCGAACTCCTGACCTCAGGTGATCCACCCACCTTGGCCTCCCAAAGTGCTGGGATTACAGGTGTGAGCCACTGTGCCTGGCCTAGCTGGCTTTAATGGTTGCTGTTTCTGGAATCTCTGGCTATAGGAATGGATTTCTCAATGGTATATTCTTGAAAGAAAGGCAAAATGCTCAACCAAATGGAACTTTTTGAATAAGAGTTGACAGATTGCTCATCCTTGCCCTCCTCAGAACAAGTGTTTGCCGTTTCTCTGATGTGGGCCTTCTTTTTTTTTCCGAAAAAGTCTCACTTTGTTGCCCAGGCTGGAGTACAGTGGCGCTATCTTGGCTCACTACAATTTCCACCTCCCAGGTTCCAGTGATTCTCCTGCCTCACTCAGCCTCCTGAGTAGCTGGGATTATAGGCGCCCACCACCATGCCCAGCTAATTTTTATATTTTTTAGTAGAGATGGGGTTTCACCATATTGGCCAGGCGGGTCTCGAAATCCTGATCTCAAGCAATCCACCTGCCTTGGCCTCCCAAAGTGCTGGGATTACAGGCGTGAGCCACCGTGCCCAGCCTGATGTGGGCTTTCTAGGAGGGGGCAGCAGATGCCTCTCCTCACATCCCAGCCACGCATCAAGGATGAATGGACATGTGGGTGTCTTCCGTGGGAGTTACCTGGCGGAGGGTGGGATTTAGGCCCCAGGGAAGGTGAGGAGCAGTGTAAGGGACAGTCACACTCTGGGAAAGACATCGAAGGGTGACATGCCCTTCCAGAGAGCCCAGCTTCTGTTCACCTGATGAGAGGTGACACAATGCTACGGTGTTCATTCGTTTGACAAATGTGGATGGAGCACTTGCTATGGGTATGCCAGACCTGGTGGAAATAGACACATAATGCTGCATCACAATGCTCCCAGTCTAGAAGGGGAGACACACATGAAAACAGGTATCACTAACTATAGTCATGATCACGATGGGAATATGAGGGAGTTCCCCGGAAGCACAAGGGAGGCAGCACTCTACATGGTCTGAGGTTGAGTTCTCCTAGAAGCAGACCATGAGACAAGGATTTGAGTGCAAATAATTGAGTGAGCAGTGCAGGAAATGAAGAAGTAAGGAAGTACACAGGGAAGCCTGCGGTGAGGATGTGCCATAGCACTTGTATATCAGTTACTTACTGCTGTAACAAATCACCCCAGAACTCCATGACTTAAACCAGCCACCATTTGTTTAGCTCCTGATTCTGTGGCCAGCTGTTGAGGCTAGGCTCAGCTGTTTGGGTCTTCTGGTCTCATTTGGGCCCCCTCTTGCATCTGCAGGCAACCTCGGGTTGGTTGGGTGCCTGGCTGTTGGTTTGTGGTTCGCTGGCGTTCCTCCGCATGGTCTCTCCTCCTCCAGCAGGCTAGCCCAGGATTACTCTTACAGTGTGGCCAGGGCCCAAAATGGAGAGCAGCAGTGCACTAGACCTCATGAGGCCTAGTTCCAGAGCAAATATATTCTCACTTTTGCTACATTCTGTTGATCAAAGCAAATGTCACAGGGTCGCATGGAAATAAACTCTGCTTCCTGATGGGAGGAGCTGCAAAGTCACATGGCAAAGGGTGTGATCCAGAGAGGCTGTCAATCAGTGCATCATCCCCTGCTCCCACAGTGGATGATTGGCACTTTGTCCTGCAGGGAAACGTACCTCTTGGAATGACTATATCTGAGAAGTGAAGGAGCTGGAGTGTTTGTACCCCAATTCCTGAGATTCACTGGTTGAGGGCTACTCTGGGTTAGGTGGGTGGGGACAGTTAGCTCCCTGGCACTTGCATCCTTGTCTAGCTATGGGAAAAGGCCCTTAGATACAAAAATGCAGACACTGGCAGCTGAAAGTCAGCAAAAGCATTGGGGTCAGGGTGGGGAGTGTGGGAGGGGATGGCAGGGACATGGATGATATCTCCTGTACCCGCTTTCTTAAAGACTCTCAGTTGATGAATTTATTCTGAAATTCCAACAGGAGTATCATATCACCTTTTGACATGGAGGCTTCTTCCCATTAGCTTCCTAGGAATACTTTCATTTCATGTTTTGCCAAACACCCAACATTCTCCAGTACTATGATAACTATTCTCTATTGCATTCGTCTGGACCCTTTTTTCCCCTTCACTAGCAAGCATAACAATATATTATTGCACACATGCAGAAGGGCATTTGGCTTTACAGCAAACCTATGAACCATGTATAGGGCTCCAAGTTTTGTTCCCATTCGCTGAGGACAGCAGCAAAGGCAGATAAGGGATGTGTCCACAGCACGTCCACAGGCAGAGAGGATAAGATCCCTGAGCCCTGCATCATCCTGGGAGTGACGTGGGCCAAGCCTAGCCATGCAGCAGAACTCTGTGTTTCTTAGGAGCCCTGGCTCCAGCGCAGCTCAGGCGTAAGCACAACCCATGACTCTGGGATGCCCCTCAATTGTCTTACAAAGTAACTCAGGCATTGATGTGGGGTAGAGACAAGCCCAGCACACAAGTTCTTCCAGGTTGGGGGATTTTATGTGTGTACTTGGAGCCAGAGCATTTCTGGTGCAGAATAGGAAGCTGACAGACAGGGATTAGAGTCACTTATCTGAGGTCAAAAAAATTAAATAGCAGAGGCAGGAGAAACACCTGGTGGGAGGCTCCAAAGCCTGATATTCTAGCAATTTGACCCATGGGCCCTCACTTTAAATAACCATTGCAGCTTGGGGAACCTGGCCTGTCTTTAGGTGGAAACAAGTTTTGGAAATTCCTCCTATTGCAGAAAGCATTTGATTTGCAGTTTCCTGAATGCGAGGCTCCAAGTGTAGGGACCGCCACCCAAGGACGTTTTTCTCTGTTGGGCAGACTCAAAGCACTGAGGGGAGCTTTTCAGGGCCCACCATACATGAGCAACAGATAGCTCTCCCTACAGATACCATATTTCAGGGACAGCCCCTTCCCTCCTGAGCAGACACTGGCTGAGATTTTCCAGCTTCGACTTTCTAGATGGTGAGAGGATGGGGATGCTCAGAGGGACAGTGAAGGCACTGAGGCAGTAACTGTGGCAACCATAGAAGAGGCTGGCCACGTGCTCATAGCGGCCTTCCTCCTGAGACACCCGGGAAGGCTGAGTCTACCTCACAGGTGTGCCTGATAAAATTTTTTTGGGCAGTGTTTTCCTTGGCTTCCAAACATAGCCATCCATTGGAGGTTTTATGTGGAAGCATCTTTCCAGCAGGCACAATGACATGGCTATTTCCCTTGTGACTGGACGCAAGGAAAGGATCTATGAAGAGAATGTAGCCCCGAATCCCTCCCTTCTCTCAACTTGGAGCAGACAGGGAGCCATGTGTGGTTTCCTTGCTAAGATTTTTGCAGTTTATTCTGTGTGGCTGTGTGTGTTGGTCCCTTGCCAATAATCCTAGACTCACCCATCCCGGCACAGGCTTGTTACTGTGGGCCAAGCCAAATTCTGAAGCAGCGCAGTTGTTTGTTGTCTGAACTCAGTCTTCCCCAACACATACTTTTCTTGTTGTCCTGCACACACCCTCTCATCAGCACCCCTCCCAAGTTTGTTCTGAGCCACCTGATATAACCTCAGGTGAACAAGAAGGCTGCCCTGTGGCTCTTCACGGATGAAAAGCCAAAGGCAGCTGTGGCTTCGCTTTGTCCCCAGTAGTCACTGGCCACGGTGAGACCTGGGTTTAACATGACCTGCCCATAAATCAGTTTGCTGCAATTGCAGTGAGAGGGAAGGTACCTTGTAGAAAACCTCTAGATTTTATGAGCTTGTTTCCCTGACTGCATTCCAGAGCCACGTGTGAGACTTGGGTTTAACGTGACCTGTCCGTAAATCATTTTGCTGAAATTGCAGTGAGAGGGAAGGTACCAGGTAGAGAACCTCTAGATTTTATGAGCTTGCTTCCCTGACTCCATTCCAGGTGATCTTGATCCAAAAATGACGAGGCTGGGTGGTTGCCATTGGTGTCACACCCACATCCCTTGCTGTGCAGGTGCACTGCTCCCAGCTGCTGTGCTGGCTGCAAGCTGCTCACAGTGGCCCGTCCTTTGGTCTGGAAAGTCACCCTTGCCCTGCCTGGGAGGGTGACTTGTTAGCCAATGGCTGGCTGATTTGGGGTGTGGATTAACTCCCTGGTGCAGTTTATGCTGCACAGCTCCCCTTGGTGTCTGGTTGAGGCTAGATTCCCCCTGTGCCCACAGCCTTGGTCCACTCCTGCCCTGTCCCTGCCCCAGCCTGGTTCCCTGGCTCGCCAACAGATCCCTGGATCTCTGCCACAAGCTCTGGCTTCCAGGGAAGGGAGCCTATCCTGAGATGCGGTAGAACCTCATGTTTTATTTATCTGCTCTTAGATCTCCTGTCCGGGCAGGCTGATTGCTTTTTAGGATTCCAAGTTTCAAAAGGAAATCAAATCCAATGTATTTATCAGACATTAGTGGGAGAGAAAAAAAAACAGTTGCTCATTGGCTTTTTATTTGCCCTCTTGGAATTGCAGAGGATTTTGTTATTTTTATATTTAAAAACCAGACTTGTGGAGTAATGTGTGGGAGACCCCTTCAGGCTGGTCCAGGGGACTTTGTGTCTTTAGAGATTGCTCTGGACACCTCTTCCACTGAGGCTTTGTTTTTAAAGAGGACTTTCCAGACCCAAGGGAATGGAAGGGGGCTCCCTTGAGAGAAATGGCTTTCATACAAAATGTCCTTACTGGTGGGGAACTGAAGACAGGTACAGTCCTTACTGCATAAGGGGACAGATGATGTTCAGTTACAGTCATAAGCCTTTCTCACCAGGAGCACTGGACTCTCCTTTAAGAAAGTTTTCTGTGATAATGAGATTTGAACTGGAAGAAATGCTGTTCTTTCAGTTAACAGTTGTGTTTTTTCCAAGAAAAAAAAGAAATACAAATGTTAAAACTTTTTTTTTTTTTTCTGGTGCTAAAGAACAATTTCACCTCCTAAGCCAAGAAGGAAAAAATTCTCATCTAAACCGCCAGGCTTAAAGGTGGCTCCTTGTCAGTCCTGAGGTGGTAGAATTGAGGTGAATGAAGTCAACCACAGTTTCTAATGTCTTCTTATATGCCTTCAGAAACACCATGCTCACCTTTCCTCCTGCTGTCCTAGGCTGAGCCTGCCATCCCTCCTTCCCTCTGTCCATCACAGCCTCCCCTTAGGGTCATTAACTCAGTCCCTACCACTCACCTTCCCATAGGACAGGTGTTCTTAACCTGGAGTCTATGTCCTCTTGCTGATCTGTGAACCCGGATAAGGAAATGATTGCATTTTGTTTTCACTAACTTCACACTGAAATTTAACATCATATTCAATTATGAATGTAGGAAACAGACTACAGTAATATTACCAGGACCTGTGACTCTGTCCCAAATAGAAATCACAGGTATTGTCAAATCAAGTTAGAGTTATTGCAGATATTTCAAACTACCATTTACATTCATCCCTCCTTCAGAGTTATAGCATTAGATTTACCTCCAGATCTTTTTATTTAATATGTTTTTTTTAAAGCATATTGCTAAACTACACATTTGTGCTCTCCCCTTTCCCATAGGGCTACCTCACCTCCCAGGAGAAAAGATTCAAAATCTAGGAGATTCATAATTTCAATATATTCCATTGCTTGTGACTATTTATGGCCGTATTTGGTTCCTGAGCTAGAAACAGAAAAGTTATGGCCATGACAGAATTACTTGTCAAGGGACTATGATGGCCCTGCTAACCTGGGCTTTCTTGAGCTGTCTGCCCCGCTAGCTTTGATGAAATGCACATACACTGCTTGCATTTTCTGTGCAATGGCCAAGTGTAACAGGCAGCACACATGTGGCAGATCGTAGCAGCGGGCCCTTGCCGGGTCAAGTCATACATCGCTGCACACCGGGGCTGTCTTAGGACATTGGACCTCCGAGCAGCCTGCAGATCTTGGGAATTCCTCTGCCCCCTAAAGTATTCTTTGTCTTTAATCCAGTTGTTACAGTGAGTGAACCTGATTTGTTCCAGATGTCCTAAGATTTAGTGATTCCGGAAACTACTCCTAAAGTCAAGGCTGATGAGGATTTGAATTCCTCTGTTAGCTGGGAACCAGCAGTTCTTTTCACAGTTAAACAGATGAGGCAGGAGGAGGGAGACTGAGCTGCCTTGAGGGACAGGGAGGGGCCCACTGACTGGCTTATTTGCCTTGTTAGAAAGAGGATGGCCTTTGAAGCAAATATCGATTCTACCACTACATGGCTGGGGCCAAAGTCAGCTGGGCAGGGACATGGACGTGCTATTTTTTTTAAAGTAATACATATTTACCTTAATTATCTGAATGTTGTTGCTAGGGAAACCACTATTTTGGCTCAGATCATCTTAGTAAATGCTTTTTTCTCTCACTTTTTGAGCATAAAACTGGCCCAGGTGGGTACCTATGAGGGAGGTGGAGGTATTTCTGGCTTCCTATAAGTGAGTTTTTCAAACCAGAAATTCAGTCCCAGGAATGATTTCCCTGACCCACTGTAAATTTTAATTGAGGTGCGTTACAGGGGTGCACTATGATCTCTCTCTGGAGTTAATAACCATATGGATCTGTTTTGCCTGATTAGAAGGGATTTCTAAAGCATGATGAGATGGGGAAGCACAATTCAAACTACATGGCATAGTAACTCACTCCCAGAGGAAGTTAAAACATGTATACATACATATAGAATGTTCTGTTTAATATTATTGGTTTATGCAGTATTTGAATATATAAATATGAACATAAAGCCACGTACAGTTATGGATTTAAAACAAAAGCAGAACTTAATTAATGTTGCTGTTTGGATTTTTTTCAAGTGTATTTGAATGCAGACAAGTATCCAGATAGATGCTAGTGGAAGTCTGGGACAAGCTGTATAAGGGTATCAACCCAGGGTTCAGCTGGAGCTGGGCCAGACTACTAGGTTGTGTATTTAGAGAAACTAGGGCAGGACTGCTGGAGAAGAAGCTGAGTGGTGCCAAGGTAGGGCAGTGATATGGTTTGGCTGTGTCCCCACCTAAATCTCGTCTTGAATTGTAGCTCCCGTAATTCCCACATGTTGTGGCAGGAACCCGGTGGGAGGTAAATAAATCATGGGGGCGGGTCTTTCCTGTGTTGTTCTTGTAATAGTGAATAAGTCTCACGAGATCTGATGGTTTTATAAAGGGGAGTTCCCCTGCACACACTCTCTTGCCTGCCACCATGTAAGACGTGACTTTGCTTCTCATTCACCTTCCGCCATGGTTGTGAGGCCTCCCCAGCCATGTGGAACTGTGAGTCAATTAAACCTCTTTCCTTTATAAATTACCCAGTCTCAAGTATATCTTTATTAGCAGTATGAGAACAGGCTAATACAGGCGGGATAGGCACACCTGAGAAGGAGGACAGGGTCAGATAAGGTGGTAAGCTTTGAACAGAAGAAAGCGTATCATAGGGGATGTTGAGCTTGTTGGGATGAGGAGCATCCAATGGGCTAGAGCAGGTGGTTTAGGGCTGAGGCTGTAAACCACAGGGGATTACCTATGTTTATCTGGGGCAAGTTGCAGGATAACCACAGGACAAGACTAGTAGTTGGACAGAAATACCAATTTTTATTATTCTAGAATAGATTAAAATATAAAATAAAATTAGATTTTCTCTAATATATTTAGAATTGAACCTTTTTGGGTACAATATTCTTTTTTAGTATTTCTTGGTGATTTTTTTTTTTACAACAAAAAATAGAGCAATACCTTTCTTGGTTAGTAAAATAAATCCCTAAATATTTGCCACAATCTCTAGAATCTTCTAAATCAGGAAATTTTAATGATTTTCACAGCAGTGAAAATTGATATTCATATTCTAAATAATTCCATGTTTCACTGAAATCTGCAGGAATCGAAAACAATAGGCAGTCACTAACTAAAATGGGACAGCAAGACAGAAACAGTTTCCTATCCCTGTAGGAAAGAGAAATCTCGGAGCTTTCATTGCATGAAAACCGACTCCATTTTAGTACCTCGTTGCACTTTAGGCTTTCCTTGTCCAGAGTTCTCACACATGACAGTGAGCTCCAACTACAACCTATTCCAAGCTGAGAGTAATGGACTGAGAATCTGAAAACATGACACATCAATCCATTCCCCACCTTTCCCCTGTGAGACTCAAAAAAACATTTCCCAGGCTCCCTTGCAGATAAGCTTCTTGGGAAGTTCAGCCAGTGGCATCACTGGTGTGAGATTGGAGAAAGGGAGGAGGAGAAAAGTCAGGGTGTTTCTCCTTAACTCCACTCACTTTAAGCAGCATCTCTGGCAGTAGCTACTTCTCCTCCACCGTCTTAGCTCCCTCTTGGCAGTCCCAGTCCCAGTCACAATCACAACACCTCCTCCCTCAGTCCCTCCAACTCTAAGGGTGTCAGCAGTTGCTTCTGATCTCAGCTTTTCCTTATCTTACCTTGTTTGCTCTTCTGGTTCTTTTCACACCTTTGTACCTGGTTCCCCATTTTAATCCCTTCTATGAACTACCTGGCATGGGTTCTGCTTTCCTCTCTGGACTCTGACTAATACATAGTGGGTTTGAATCCTGGTACTGCCACTAGTTACTAAATAAGTTATTAAGTTGTCTACCTTATTTAGTCCTCAATGTCTTTGCAAAATGGGGAGGAGGTTGGTCTGTAATGAATTCTGAGATCCCTTGAAGCTTTGAAAATCCGTGAGTCTCTAAATTTTGATCTCATAATACATATTCATGAAATGAGTGTATTTTTCTAGCTCCATTACAGAGATAGTTTTTATTATTTGCTTTCTAGGACATGGCCTTAGCCTTCATAATACTGTTTGTTTACAGATTTCATGAAGGCATTTACCCTGGCATTGTACCACTAAAGGCTGATGTTGGCGGCATTATTCTTAGGAGACATAGAAATGTTGTGGTTTTGAGAATGGGCTTTTATATTATTTGGCGTAGATTATTAAAGAACAGTTACCTGTGTCATGAAGGAGAGGCCCCCAGACTGGCACTTTGAATGCAAATTCTTCTGTGACAAATCCAGGGGACTTTGGAATAACTCTCAGATATGGCAGTAGACTTAACTGTAAAAGCTCCCAGCCCACAGAGGTGAGCAGAGGCTGAGGAGTAAACACCATACCAACATTCTGGGACAAAATAGCCTGAATGCTGTTGTACCTTGGAAATGCAATAGCAGCTGCCTTCCTAGGTGGGGAAGCTGAGAGCAGCCTCTTACAGGAGTGCATGCCCTATAGACAGAGGCTCATGAACTTGTGCTTGCTGACATGTATATCTTCTTCAGTTGGTCCCTAGTGAGTCTACCCAAAGTGAATTGCACTGGGGAAATTCAGAAATATACACCCCTCAGATTCAACAAGGGTGGTATCTTGTGTGTTTCCTTTAAGTTATACCAGTTTATGGCAGGGGCAATGTTCAAAATAGTTAAGAACCTGCACAGCATGAGCACACCTACCTTTAAGAACAGTTGCCAGTCATAGAGAACTGGTACAGCTCCCCTGGTGCAACCCACTGATGGTCAGTCTGGGGCCAGGGGTGTCTTTGGTCACCCACACCCACATTTGGCTGGACTGTGAGGCCTGGGACTTGAACCACATCAGTAGAAATTGAGGCTATGGCACCTGGGATGTCTCCTTGTGACAGTTACGCAAGAAGGAAAGTGAACAGAATGTGGATCCCAAGGGTTGGGTAGGGTTTGTCCAGAGCCTTGGGTCCTTTCCAGAAGGAGCTTGGGCCCCTGTAATTCAGAGATATTCAGATTAACTGATCTGGTCTCCTGCCAGTGACAGGCCTCACTCACTGGACCATTCTCCTATTCAGAAAGCTGACATAGGATCCTGTAGCAGGAATGATCAGTGCTGGCTGCATCCCTTTTATATTTATGTGCTATGCTGGTATGCAGCTACTAGTAACTATATCTCTTTGCCTTTTCTGCCTACCAAGTATCTTGCCAGAGGTACTGGGAGTAGATGTGCAGCCCCCCGCCTTTGCAGTAGCCCTCAACCAATGACTGACTAGAGTGGACACGTAAATATTCCCTCATCCCACAAATGGGATAACTCTGTTCTGCTCATGTGTTGCACAGTTTCCCAGAGCTCCCCAGCAAGATTAAGTTCCAGGTGCTCAGGGAGCTGACTGGCTTGATGTTGCTGCCTTTGCTGGTTGCCTGTCCTTCTGTGTTTCACTCTACCCCTTCCCTACTGGTGTTTTATGGAACCACCTCTGGAATAAACAACTTGCTTTCAAACCTGTCTCCAGCTCTGCATCTGGGGGCGCCTGCACTGACATTCTTTATTCCCTAGATCTGTGTGGCTTGCTACTTTTTTCTCCCACCACATCACAGGTAATGAATGAGGCTCATTTGCACAACATACAACTTTGGACATCAGATTTTGGTGAAACTCAAAATTACTTGGTGAGAAAGAAAAGCACACATATGTTACGCTTTTTTTTTCAGCATTTCACAATATTCACTAAAGCATTTTATAAGCAAGTGAGTTGTAGGAGCTAAATATGATCAATTTTTAAAAACTACTTTTTTTTTTTTTTTTTTTGAGATGGAATCTTGCTCTTTTGCCAGACTGGAGTGCAGTGGTGTGATCTCGGCTCACTGCAATTTCTGCCTCCCGGGTTCCAGCCATTCTCCTGCCTCAGCCTCCTAAGTAGCTGGGACTACAGGTGTGCACCACCACACCCAGCTGATTTTTGTATTTTTAGTAGAGACAGGGTTTCACCATGTTGGCCAGGATGGTCTCAATCTCTTGATCTCATGATCCACCCGCCTTGGCCTCCCAAAGTGCTGGGATTACAGGCATGAGTCATCACGCCCGGCCCAAAACTATTTACTTTCATTTTTACCCAAATTTATTTCCCCTGGACGTCTACTTCACAAGCAGTAACATAAGCAAGTATGTATCATTAAAGATTTATCACAAATCAACCATATTATATCGTAAGTAAAGTAAAACTGGTGAAACAAATTTAATGCAGTATATCCCAAAAGTAATTATTTGAGCATGTAATCAATATTAAAACAACTGTGGAGATTTTTACATCTTTGAGTATCTGCTGTCTTTGAAAACTCATGTGTATGTTAAACTTAATTCAGACCAGCCACATTTTAAGCGCTCAAATGCCACATGTTATCTGTAGCAACCATATGGGGCAGCTCTGGTCTAGCACATGAACTTCAGAGTTGTCCCACTCAATAGGCAAGGGAGCTGGGGTAATTATACAGCAGTTCCCATCAGTCATTGAGGGTTGCTGCAGAGCATGTCAGAGGCTTAATTCTTAGGCACTTTCCTGGCCTGCAGAAAAAAGCCCTCTGACAAAGAGATGGGGATACTGACTAGATAGAACTGCAGTCTGTGCAGGTTACACAGTGATAAGACCCCAGGTGGAACCACTTATAGCTGACTACATTTTTTAATATCTTCACTTTGGTGTTTTATTATTGTCAAATTACTTGCAATAATGTATCTTAAGTTGGTCACTCAAGAAAACTTGGTTAAATTCATGGGCCTAGAAGATCAACATCAAATCTTTGTCTTCAAGACCTAAGGGAATCTGGATGTGCCCTACACATATCTACTTGCCTCTCGCTAATCTTTCTGCTAAGAGTGTCCTTCTCCTGCCCCTTTCCATGTTATTTCTGCCCACCTTCATCCTCTGATCATGTTTATTTTTCTCTCTGGCTGGAATGTACTCCCTGTTTTTCTGCCCATCAATAGGCAGAGCATTTTACAAGCAAGTGAGTTTTAGGATCATTCTTTCAGATGTGGCTCAATTGCTACCTGTCTCTGGAAGCTTCATGTAATAACTTCAGTCAACAGTGATATCTTTTCCCTGAGTTTCTCTTGCCCCTTGATCTTCACCTGTTCCTTTGGCAGGTCTTATCAACTTCATGGTTTATTTCCTGGGTAATTCATTTACCAGCATGCATTCAGGAGGTGCCTGACAGTCCTCACTTATTCCCTGTAGCTTAATTAACACCGTCTCTTAATTCTTCATGTTATAATCAATTTATTTGGTATTTTTTGCTCATATCTCTCATAGAAAGACAACAGATGAGCAATTTTGGTTTTATGGTTTACTCATGTTTGTAATTTTAAACTCTGAAAATTGAAAAGCTTTGATAGTTGTCAACAAAGTACCCAGAAAGAAGGTTGCCCATGAGAGTGGCTAAAGACATCTAGAGTCATCTCAAATGCCTCCACAAATTTCAAAGAAAATTGTCAAGAGAAAAGTTAAGCACCTCAGTAGCATTTGTAAAGAGATGACACCTTATGTTCTAAATATTCTCCCAGTATTCTAAAATATTCTAAATGCTAAGGAAATAAACACAATTTTATTTATAATCTTATAGCCAAGTATGTTTCATATACATTGATACTATTTAGTTGCATTTTTATATGCTTTAGGAGCAATGGGAAAGGCAAAGGAGCACTGACTGGACCAGGGGTTAGAGCTCTGCCCTTGTCTGCTGAGTGGCCTTGGGGAAGTCATTTAACTGTCTGCCTTTATCTGCAAAATGGTGACCCAAATGGGCCCCCTTCCAGCTGTCAAATTCCATGTCTGATTTTATGATGTCTGCCCTTTTTAAGAATGGGAAGCATTGTTTGTGATTTCACATTGCAGGGGCTATTTACATGTATGATTTGCATCATTGATTTTATGATACATTGTTGAGAGTATCTGTGATTTTTTTGGAAGCTGAATCCTTACTGAGGGCATGCTGCCCCTAGTTATGATATTGCTCCTAGGAAGAATAAAATCTGCTTCACAATGTCCTTTTTGGTATGATTTCCATGATTGAGAAAACTGGGGATTGTATGTGTAGTACATCTGGTTTATCCACTTGTCTGTCCATGGACACTTTGGGTTGTGTCTACCCTTGGCTACTGTGAATAGTGCTGCTATGAACATGGGGGAACAAATGTCTCTTTGAGTTCCTGCTTTCAGTTCATTGGGTAATAAACCCAAAAGTATAATTTTTGGGTTATATGACAATTCTATGTTTAATTATTTTGAGAAATGTTCATATTGTTTTCCAAGCAGCCACTCGATTTTACGTTCCTACCAACAGTGCACAAGGGTTTCAATTTCTCCACATTCTTGACAATTCTTGTCTTCTGTTTTTTTGATAGTTGCCATCCTAATAGTCATGAAGTGGGAAAAAATAGTTTTTAAAAAGTAACAGATGGATAAACAACTAAGAGAAAGAAGGAAGGAGTGAAGGATGGACGGATGGACAGACTTGGCTGCCCTATACTATTATCCTAGTCATCATTGTTAAATATAGTTGTGGTTGGTAGATACAATACCGATAATAATAATGATGGTGTAATGAGAATTTTTTTAATGCAAATATAGTTGGATGCATTTGATTAACACTTGTGCTAGCCTTTACTCAGGCTAGATTTATGATGGCAGCAAAAGAAAAGGTCATGGTTTTTATGTCTAAGACTTAAGGAAAATCTAAGTGATCCAACAGAATATTATTAAGCACCATCCAAAAAATTATCTGGATAGAAGAGGAAATTTTTGCTTTAGTTGCCTTAGTGATTCAGCATATGTGGTTGATATGGAAATGTATTGCATTTACCCAACAAGGAACTTTGAATGGTAATCCTAATGTACAGTGATGAATGAGGACAGAAAACAAGTTCTACAGAGATTTTCTGGCTTGACACAGCTGCCAAGATGTCATCAGTAACATCTTCCATTGAGTATAGTGAATGAATTGGTGCTAAACTTAAGTACAAACCCAATAACGCAGTCAAAAAAAAGCCAGCTGCTATAAGATATACTTGGGTAGGATTTTTAATAACAAATGAGCAATATATTTTCAGCAGGCTATATATATGCTGTAAGATAAGCTTTATAGAAGCAGTACACTTTGTATCTTATGTTGACTACTAATAATGATTTTCATATAAAAGCACAGCAAAGAGATCCATGTACAAAGTAATATAACCCACTTAAAAGACTGCACAAGCAAATTAAAATAAAAAGGGAAATTTCTCAGGGAATAAAATTTCTTGAAGATTAGAAACACTGTTCCTCAATAAATAAGCACCCCTGGAATGTTTAGCACAAAAACTCTATGCTTGATCGTTTTACTATTTCAGCAGGACTGTCAGAGAGGTTGGTCTTTGTGGAGTCCTGTTCCTTTCAGGTGTTTGTAAACTTTCTTGCCAAAGCCCTTCCCGACTGAGATGGAGTTGATATTAGAGCCATGGCTGGGACAACCTTCATGCCAAAGGAGGTGTGCTGCTAGTTGCAACTCAGACCCTGCATGGCCGGGTGACCTCAGTTGGGTGGGTTCCCCTTTCTGGGGCTCAACTTCTTCATCTGTAAAATGTGAAGGGGGAGCTGATGATCTGTTGTGGGGATGTCATGGATGTTCATTCATTCAAGTGTTCACTGAACACCTGCTAGGAGAGACCAACCTCTCTGACAGTCCTGCTGAAAGATGAAAACAATCAGGCACGGGGTTTTTATGCTGAACATTCCACGGTGCTTAGTTATTTATTGAAGAAGAATCTTTCTGATATTCAAGGAATTTTATTCCCTGAGAAATTATGTGCCAGGCACTACTCTGTCACTAGGAGTTCAACGATAAGCAAAGCCAGAGAAGGGTCCTACCCCTGATGTTTAGATTCTAGTAGGGGATAGACAGTCCTCAACCAAAAAGCCCCACAAACAAATGCATAACCACAACTTCGATAAGTGCCATGAAGGGTTGATGGGGCACATGGGGGGTGGGGGGCTCATAATGGGAGGATTTATTTCACCTAGGCAGGGAGATCAGGAAGGATCCCCTGGGGACATGATAGTCAGGGGGCTGGAGAATGTGGGTTATGTTGGAGAGGAATGAGTTTTGAAGGGATAGGAGTTGCTGGGTTCTCATACCAGCACAGCGTCTTCTCTCTCTTCATCTCAATTTCCTCATCTCTCTAATATGGGCCTAATATCAAGACCCTTTCTCAGTGTTGTGAGGTTTCAGAAGGATGACATATTTGACAACACCCAATATCATGCTGGCACATCACATTTTCATTTCATTTCTAAAAATAACTTTGGAAGCAGAGATGTGCTGTTTTAGTCAAAGACTTTTTTAGCTTTGGAGAAAGAATGAAACCCCAGCTTTGAGACTCCTCTAAAAAAAATCTGAGTTCACATTCTGCCCTGGAAGTTGCCTGGCTGCTTCCCTTAATCACAGAGCCTTGTTTGAATCACTTGACTTTGAAATCCCAGGAATGACTTTGCTGTGTGATTAAGTGACAGAGGCCCAAGGTTTGGGGATTGGCAGAAGTTTAGATGTCCCTGGCCTGATCCCTTACCCTTTACATATAAGGAAAGGAAGCTGATCACATGAACAACTAAACTGGAATGAGGAGGCAGCCCCTCCTCCATGGTCCTGGGCTCATCTATACTGTCTCCCTGCCAAATATTCCATGGAAACCTTGGACACTGTCTGATGTCAGGACTACTTATGAATGCCTGTCCACTTCCTTCTCAAGATAAAGCTAGGTTAGCACTCTCTCATAACTCAAGCCTGAGGTTTATTCTTTTAATCTTCCAAAAGCAAACAGAAGAACAGAAATAACCTATCCACTGTTTAAGATTAAAATGGCCAACAATAATAAATAATTGCCACAATAGCTTGAGATCAGGGTCTTAATTTATTGGAGGCCGTTCAAGAATTTGCAGCTCTTAAGTTAATTTTTCACATCTTGTTTGGATCCTCAGAGCCCGTGCTTCCAAAGCAAGGCCATCATATTTCTCATTGCACATGTTATTCTTGTTGATGTGCCAGACATGCAGGAGAGTGAGGTCCTCTCTTCACGGATGGGTAATGAGGATTCCACCCCCCCAGAAATTAGTATTTCAAAGTATTTTTGCCTATGGAGATTTTGAAGAGTTCTCTTCTTTTGCATGGTGTATTAGCTGTATTAATGGTTGCAAACAAGAAAAACGTATGCTGGTTAATTTAAGCAGAAAAGGAATTTATTAAAAGGATGTGGGGTGGTTCAGAGCATAGACAAGAAGGCTGGGGAACCAACACAGGCAGGAAACAGAGGAGGCAAGTCTTAGTCCAGGGTTCCACCTCTGGGCCCTTTACTCCTCTGTAGCTACTTCAGATGATCCCTGGTGTCTCTGTGCAACCCTCAAAATTTGTAGCCCTGGGTGGGAGCATCTGTTCTCACATCGCTGCCACTTGATCACCCTTAGATCACATGATTTCACTTAGGCAAGTGCCCACACCCTAGTGATCAAGAAGAGGGGAAAGAGAGGGTCTGCCCCCTTTCTGCTGATGTGCCGCCCCACCTATCTTGAGATTCCCCCAAAACACGAGGATGTCAGGATGCTGAGTGGCCAAAAATAACAACTGTTCATTATACAAACCCTTATATCCTTAATTACGTCTTCCATTAACTGGTTATCCGATTAAAACTGGCCACTCACATGGATTTATTTTGTTCAAAGGTCGCATCACACAATAATCATCAGTCTCTCATGCATCTTCATCCTTGTCATCTTCAGCCTCAGCCTTATCACCGTTCTCATCCTAGCCCCGTTCACTCACCCCTGTCCTGGGCCCCCATTTCCCTCCATCTCCTCACCTCTCAAACGTTCACCTCTTTCTCCTCCAACTCCCAGTCTTTCACCCTACTTCTATTTCACTACAAAATAGAAGCAATCACAGAGGAATTCCCGCATGTTCCTACCACCCATCTACTAATGCATCTTCAGCTCACCTCCAGCCAGGCGAGAACAGTCATTCATCAGACCCCAGCAATTGTTGCCTGTCGTGTTTTCATTAATTGTTGCCTCTCTAATGGATCATTCCCATTAGCTTGCAAATATGCTATGATAATTCCCATCTTAATAAAAAAGAGCAAAAAAACTCCCTGGAGCCCACTTCCCCCACCAGCTACCATCCAATTTCTCTGTTCTCCTTTAGAGAAAAACTCCTCCAAATAGTTGTCTGTCCTCATTGCTTCCATTTGTTCTCCTCCTACATCTCTGAAACTCTCTCCAGTTAGGCTTTCCTCCCATCGTGCCACTTCAGCAGTTCTTATCAAGGTCACCAGTGACCTCCAGAAGGCTGATTCCAATGGCCAGTTCTAATTATTCCCATTGTTCTGGCCTGTCTGCCATATTGGACAAAATTGATCCTTCCTTTCTTGAGACTGTCCTCTGTGACCATGTGGATGACTCCTCTCTCGATTTTCCTCTTCCTTCTCTAGCCATGCTTTTCCAGTCTTGTTGGCTGACACCTCCTCATCTTCAACTCCTAAATGTGAGTCCTCATTTCTATCTATACTCATTTCCTAGTGATCGTTTCTAGTCTGTCCCAAATGTATCCTAGCCCAGACCCCTCCTTCAACTCCAGACTCATGCATCCACCTGCCTCAAAATCTCCTTTAAAACCCAATAGGCATTTGGATTTTCTCTGCTGAACCTTCTCAACCCAGTCTTTCCCATCTCAATAAATGACAACTTTTCTCTTCTAGTTATTGAATCCAAAATCCTTGAAGCAGTCCTTGACTCCTCTTTTCCTAACACCCTTCATCCAGTCCATGAGAAAAATCTGTTGGCATGACCTTTGAAATGTGTCCAGAATATGACCCCTTCTCACCCCCTCAGCTGCCATCACCCTGGCCTTCACGTTCATCTTCTCACACCTGGATTGTCACAAGAGCCTCCTACTCAGGCCCCCTGTTCCTCTCCTGGCCACTCCACAGACCGTTCACATCATAGCCAATGCGAGCCTCCTTTAAACACTAACGTCAAGTCACGCTGCTCCTCTGCTCAGAGCCCTGAAGGGGCTTCCGAGGGTCAAACCAAGGTCCCTGTGCTGGCCCTCAAGGCCCTGTGGGATCTGCTGCCCCAACTCCCTCAGTCCCTCTGAGCTCAATCCTTCCTGCTCTCTTTATCACTCCTCTCCAGCTGCACTGACCTCCTTGCTGTTACCTGCACATGCCAGGCACACGCCCACCTCAGGACTTCTCCTTTGCTAGTCCCCACATACCGTGTTTCTTGCTCCCCTTCTTTCTTCGGGTTTGTACTGAGAAGTCACCTCATCAGTGAGACTTCCCTGATCACCTTATTGTAAATTGCACCCCACCTCCCTTGTAAGTCTGGCATGTTCTATCTTCCTTACCCTTTGTAAGTTTTCTCCACAGTTCTTACCACAATCTGACAGACATATTTGCTTCTTTCTATGTGTGTTTTCTCTCTCCCTGAAGCTACCAGGACTCTGTTTTCTTTGCTGCTACTTCCCTAGCACGGAGTAGTGGCTGGCACATGGTAGGCACTCAGAAATAACCGCATGAATTCATGTACAAATGAATCCCACGCTTAGGTTGTTAAGTGCCTTATAGTTTTTGAAGTTTGATGTACAAGATTTCATGTGAGCCTCTAAACAGTCTAGTGAGTTAGGCAAGGTAGAACCCTGTGCTTTACATGAGGAAGCTGAGGCCCTAGAGCTAACTGATTGCCCAAGGACACATGGCTAGTTAATGGGGCTCCTGGAACTTGTAGTTCTGATCTCGGTTTCTGCCCCCCACCTTCAACTACCCCCTGTGCCTCATGTTATATTAGTGTAGGCCTCAGGGCATTCATTGCTGTCTATTTTTCGTTACAGTATGGATGAGAAAACCCTGTATCTAGCTTTGGGGGCTGTGAAGAACATCTCCCTAAACATCTCTATCTCCAACCTCGGAGATGATGCCTATGATGCCAACGTGTCCTTCAATGTTTCCCGGGAGCTCTTCTTCATCAACATGTGGCAGAAGGTAAGGAGGGCATCCCTGTAAAAAGAGCAGTTGTTCCATCTGGTGCGCTTGCTGACTTTCATTATTGCCTGGAATAGGCAATGATTCTACAAGCACTAATCCTTTCTGTGGACTATCATTTAGAATGATTAGAACTTTTTTCTTCCTGGGCTTAGAAAACATGTTGGTATAGCCAAAGAAGCAGCCGTAAATGCCCACAGAGTGCCAGAGAAGTGTCTGTATTTATGTAGTCTCCCATCCCTTCTCTCTTGTGGAATCCTCTCCCTATGGTTTTACATCTGGCCCCTTCTTGGAGATGATACAGTTGCTGTCTCCAGCACACACATGTTCTAGAGAATTCCAGTTTTAGGTCAGTAGTTGTGAAAGTAAGGGCAGATCACTGCTTGTCGTGTTAGTTATTATGTATGATGTACTTGATGTTTCTAGTAGAGGGTCACTGCTTTGGCCTGTGCTTTGGATTATTTATTTATTTATTTTTTGAGACAAGTCTCGCTCTGTCACCCAGGCTGGAGTGCAGTGCCACAATCTTGGCTCACTGCAACCTCCACCTCCTGAGTTCAAGTGATCCTCCCACCTCATCCTCCCGAGTAGCTGGGACTACAGGTGTGCACCTGGCTAATTTTTGTATTTTTTGGTAGAGACAGGGTTTTGCCATGTTGGCCAGGCTGGTCTGGAAATCCTGACCTCAAGTGATCCGCCTGCCTCAGCCTCCCAAAGTGCTGGGATTACAGGTGTGACCCACCGCCCCTGGCCTTCCTAACATATTTGAGTGAATTGAGGTAGTTAAATTATTTCCACAAATTGAGTGAGTTTTTTTAGAGTAAATTAATTTGAATGAAGTGAAGTTTATATAGCATGACTCAAAGGTACAGTGCTGGTATTCTCCCCTACCCATAATCATCCCGAGTGTACCACCTCTCAGAGGAAGTGAACAGGCTTCCCTGCAGACAACAAGGGGGAACAAGTGGACAAAAGTCGACTCTGCTCTACCCAGTGTTGCTCTAACTGCTGATAGCTGTTCAGCTGGGACTGCTTGCAGCTTTTTAATATTTACAGCATTGAACGGGGTTGCCTTGTTCTTTATGTTAAAATGGAACCAAAATCACTTTCTGTGGAAAACCTTCACTCTGCCCACCGATGAGCACTGGGCATACATTGAGCAGGTCAACGGCGTTTGTTCAGGCACATATTCTGTGGCCTCAATAGTGTTGACAGGTTTGTGCCAAGCCTGCCCAGCTTAGGGGACAGCTGAAATGCTCAGAGCCACCAACAGTAGAGGCACTCCAAAACTTTCCAAGAAGTCATCTCAGATTCCCTGCTGCTTCATAGCTTTTAGGAGCTCCAGGGTTGAGGGAGGCCACAAAAGCAATCAAGGACTGCAGGAGGGGTGTGCTTTCCATCCACTTTCTATATTCTAAAAATTACCGCTGGATTAAGCCCAGTCAAGAGAGAACCAAGTATCTGTATGGTTCAAGTATCGCTGGCCACACACACAGTATCTTTTACAGAATCGCATGTGCTGTGATGCCATCTCCCTGTGCAGGGTGGGTTGGTAGGTGGGGGAAAGGGGCTTCCTTGGGGATTTGATCTGTGGAACTCATCTCTGTGGTAACTGAAAAGATGTAATTGGCAACTGGCTCATTACATTACACAGATTTCTCTCACTCAGGACCCATGCGAGAAATTTCCTTCCAGCCTCATTTAAGCTATTTCCAGACTTAGAAATAGCTGTCCCTTTGCCTGAGAATTTTGGCTTGTTTTTACCTTGTGACTGACTAGGCTTCATTCTCTTTATTGGCTGCTAGAAAGCTCAGAGCTGACCCCACTCTGTCAGTATATAGGACTTAGTCTTACTATTTTATAAACTCACTAGCCTCCTGTATCTTGCTTTGCTCCCCCTTTACCATGCTTTTCTTTTTAGCTTGGAGATTGCATAATATTCTACCATATGGATATACTGTGGATTTACCTTAAAAATTCCTCTTATTCTGTATTTAGGTTATTCCCAGTTTCTATATTAAGTAAAATTGTGAGAAATGTCTTTTATGGAGATTAGTACCAGTAAATGATCATATCCTTAGCTCTATAACTTTTCAGAGGGTGTGAAGTCACATTTTTGACCACCTACTATACACCAGGGACTTTTTGCATCTCGTCCGCATCCCCTCTTCACTGCATGAGGCACAATGTGTGTGAATTATTGGAGGAGCACTCTCAGGAGAAGAGGGGCGAGGGAGCAGGGAGGGGCAGGGGATGGGCTGGGAGGGATGTGCTGTCGGGTCAAAGCTAGCCTTGGTCTGATTTATGGGCTGGGAAGAGGTGGGGAAGCCCTGGAGCATAAATCACTCTGCAGAATTGTCCCCCCTTGAAGCTGCTGGGGACAGCATCATTTTCTACCCCTGTATCGTCATTGGCCACTGGAGGGACGCAGGCGTGGTGAGTAGCCTCCCAAGCATGCTGGACAAGGAGGCTCTAGGAAGTCAAAGACAATGTGCCTGGGAAGGCCACAGGTACAAGCCATTGGCCACTGTAGCTGGCCATGGGAAAAATGGGAGCACATCATTTTGATCTCTTTGCCATTGAATTCCAGCAACCTTTGAAACCTTTGTCACAAGGAACCCTAGGTTTCAGTTCGACAGAAACTTGACAAAGCATCAGGCTCTTCGGGACGTGGTGAGTGTTAGCTCCAGAGTGGTGATGGAGCAGGGAGGTATCTTGTAGCTGCTGTGGAGGCAGGGCCAGCCAGAAACGCAGATGGGCAAGACGACCCTCAGGGTGGCAGGAAAAGGAAGGGAAAAGAAACAGAAACTACCCTTCCAGGACTCCAGCCACGCTGCAAGGTTGATAAACAGCGGATGTAAATGGCATCACCCAGCACCGGGTAGGATTCTGACAGGACCCAGTGGCTAGTGAGGGGCACCAGGAGAGCCCCCCCAACCTGCTTAACAACCCACAGGCCTAACAGGACCAACATGGGCCTGTGAAATATTCTAATGGGTAAACTAAGAAAAGCATGACTAAGATACAGAGGGAAAGCATAAGTTTTAAAAAGATTATTAATAGAAAACAAAAGTAAATTTTACAGAGCATCTACTTTTTGATGAAAGTCAAAAAAAATGAACAAAGTGGAAGATCAGACAGTAGAACAATAGACTGTATGAAAATGGAATGGACTGGGAGGCAAGCAAAAATAAATGTTATGGATGGGATAAAGAAATGTTACAATGAAACCAGGAAATCAGTGGCAGAATTAAAATATGTTATAGTCAGGAAAGAGCAGAATCAGCAGAACAGAAAATTGATTTAATGATGCGGAGGTGTTTTTGAGAGGCTCTGAGAATTCAGAGAAAAAGAACAAAGCAATAAAAAAGGATGACATGAGGACTATATTGTGGAAGGTAGAAACTGGAAAACAGCAAAGAGAAAATGGTTCCAGAATAATTGGAACAGAAGCCATTCCTTAGACAGCAAAGGAGGATCTCCATTTCCTGAAATGGGTGCAGCAGACACCAGGCAAAAATATTTAAAACATTTTAATGTCTACAAATAGCTTCATGAAATTTTTAATTTTAAGGATATGAAAATGATACTATTAACACTTAGCAGAAAACAAAGAAACCAGTTTCTACAGACTTTTCTGTAACATTAATGTCCAAAATTAGAACAGTATATTCCATTGTGAATTTTAAATTCAACACACAGCCAACTTGCCCTCCATTGTGACGTCAAAATAAAGATATACTCAGATATATGAGAATTCATAGGCTATTACCTCTTCCAGTTTGGATTTCCCCAAAAGCATACCCTGATACAATGATACAGGTACAGGTAGTTTATTTGGGGGTGGGCGATCTCAGTGTTGAGTTTAGACAGGAAAGAGAGGAAAGACAGGAAGGCGTGCATTTATAAGCAGGTTACTGCCGTAGGCACCTTGGGCTTGTCTTCCTCAGACCCTCCAAGAGACTGTGTGTAACAAACCTCACATCCACTTCACTCCAGGATGAGGAAGCTGCTGGAGGACCGATCCCCCAGCTCCTGTCATTCATCATGGAGAACCATTCCCTGGGCATGAACTCTCTGGCACTTCCAGCCTTCTCTAAGTAGGTCCACACTGCCTGGGGCCAGGAAGCAACTCAGGCAGAAAGATGTGGGAAGCCTTTGACCTGGAGGGGCATGGCTTCAGGTGACCAGAACTGTGGCTGGTTCTGGGGAATGTGAGCGAGGTGCTAGCCACATCTGCTATAGTAACCATGAGAGCTTCCTGAAAAGTAGTTATTTACTGATAAACTACTCAAGAATACAAAAGTAGTTGAATAAAAAGTGTGCCACAGCCAAATAAGCATAGAATGAAGCAAAACAATTTTTATAAATATTTACAATAGTAAGCAAATGTAAAAAAAAGTATTGCCATGGTAAATGCATAATTTAAAAGATTAATAAAAATAATCCCATAATCTCAGTTATACCAATAACAATTTGAGAAGAAAGTTGACATTGTGACTCCTCTGCTTCACTTTCTTCAGGAAGGAGTTCAGACTCCTCAGCTCCTCATGAGAGGCCGTCCTGAGCCTGGTCCTGCCTGCCTGCCTTTCTCCCCAGACCCCTGGCTCACCATGCCCCCACATACTCACTTGAATCAGTCGCCACTTAATACCAAAGCTGCCTTTACCCAGGAATCACCCCCACCCCCCATTTTTGTTTAATGAACTACTATGTCCTTAAATCTCAGCTTAGGGAGCCCGTGTGCAGGCTCCTCACCTGGCTGCACAGGATCTGTCCACAGAATAGATGGATGGATGGATGGATGGGTGGGTGGGTGGCTGAATGGTTAGATAGGTAGGTAGGTAGATGACTGGCTGGGTGACTGGGTGGATGAGTGGGTGGATAGTTATGTGGATAGGTGAGTGGGGATGGCTGGCTGGGTGGATGAGTGGGTATGTGGGTGGATGGGCAGGTGAGTGGATGACTGGCTGGGTGGATGGGTGTGTGAGTGGATGGCTGGCTGGGTGGATGAGTGGATGGGTGAGTGGATGGCTGGCTGGGTGGATGGGTGGGCGGGTAGGTGGATGGATGATTATTCATTTTGTGCAAAGTTACAGAGACTCAAGGCCCAGGCCTCCAAGGTTACCTATCTTCTCTGTCATCACACAGTCCATTAGTTATGTATTAGCTTCTAAGACTGAATACAAAATATCCCCTGCAATGGATTTTTCTGTCTTCTAATGCAAAACTACTTTCATAGATTTATTCTGGATTATTTTTTCCTTTGAGGGAAGGCTGCTTATAAAAACATGGGGTACACATGGATGACCATCTGCTGGCTTTTTTCTCTCCTAAATAAAGCTAACTTGAAAACACATTATAAAAGAGGGCTTAATTTGTTGGTGGCTACTCTGCTGGCTGGCGTGTGCTGTCCAGCCAGAGCACAGGGTATTATGGCCAGCAACTGGGTTTCCTCAGGGGCAGGCCCAGTGCACCGTGTTGCCTGCCGGGCAAGGAACCAGCAAAGCCTCACTACAGAGTGACAATTCCTGGGGTGCCCTGTGGGAGCAGTGAGAGGGAGCTCCTGGGGCCGGGGGGTGCTGCATGGTTAAAAAGGAGCATAAGGAAGAATAGATAACCACTGCATCACACCAGGGTCACCATTCACACTGGGTTCCATGTAAACGACACCTCCACAGAATATAATGTGAGTGGTGTCCCTGGAGATGTACAGCTCTATGGCCCTGGAGTCAAGGTAAAGCCTCATTTTAATTTTTTGCCCTGGAGCCGTTTGGCACAAAGGACTTTGGCTCTTCTTGCCTTTGTCAAACAGCCATGAATTTGTTTGGACAGCAGTTGTTGAATGCCTGCTAAATGCTAGGGACTGTTCCAGCCACAAGGAGACACAAAGATCTAGTCCCTGCTCCCAGGGAGCTCATGGCCTATTGGGGCCAAAGGCATGTCAGTAAGCAATTAAAGCACAAGGTGCCAGCTGCTCTACAGAGGTGCTGAAACGTTGTTTGAAGCACAGATATGACAAGGTGAAGCAAGTCATTACCACAGTGGCTAGTGCCATGTTGGACAGAATCCTTGGATAAGTGCTTAAGGTACATGGATGAGCCTCCAAAGGATCTGATGTCAGCTGATTCCTACATTGCAGAGCTAGGGTGGGTGGAATGAGTCAGTTTATTTGGCTGGTGAAGGAGGAACCTAGGTTGGAGCAGGGATGAGAGGGTAGAAGAGAGCAAAGGAGGAGGGGCAGGAGAGAACCCGGTAGGATGGAAAGAGGCTGCCCATGTTGAACAAAGGGCCAGTAACATTTCTGGTGGCAGGGAGATGTCAGGACATTTTAGAAATCTGATGCCTGCTGTTACAGGCCTGTCAGGACTTTACCACTCATAGGTTCTAAGAAATCTCCCCTCCCCACCTCATTCTGTTTTGTTTTTAGCCCATTCTGGATTTCTGCACTCATGCATGCCTCATGTGACCAGGGATAGGCAGGGAGAAAAACTCAAGGGGCTGGGGTTATGTGTACATCTTCATGGTATTGACTGTTATGGCATGCATGGAAACAGACCTGGACATGAAAGGATAAGCTTCAAGCCAGGTGCATGAGGGCTCCCAGCTGACTTTTGGGTGCAAACAGGATGCAACAGCTTGCCACAGAGTGATAGAGGAGGCCATGCTAGGAGAGAAGGGAGAACAAGCAGGGCAGGCACCCTGGCCCGACTCTTACACACAGTGTGAGATGCTCTCTTGGTTTGGGTCTCCCAGATGGCGAGGAATTCAGGGAAATTTCTTTATTTGGGAGATGCAAGAAATAATGGTAGGGGGTTGAAGTGATATAGTAGGGAGGTGAAACAATGGTAGGGAGGTGAAGTTATATAGGCAGGAGGCAGTGAATGAAAAGTGAGCTGTTAAACCAACTACTACAGTGGGCAATGGGGCTTATTCCTGCAGGGCAACACTAGGAAGAGTAAGGGAGCTGGGGGTTTTATACTCCTTTCCCCAAGTGTCAAGAATTGAGGTCTCCTGGGGCTATTTATATTCTCCAGTACTCCTGCCCTCCCATATGCATGGCAGGAGAGACCTACATGGTTTTGGAAAAATGCTCTTGGGTGCAGAGATGCCGTAATATAGCCCCTGGCAGCTGGAAGTGGGCTGGAGCACCCTGAGAGTGCAAGTAATGTGGTCAGGGCTCACCAGCCTCTGCCAGAGAGGCCCACAGGATTAGAAGTATCTCTAACCTGAGCACCTCACTTTCTAGACTCCTAGAAGTTGTGGGTTGGTCTGATAGAGCCTCGCTGAGGTTCTTATACAAGATCTAGTAGCATACACCTCACAGTGTGCAGGAGTTGGGTGAGGCAGGTGTGGTATGTGGGTGAAGAGGACCAGGGTGGGGCAGGAGGAAGCAGTGAAGACAGTGGGAAGATGGAGGGTTCCAGCTTCACCCACAGGGCAGCAGGCTCACAGCAGCATTCAGTGGTTGCCAGGTGGGAGTGAGGCCCAGCACACTCTATTTTCTAATAAAACCGAGAGATCTTATGACTTTGGCAGCTAATTAAAATGTTTTCTGAACATCGTATGAGCCAAACAAAACATGTCCAGTGACCACCTCCAGCCTGCAGGCCACCAGCCTGTGACCTCCAGCCTGGCTGTTTTCCGTATGTTCTAGTCCGGATCTGCATTTCTGGTAGAACTAGTCTGTCTGCAGCCTTACTGTGTTTCATGTTCTCCCCTTGGCAACAGATAAATTAGTCAAAGAGATGAGAGTTTGGGGCTTCAAGTGTCCGAGTGTCTGGGGAAGGAGAGGAGTGGAGAGGGTCAACCGGAATGTAGTGTCCATGGAATTTTTAGAACTCATGATGTTTTGAAAACTATTTGCTGGCTGGAATATTTGTACTTCACAGTGATTGCAAGAAGCAGCTAAACTGGAGTTTGAATTTTAGAAGCTGCTAGAAGTAAAATAACAGGCAACCAGTGTGAAATAGAGGGAAAGTGTAGCTTTGGTGACCAGCAGATGCAGAGTTGAGATTCCAACTCTGTTTCTTGTGGCCAGTGTGGCCTTGGCTCAAGGGTCTTCTCTCTGTGCCTCAGTTTCTTTCTCTATAAAGTGGGATTGTGCCAAGGATTAAATGAGTCCTACACCATCATGTACAGTCCCACTTGTATATGATGGGTACTACCATGGTAGTCCCGACTCTGCCACACATGAGCTTATACTTTATAGCTCATTCATTTACTCAGAAGAGATATACTGATCACCTACTTCAGACCAAGATTAAATGCTGAGGGGGAAGAGGAAAATAAGGCAAGAATATAAAACATAGAATGTATGTCAGGGGGTGATAACTCTTCCTTTTAAGCCAAAAATTATCAGTCATTGTCTTAATGAAGGATTGAGAGAGAGAGAGAGTGTGTGTGTGTGTGTGTGTGTGTGTGTGTGTCTACATACTGTAAAAAAAAATAGAGACAGTGTTAAACTGAACATTTTTTAATTTAATGAGTTGCTTGTACTTAAGAAAATAAAATTATATGAAAATTAATGTGAAGCAGTAAATATAGGTCAGTTCAATAAATGTCTGTGTTGGCTTTTGTGACTCCTGATTTTTTTAAAATAATGCTTGTTGATTTTTTTTTTCCATTTACTTACCATTTGCTTAAGTATTGGAGTTTTTGGTTTAGGGATATTGACTTTTTAAAACCAAGATATATAATTGTTCAAATATGTGATGCACGTAATACATAATAGCGAAGTTTAGATAATGAGGAGAATAATGCCCTCCAAAAACAATGGCAGGGGGCTAGGTCCTGACTCTTTCAGACTGGGCAGGGAGGCATCTGGCCCAAAGGGCTGGAGGAGTGCGGTATGGGATTCAGACTTTTTATCAGGTAGGCAGTAAGTGAGGTCTTGACTGAGAGAACAGAGAACGAAGAACAGAGGCTAGAGACATCTTAGAGGAAGAACAAAGAAACAGTGCTGACAGGCCAGGAAGGTCAGAGACTCAGTGTTGGGACTGCTGGAAGAAAGACAAGTGAGGAAGAGGGGTGATTGTGAACTCAGCAGGGAGAACCCAGATCCTCTACTCCTGATCATGCTCTAGCGCACAGAGCACTGTAAGCTCGTGAGGAATGTGCTTCGTACCTGGCATCGGTTGGCCATAAGTCACTGAATTTGGCTAATAAGATGTTGCATTGTCTCTGATCTCCTTGAGAGACTGAGATAGATGGATAGGCCCTAGGTCCTTATTTCCTCCATGGGAGGGTATTGTGGGAGGGGTGATGATGTTCGAAGGGAAGCTCATTTTTGCTGTTTCTAAGGAGTATAATTTGAGTTCCAAATTAAACTGGTCTTCCAAGTTGGGGTTTGGAGGCAGTAAAGCACCAGGTCAACTTTCAAGGCTTTCAGTGGCTAATTTTTTATGACAGAAGGCATCGAGGGCTTGTAAGTTTGTTTTTCTTATCAAGTGATTCTTCAGATTATATCTACCTTTACCACAGAAAGGGTGGTCCCTTTCTTTCAGGAGTGGTTCTCTCTTCACTTTCAAGGCAAACCGCTCAAGATGGCACCAGGTGATAAAACAGATCCACTTGCTAATCTGGATAGAGCAGGAAGGACTTAAACATTTATGTGTTTGTATACCTTTATTTGAGGGAGTGCTTTGGCCTGTTTTTAGACAGAAGGTTCCATACAGAAACTGCATCTGGGCAGGAGAACAAAGCAAATTGTGTTACAGCCGGGAAACCAAGCATTGAGCAACAGAATGGTTCTTAGGCAGAAGTGAGCCTCATCCCTCAGTGCTGGGACAGATTACAGCCTTCCTTCACTGCCGCTTTCATTCAGCGCAGGGACTGATTTTCATTGTGTTCTGCTTTCTCTGGTGTCTCTTGTCAAGTTAATAGTAGCCTCAAGTAAAATTCAACCCTTAGATGTTTATAGTCATCTTGGCCTGGCCATTAAGATGATGAATGAACTTGCTGCTTGCCCTGGTAAGAGAGCCCTGAGGGTGGATGCCGATACTTAGAAAATAATAAGTCTTTTCCGCCCCCTTCCTGTCTTTAATCCAGTGCCCCAAGCCCCCTGGTGACTTTACCTTGAACTTCCTGTATAACGCCAGGTAGAAAAGCCTCACCTGGCTGGAAGCCCACTCGAGGCTCTAACACAACAGCAAGCTCTTTATCTTGCTTTGTTGGTCTTCCCCATCCGCTTATCAGATGGAAACTCGGCATTCCTCAGAGACCCTTCAGTGTTTCTCAGTTGCTTCTGCAGGCCCTTCCCTTCCTCCTTGAGAGGACAAGAGAAGGTGGCGGGGAGCAGGCACCCCCAGCCTGTGTTTGTATTTCCTCACCTGGATTACCTGTGGCCCTTGCATCAGGGAGAGCCCAGCCTTGAGTGAAACTGCCTGGGAGACAGGCTGGGCGCTTCCTGCGGCAGTCGGCAGTGAGGAAGTGGTGGAGAAACGCAGATGTCCATTTCAAATCACAAGGCGGCTTCAGTATTCCGCCGCGGGGCTCAGCTTTCACGTATATGAAAAGCTTCATTTGTGTATTCACTGCGTTTGGAAGGAAGGCTATGTTTTGCTTTAGAAATGTCAACAGAGCTGTAGTTACGACAAGGATCAATTAAGAAGGACGTTTCCCAGAGCCGCAAGACTTGAGTGAATCTGTGGGGGGAATTTAGAAAACATGTGTTAAACCTCTAGATTTCTTTTTTTCTAACTAACTGCAAAACAGCAATTTAATAATTTCCTCTTTTAAGGGGAAAGGGGGGAGTCTTGGATTTTAAATCTTCCTAAAGCAGCACAGCATCTCTTGAAAAGAAAGCCATGAAAGACTACTAAGCTAAGGCGAATAAAATAAAATTTTCAAAAATCGAGAACTTCAGTGTCCTAGTCTGGGTTTCCCTGAGCAGATCCTGAGATGAGGGCTCACATGCAAGTGGTTCATAAAGGATGTGTTTCCGGGGGAAGACAGGTAGGGAGTGGAGAGACGCAGGACAGGGCAGGACTGAAACTCAGGCAGGGTCCCTCAGAGCGTGGCCTCAGCCTGATGCTGCAAGGGGGATCAGAGGTGTGAGTTACGCCAAGGTACTGTTCCATCTCCAGCTTAGGAAGCTGAGTTTTGTTCTCCCGTAAACACCAGTCATTGGTTAAGGGCCACTTAGGGAGGAATAAGTGGTAGAAAGTGGTCCTAGGCACTTTCCACCCAGGGGTGAAGTGTAGACAGTGGGGCTTCAATAGCTTAAGGGCAGAAGAAGACCCACGGTTCTGGCTCTTGGAGCCAAACGAAGACTGAAGCCACAGTGTGCATGTAAAGGGAGTCCAAGGAGCATTGGGTGGGGCATTGAAATTGTTTGCTACAGTCGGTTTACCTTCAACTGGTTTCCTTCTTGTTCTGAAGGATATATTACAAGCATATTGACAAAAGTCTTTGAACTCTTGAGGTGTTTGTATGATATTCTGTGTCAGTTGCACATGGGATGTTTCTACCAGCATCTGAATTGGGGAATTGACATATACAGATGCCCGTGGAATTTAACAGAGAATGTGAATGTACGGCTACAGTCCGTCACCATCCAGCTTGCCAGGGCTGTCATTTCATCCTTTTGAGGCCAGGCTTACAGACAGTCTGGGCTTCCACTGCCCCCATGCTCTGCCTGTGATGTGTGGTGGCCTCTGGCATTGTTGTAACTCAGGCACCTGAGCATAACTAGTGAGCCTGTCCTGCTCTCCCAAGCAAGTCTGTGTTTAAAATCAGTTAGGAATATGTTGGGCTGCATGTAACAGAAAAGCCACCTTTTTTAGCAGCTGATCCTTGTGAGACTTTTATTTTTCTTTGGTAATAATAAAATAAGAAATGGGCATTTCAGGGCTAGTATGCACCTGTGTGGTACCCACAGGAACCCCATTCCTTCTGTCTTTCCTCTCAGCCTGTCTTCATAGGGGTTTTCATCTCCATACTCCAAGGCTGGGCTTTCCCTGATGGTGCTTTTTGGTTTCCGCTTCCAACACTACAGCTGCATTCCAAGCAAGAAGGAGAAGGACAAAGGGCAAAAGGTCTGCCTCCTTTTAAAGAGCTTTCCTAAAGCTCCACTTGACATTTTCCACATATATCTCATTGGCCAGCACCATGCCACAAGGTGGGGTGGCAAATGAATTTTCTCAGCTGGGCACATTGCTACTCTAGACAGAGTCAGAGTTGTGTTTATTGGGAGGAAGGGAAGAGTGGCCATTGGGAAGCACCAGCAGAGTCAGCAGGGCAGAGACCTGAGAGAGGTAGTTTGTGAGTGTGTATCCCTGAGATACGTAGCAGAACTGGGGAAGGACTGCCCAGTGAGTCTACTCCCTTCAGTATTTGTCAGATCCTGCTCAATTATAAGATGATCTTTATCTGTCCGCCTTATCTATCTTCACTGACGTGTATTTCTTATTTTCACAAAATGAAGCCATTTCAACGATGTTGTCAATGTGTTTGGATTTCTGTCCTTCAACAGAGGTGCCACAGCTCCATACTAGGTCAATCCATGCAATAAAGACCAAGTTCCAGAACCCCTGTCCTTCAGACCATTTGGTATATATAATTTCCAGGCCCTTCTTCACTGTTCTGTTTATCACTCCCTGTGCTGTCTCTAGTTTGGCATCTTCCTTTTTAAAATAGAACCCAGGCTTGAACTGCAATTCAACCAGCCCAGCATAGTTATTATTGTCCCGAGTCTAAACATGATATTTCTGTTAATGTGGTAGCCACAGCACAATTCTATTTATTCTTGAGGCATTCCCTCTTTTATTTTCTTGGTCTTTTTGTGTTATTTGGAAGTGTAATCATGTCATTTATACCCTTGCTACTCGAATATGGTCCATGAACCAGCATGGTGACGTCACCTGGGAGTGTGTTAGAAATGCAGAATCTCAGGCCGCAGCCCTCCGGGGTCAGGATATGCATTTTAACAAGATCGTTGGGTATCTGTATGAAAATGAAAAATTGAAACCAGGGCGAGATATCCAGGGCCTCAGAGGAAAATCTCAAAATGGTCAGGGAGGTCCCTTCTTAGAGATGAGAAAGTCACTCAGAGGCTGCCATGGCCTAAGACTGAGACAAAGAGAATATGTCTGTATACAACTAAAGAAAAAGAGAAAAGGTTCGCTGGGCCAGAGAGTGGCTAGAGACTCGATTGTACTCAGACTTGCTGTATTACCAACAGGTAATGTACAGGACAGTCATGACCTACACCTGGCTAAATCCAGTAGTCATTTTTCAGTCTTCTTTCTGGACCCGTCAGCATCTATTAGTACAAATAACGACTACTTCTGTTATTATTATTATTATTATTATTATTATTATTATTATTATTATTATACTTTAAGTTCTAGGGTACATGTGCACAACGTGCAGGTTTGTTACATAGGTATACATGTGCCATGTTGGTTTGCTGCACCCATTAACTCATCATTTACATTAGATATTTCTCCTAATGCTGTCCCTCCCCTTGCCCCCAACCCCACGACAGGCCCCCATGTGTGATGTTCCCCTTCTTGTGTCCAAGTGTTCTCATTGTTCAATTCCCACCTATGAGTGAGAACATGGGGTGTTTGGTTTTCTATCCTTGTGATAGTTTGCTCAGAATGATGGTTTCCAGCTTCATCCATGTCCCTGCAAAGGACATGAACTCATCCCTTTTTATGGCTACATAGTATTCCATGGTGTATATGTGCCACATTTTCTTAATCTAGTCTATTATTGATGGACATTTGGGTTGGTTCCAAGTTTTTGCTGTTGGAAATAGTGCTGCAATAAACATACGTGTGCATGTTCTTTATAGCAGCATGATTTATAATCCTTTGGGTATACACCCAATAATGGGATGGCTGGGTCAAATGGTGTTTCTAGTTCTAGATCCTTGAGGAATCACCACACTGTCTTCCACAATGGTTGAACTAGTTGACAGTCCCACCAACAGTGTAAAAGCATTCCTATTTCTCCACATCCTCTCCAGCATCTGTGGTTTCCTGACTTTTTAATGATTGCCATTCTAACTGGTGTGAGATGATATCTTATTGTGGTTTTGATTTGCATTTCTCTGATGGCCAGTGATGATGAGCATTTTTTCATGTGTCTTTTGGCTGCATAAATGTCTTCTTTTGAGAAGTGTCTGTTCATATCCTTTGCCCACTTTTGGATGGCATTGTTTGTTTTTTTTCTTGTACATTTGTTTAAGTTCTTTGTAGATTCTGGATATTAGCCCTTTGTCAGATGGGTAGATTGCAAAAATTTTCTCCCATTTTGTAGGTTGCCTGTTCACTCTGATGGTAGTTTCCTTTGCTGTGCAGAAGCTCTTTAGTTTAATTAGATCCCATTTGTCAATTTTGGCTTTTGTTGCCATTGCTTTTGGTGTTTTAGACATGAAGTCCTTGCCTATGCCTATGTCCTGAATGATATTGCCTAGGTTTTCTTCTAGGGTTTTTATGGTTTTAGGTCTAACATCTAAGTTTTTAATCTATCTTGAATTAATTTTTGTATAAGGTGTAAGGAAGAGATCCCGTTTTCCATCATATGAATATGCCACAATATGTTTTCTCCATTATCCTGATGATGGACATTGAAGTTGTTTCTGGTTTTATCTTTTGTGAATAAGGATACTAAGAACATTTTTATACCAGTTTTCGTGTGCATGTTTTTTTTCATTTATTGAGTAAATGCTAGTGAGTGTAGGTGCTGGCTCAAAGGGTCACTGTTTAGCTTTATTAGAAACTGCCAAATAGCTTTTCAAAGTGGTTCTGCCTTTTACACCCTCACCAGCAATGTATAAGAGTTTGAGTTGGTCCCCATCCTTGTATATTCAGTATTGTCAGTCATTTTTATTTTAGCCATTCTGGTGTGTAATTGTGTTTCTTTGTGATTTAGAGCTGCATCTCCCATATGACTAATAAACACGTTTTCACGTGCCCCTCAGCCATTGGGACACTTATTTTAGCCTGTTCAAGTCTTCTGCACTCCCTTCTTCTGGGGATACTTTTCTTCTCCTGTGCTGTGGTACACTCCTCACCCCAATTCTTCTCACTCGCCACTCCTTTTCTGCTTCCTTTGTTGGGGTCTCCTTATCTTGCCAACCTTTCAACATTGGAGAGCCTCAGGGTGCGGTCCTGAGAATGCTTTTCTTCTGTGTATACGCATTCCCTGGATGAACTGGTCAAGTCTCATAACTTCATATCATGGACATGCTGACAACTCCCAAATTTTCCCCTCCAGCCCAGAGCTCACTCCTGAACTCCAGCGTTGGGTACCAAATTGCCTGTTTGGCCTCTCCACTTGCTGTCTAACACATTTCTCACACTTAAGATGTCCAAAATGAGTTCCTGATCCTCCTGACACCTGTTCCATTTGTAGGAAACAGTAACTCCATCCTTCTTGGCTCTCCCTTTTCTCTCATACACCACATCTATTTCTCAAACACCCTGTTGGCTGATCCTACAGAGTATCTCATAATCCAGCCAGTTCTCACCATCACCATTGGTTCCATCTTGGTCCAAGTCACCATCGTCTTTTGCCTCATTATTGATTGGCAATAGCCTTCTTCATAATTGGTTTCCGTGCTTCCACCTTTACCTCTTACACTCCTCCTCTTACACTCCTTTGCTCAGAAGTCTCCAGTGGCTTCTCATCTCATTGTAAAGCTTAGTTTTTTATAATACCTCTAAGGCCCTAGAAGATCTGACCCCGTTGCTGCCTCTCTGAACATGTGTCCTGTCACTTTCTTCCTTGTAGCCTCAGTGGCCTCCTTCTGTTCCTTGAAACACACTAAGCTTATCCCTGCCTCAGGGCGTTGACACTGGCTCTTCCCTTAAATAGGCACATAGCCCACTCCCCATTTCCTTCTTGTCTGTGCTTAAATGTCACCTGATTAGAAATATCCTACTACTCCAAACACCCTATCTGTCCTCTTTATCTTGCTTTTCTCTATAGAACCTATGACCATCTGGCATACTATTTTTTTGTTTTGTTTTCTTGAAACAGAGTCTCCCTCTGTCACCCAGACTGGAGTGCAGTGGCATGATCTTGGCTCACTGCAACCTCCGCCTCCCTGGTTCAAGCAATTCTCCTCCTCAACCTCCCAAGTAGCTGGGATTATAGGTGCATGCTACCATGCTCAGCTAATTTTTTGTCTTTTTAGTAGAGATGGGGTTTCACCATGTTGGCTAGGCTGGTCTCGAATTCCTGGCCTCAAGTGATCCTCCCTCCTTGGCCTCCCAAAGTGCTGGGATGACAGGTGTGAGCCACTGCACCTAGCCGGACATACTATTTGTTTGTTGCTGGTTGTCTTAGTCCTCCTACCGGAATTAGGTTAGGTTTCTACATATAATATGCAATGACTTTTTTGAGACAAGGTCTCACTCTGTTGCCCAGGATAGAGTGCAGTGACATGATCTTGGCTCACTGCAACCTCCACCTCCCAGGCTCAAGCGATCCTCCCAGCCTCCGGAGTAGTTGGGAATACAGGCATGCACCACCACACCTGGCTAATTTTTGTATTTTCTGTAGAGATGGGGGTTTTGCCATGTTGCCCAGGCTGGTCTTGAACTCCTGAGCTCAAGTGATCCACCCACCTCAGCCTCCCAAAGTGCTGGGGATTACAGAGTGAGCCACCACACCCAGCCTGGAATGACTTTTTATTCATTGATTCATACCTAGTAACTGCAGCAGTGCCTGGATGTGTGGTAGGATCTCAATCTTTGTTGAATAAACTAATGGATGGTGGGCAAATAAATGGATAGAAGATGGGTATATCTATCTTTCTCTGTACTTTATGAGCACTCTTTCAATTATTGTTTTATATTACACCAGTAATTTTTAAGTAGTGTTAAAAACTAGTAAACAATGTAGGGGTTTGGAGAAAAATGCTAATTCCTTATCTCCCAGAAAAGGGAAACCATCAGGAATCAGAAATGGAGAAATGCTTCCCCCACCTGGTGATTGCATCTTGCTGTATGGGATCAGGCCTGAAAAGTGAGTTAAGTCTGTTGGTGCTGGAACTCATCACTGAGGAGCAGCCTATGTCTGTGCCTTCAGGGGTGACAGACAGTGGACCAAGGCCATGCCTGCATATTCCTCCCTGGACCCCTCATTCAAAGCCAGAATCTCTTTCCTGCCAGAGCAGTCCTTTGTCCACGTGGGTTTCTGCAGTAGCCCAAGTTTGCAGGCCCTTGATAGGGCTGGAGTGTGAGCTGTAATCCTATGGGCTTGAAATAATCTCTGCTATGGGCTCTTTAAAATAACCCCAAGTAACACTCATGTCTTATTTAGGTATCCCCAGAAGCAAACCCTGAGATAAGAATTCAAGTGTAAAGTACCTGTAGTTTGTTTGGGAGGTGAAGATAGGGGGATATATTAGGAAGTGAGACAGAGAAAAGAAAACAGGAGAAAAGGACAGAGTGTCAAGCCAGCCACAACTATGGGCAGCTGGGCTTACTCCCACTGGGGAACCCTGGGTCCACAGAGCAAGCTCCTTGGGGTTCTTCTGCCTGCGTGGTGAGGAGTCTGGGGCCTTTATCCACCTGCTCCCAGCAGCTGTTGATTGAGGGCTGCTCCTGAAGGCATTAAGATCTTGACACTTCTGGCCTGTTGTTTGCAGGGGCAGAGCAGTTTTATGACAAGAAAAAGTCCTCAGGTGAAAAAATGCAGGTGTCAGCAGGTGGAGACACAGGGCAGGGGATCTGGAGGAACATCAGTGGGGTCTGCGACAACCTGTGACCACCTCACAGACAAGGTGACTTCTGGCTTCTCAGTGACTCAGCCACACTTCTCTTTTTCACTCACTCTTCTTTCTGGTCCTCACTAAGACAAAATACAGAATACAGAGCAGCAGTTCACGGGCTATAGCATTTGAGGAGATTAAATACAGGCCTCCAACCACACAGGCCATCTGGAAGCTTTGGCCTCCAGATGAGGACATAACGAGGTCATCTCTGCTTTCAGGGAGCTCTCAGAGTCTCAGGAACAGATGTACATGGTCCATCAGAGTGTGGCTCAGGGCCCAGGGTGGGTTGGGGAAAAGGTGAGTTATTTAGCATTGGAGGAGCCTGTTTGTAGCCATGGCTGCCAACATGCATGAGCCACTTAGAAGGGCTTAGGGTGGTGAGGGTACAGGTCTACCTGTGAAGCTGAGTGATAGTCACGGTAATTACAGTCACCTACTATAGCCTCACAATGAGCCATTATAAAAATGAGGAAACTGGGGCTCCAGAAAGATTTCTCAGCCCCAGGACGGTGCAGCCAGGAAATATCATAGCTGGGATTTGAGCCCAGCTTGTCTGGACACTGAGCCTGTGTTTTGCACACTATGCACACACTTCTCCCAGATGAAGATTTGCCTTCATCCAAGGGGAATGTCTGTGTGAGACAGTGGCAGCCTCTGATGGGTTCCTGCCGATTGGCAAGGTGGTTAGAGCTGTGTATTGAGAGGTCTTCTCCAAGGTATCAGTTTTCCTCTGGGAGGGTTAAAGAAGGATCTTGCAAAGCCCATGGCCTTTGAATAGAGAGCTCTGTTCTGTTTGCAGTGACTCCCCTCAAAAGGCAGAATGCAATTCTCTAAAGGGAAAAAAAAATGAGGTGGCTGCTCTCTGGGGTTAAGCAGAGAAAACCGTCAGGCAGGAGAGGTGGGGCTGTATTTGAGAGGGTGGGAGTGGCCCAGGAGACCTCACGGTACAGTCAGCTGCAGGAGAGGAGCTGCTAACCCTCATCTTAAGAATATCACTCTCTTGACAATCACAGTTGGGAAATGTGTAATCTCAGGGTGCCTCCTTGCCCGGGCATCTTCATTATAAAAGCTTAGTCTTTCTAAATGCAGCCAAGCTCTCCTCTGACAAGAGATGTGAGAATTCCGTTGACACTCACTGACCACCTAGAAACCAGAGACCCAGAAACCCAAAGGTGGGTCACATGGTCGCCCTGTCCCTGGGGAATGCACAGGAAAAGAGCTCTGCCTCCCGGAAGGTTCCAGGTGTTGGGGTAAATAGAGATCCTGCTGCTGCCTCTACTCCCTTACTGGTCTCCCTGGGGACATATTTGAACATATTTTACTCATAAATTCTCATCTCAGGGTCTGTTTCTAACCAGACCTAAAACAGACAGGTCCCCCCCTTTTTTAATCAGTAACTTTGGTTTATTACAGCAGAAACTTCCCAAATTACTGATCTGACCAATTAGATATGTTTTAATTTTTTTATGACCGGAATCTTTTCCTTCAAATGAACCTGTTTGGATTCTCTTATCTGTGCAATACAACCTAATGTAAGTCTACTTTGTAAGTATTTGTTCTGAGATTATTTGTTCTGAAGGAGGCCCAATCCAGTTCAGTTAAATCTGAAGTTTTTGATCAATTGGGTTGCTGAGATTACAACTTTCTTTTTCATTAACTATTAGTGCTTAAAATATTGACATGCTAAGTTTTTAGTCTTCTCTTTTTTGACCTATAAAAAAGGTCAATTATATCTTAAAAGTTTCACCTTCTATTTGGCTATTGTGTATCATTCTTTAAATATCTGGCTGGGTTCAACTTGCTAAGATTTTATTTAGTATATTTGTATCTATAGTCATAAACAAGATTTCTCTGTAATTTTCTTTCTTGTCAGGTTTTGGTGTCAGATTTCTGCTAGTGTTTGCAAAAATAAGCAGAAAGCTTGCACTTTTCTCTGTTCTCTGAAGACATACAACTAACATAGTTGCAACAGCAGGCAGTGAGAGCTGACCCTTACTGAGAGCTTGTTTATGTGCCAGAGGCTGCTCAACACTTTTTATTAACGTGTTTAACCCTCACAGCAACCCAGTGAGGTATGTGCAGTTACCATCTCAGTTTTCCTGATGAGGAAACCATGGCTTAGCAAGCTTAAGGAGGTGACTCAACTTCCTTAGTGAGTGGTGGGGCTGGGATTCAGGCACAGGCAGGCTGGTACTTAATCTCTCTCCTACAAATACCAGCTTCCTTGGTGAGTATTGGGGCTGGGGTTCAGGCACAGGCAGGCTGACTCCAGTGTGCTCTAATGCATCTTCTTTGCATAAAGAGGCTTATTTACATGTCTTTTGGGGTATGCTGGCTGCTCACGTGGCTTTGTAGACATTACCCTCTGGAGTGCCAGGTGCTTTGTGAATTAGATCTTTCTTATTACATCACGGCCAGTTTTTTGTGGAGGGGGGCAATGGGCAAGGAAGCATTGATGAATTTTCTGAGACAGCTGCGATTTGTCTAAACAAGGCTTTTCCTTCAGTATCCAAGGATTCTGGCACACAGACCCAGCTCCCCACCAGCCTCCCCTGGAATGAGCTTTCCTGAGGTGCCCGCGTGTCTCCACTCCAGGTCCTGGAAAGCTGGCAGCAGCCTCACTCTTGGGTTTTCCTCTCTGGAATTAATTTGTCCCCAAGTGAACTCAAATAAAAGGAAGAGCACCTATGAGAGCTTTGCCTTTGACTGGGGCTGGGAAGGTGGAAATAGCATGGTCTATCCTGTTTTCTCATTTGCCCGTTGAGCACTGAACGACTGGAAGTAGAGTATGATGTGAAGTCTTACCCTTTGTGAGTCAGGGGGCTTGGGCTGTCTGCACACACTGTCTCCAACTCCACCACCACCATCCAACTCAGGCCCAATATCACTGGGAAAAACCCAGATCCCCTACAGAAATACAACACCGGTGACTTGCTGGATGCTGGTGGCTTTGTGCTATTGGCATGGTGGGTCTGAAACTCTTGTAGACACCAAAGAAATTGGTAGGTTATGGAATGATTGATTATATCCTGTGTCAGCTGGAATCCTGCGACATGTTCTAGTTTCCTAGTGTGCAGAGTACAATGTGGGCAATGCTGGGTTGTAGAACATCTGTGATTTTCATGGGATAAAAGCCCTTATTTTTGTTTTGTTTTATTTTAAGTCAAAAGCAATTTCTACCAGTAAGAGACTGAATGAATAACAGGAAGCCCCTTGTTTGCATGGTTCAGAACTAGGCATTGCAAAGATAACCATTTACTCTGATTTCAGAGGTCTAAAGGTGTTAGTTCCCCTCTTAGAAGTACCAAACTTACAAATGGGAAAGTGGATGCTTAGAATGGCATGAATGTTGGCTGGCTTGATCATGAGTGGGATCACGATGGCATTCACTCTTTCATTCAGCAAAGTTATGTGTTAACAGGTATTAAGTATACCGTTATCATTTTTCCTTACTTTAGAAGATAAGCCAAAAAATTTGACCTTAATGAAAATAGAGGATTTTTAATGGAGATCAGAATTTTCACTTATAAAAGTACCATTTACACATTTCGTCACTGCTGACAGTCATTAGCTAGTGGATAGATCCAAGCTTTAAATCTGAATCTTGTCACAGGAGGATGGAAGCTCAAGTTGTTAAAGGCCTAAAAGGTTGCATGTTACATATAGAACAAGGCCCTGGGAAAGGAAATGGTCTGTTGAAAGTCACAAGGCCAAATGGCATACCAGGTTTTTGGTCCTTGTTTAAGAAAACCAAATGTAGGTTCAGAATAGTTTCTTCTTTCTTCCACGTCTCTGAAAGTCCAGCTTCGTGTGGGAGAGCTCTGAGGCCCTCTCCCAGCCCTCGTTTTTCAGCTCGGGGTTACCACGTGTATTCCGTGAAATGCTCTACCTGCTTTCTGTATCGGCTTTCTAGCCAGTTGCAGTGTACAATATTAGTTTTGGCTTTGGGAAATGAGGTTTCTTTGACTTGGCTGGAAGTATACAGCAACCATTTTATTTTTCTTGTGCCTCATGAATTAATAGGGCAGTGAGAGGAAAGAGCATGCATACTGAGCATTTGAGCTTTTTTAAAGCAGCGATTCACCCAGCTTTCTAGTATAAAAAACTTCCTCTGGCCCACCCCGAGCAAACCCTCATTCACTGCTCAGTCCTCCCATTTGTTCATCTGGAAAGAAGGAATGTTCTAGTGGGGCCAGGCCCCATGTGGTATCTTCCTTTTCTGAAGTCATCCATTCATTCTCTTCCTGGTGGGGACTTAAGGTTGGAGGCAGCAAAAAGTGGAAAGACTGGTAGATAGTCTGTCAGCTCTGTGGGGTGGGTGTGCCATTTGGGGGGAAATGAAACCAGAGGAAGTTTGGCTTTGCAGAGTGAGGACCCAGGCAAGTTCATTTTTTACACTCTGGTTCCATCTCCTTCCCCCTGCACACATGAGTCAGCTCCAGGAGGACCCCGTGTCCTTGACTCTTCCTTGCTGTCTCTTCAAGCTATCAATATGCCCTCTCTCTATCTTCTCCCTCTGGAATTCTCCCTTTCCGTCTCAGTTGGACTATCTGGACTTTTTGATTCTGCTTCTTCCCAAAGTGCTCTTTTCAGTCCATTGTTTTTCCTGAGATGTAATGACTCAAGGGTAAATGGTACCTGTCAGTTGCAACGCCTGAAACCATAGATGCATAGGTGCAGGTGGTTTATTTGAGTAGCGCCCCAGAAAGTAAGAAAGAAGGAAGAAAAGGAGGGTATGTCTTTGAGGTCACTGCCATTGGTGCTAAGACTTTTTTGAGAAGCATATAGAAAGTCACCTAGAAATGCTTACCTATAGGACAGGAGACTGGAGCACTCACGCCCCAGCTCCAATCCCAGGTTGTTAAGGGCCACCTCCAAGGAATGGATTGTCCTGCCCTGGCCAGGGGTGTCATTGAGTTTGGGTGCCCTCAGAATGCTACTGAAGATGGTACAAAGCTGAAATCATCAGAGTTGGGCCAGAAAGAAGTGACACAGAACATCTAAGGCATATCATAAACCATTTCTGACCCTGATCTCGGAACAGGATCCCAGAACAGTTCAACCTGTAATTGCTTTCTGACATTTGAGCAAAAGCATCAGTAGCTCTTCTCATGACCACAATCAGTTTACTAGGATTTTTCCATAGGCTCAAAGAAAAGACAGTCTATGTTCTAAGTACAGATGAAGAAGTAAAAGTTTGTGTTCTGGAGGGGTGGGGCTTCAATCTAGACCTTGCCTCTTTCTGATCACTGTTCTTGACACTGGATCTAAATTAAGAAAAACATTAAATCTAAAAATGTCTAAAAAGTTAGGACATTTAACCTATACTATACAAGAAGTTATCAGCTAAGCAAATAAAATCCAGACTTTGAAAAAGGTAAATAAGGAACTGATTTACTTTAATCACAAGTTCCTTCTGCTTACAAAATGATTCATACTGAAATTTTTAAAAAATTTCTTAACAGAGTTTAGTGCAATTCACATAAAAAATGTACTTCAGTAATTTGCAAATATTTACTTAAGGATTTAGTAATTTAGTAATGTTTAGTAATTTTTTCAACAAGTTCTTTTCTGTTTAAGTGGGTTCTCAGAAGTGGTTGCACCTTCAGCAGGCAAGGAAAATATTTATTTGAAGACGTTTATGAAACACCTCCCTTGTTTTTATTATGTTTGTGTTCTTCTTATATTTCTTTTTATTTGCAGTACCCTCAAGTACTTTGAAGGTTTGGGGACAGTAAATAAAATTGATGGCCATTTTTTGTCATGCATCTTCTGAATTGGTATGTTTTTCTGTGTTCAGAATGTCATTCCTCAGCCCCCAGGGGACATAAGTACAAAGTGAAATGAGGCGATGTCAGGATCACCTGTGCACATTCTGCTTCTCTCCAGGCCCTGGCTTCTCTTCTTTCCGGTAGATGAACTTGAGCACATGATCTCACCACTTGGAGCCTAGTAAAATCCATGCTACTGTTCTGCAATTGTTCTTTTATTCTTTCTCTCTACTAATGTTTTCACCTATGGATGTCAGTTCTACTTCTCCTTGGGGCTTTAACTAAAAAGGAAGAATTGTCTGTGGCTTCTTAGAAAGTGGTGTGTGGACAGGCAAGGGCTGCCCTGCCCTTGGCTGGCAGCACAGGCTCTGCAAAGGGGGTGGGTGAGTGACCACATCATCATGGCTACCCCTTCCCGAGTGCTTCCTGTGGGCTAGGCAGGGCCCAGGTAGCTCAAAGGTGTTCCCATTTGTTCTTCACAGCAGCTCTGAATTCATTAGCATAACAAACCACCCCCAAATCTAGTGGGCTTAATACAGCAATCATTTCTATTTGCTCATAACTCTAGGGGTTAGCTAGGCAGTTTTTCAGTTCTGGGCCAGGCTCGGCTGTTCTTGGCCAACCTTACTCATGTGTCTGTGGTTAGCTGCAGGTCAGCTGGAACCCAAATGTTGTCTGGAACAAGGGGAGTGATTTAGCTAGTGGCTCTCATCCCCAGCAGGCTGGCCCAGGCTCCTGTAGGGTTCCAAAAGAGTGAGTAGAAGTTCCAAGGCTTTTTGAAATCTAGGCCTGGAACAGACAGCATCATTTCTGCTGCATTCTGTTGGTGAGAGCAAGTCATGATTTCAGCTCAAATTCAAGGTGGGGGAATAAAATCTACCTCGTGATGGGAGTAGCTGCGAAGTCAAAACTGCAAGGGATGTAGTTAAAGGGAGGATTGGAGAGTGGGCGTTTTTGCAAACTATCTACCCCAACCTCTGAGCGGTAGGTATAATTATCCCAGTGGTTCTCAACCAAGGGTAATTTTGTCTCCTAAGACACAGTTCACAACTTTTGGAGAAATTTTTGGTTTCCACAACTAGTTCAGCGCTATTAGCATCTAGTGGGTATGCCAGGGATGCTGCTAAATACCCCACAATGCACAGGACAGCTCCCCACACAACAAGGAATTATCCAACAATGCACAGGACAGCTCCCCACACAACAAGGAATTATCCAACAATGCACAGGACAGCTCCCCACACAACAAGGAATTATCCAACAATGCACAGGACAGCTCCCCACACAACAAGGAATTATCCAGCAATGCACAGGACAGCTCCCCACACAACAAGGAATTATCCAACAATGCACAGGACAGCTCCCCACACAACAAGGAATTATCCAACAATGCACAGGACAGCTCCCCACACAACAAGGAATTATCCAACAATGCACAGGACAGCTCCCCACACAACAAGGAATTATCCAACAATGCACAGGACAGCTCCCCACACAACAAGGAATTATCCAACAATGCACAGGACAGCTCCCCACACAGCAAGGAATTATCCAACAATGCATAGGACAGCTCCCCACACAACAAGGAATTATCCAACAATGCACAGGACAGCTCCCCACACCACCAAGAATTATCCAACAATGCACAGGACAGCTCCCCACACAACAAGGAATTATCCAACAATGCACAGGACAGCTCCCCACACAACCAAGAATTATCCAAGAATGCACAGGACAGCTCCCCACACAACAAGGAATTATCCAACAATGCACAGGACAGCTCCCCACACAACAAGGAATTATCCAACAATGCACAGGACAGCTCCCCACACAACCAAGAATTATCCAACAATGCACAGGACAGCTCCCCACACAACAAGGAATTATCCAACAATGCACAGGACAGCTCCCCACACAACAAGGAATTATCCAACAATGCACAGGACAGCTCCCCACACAACCAAGAATTATCCAACAATGCACAGGACAGCTCCCCACACAACCAAAAATTATCCAACAATGCACAGGACAGCTCCCCACACAACAAGGAATTATCCAACAATGCACAGGACAGCTCCCCACACAACAAGGAATTATCCAACAATGCACAGGACAGCTCCCCACACAACCAAGAATTATCCAACAATGCACAGGACAGCTCCCCACACAACAAGGAATTATCCAACAATGCACAGGACAGCTCCCCACACAACAAGGAATTATCCAACAATGCACAGGACAGCTCCCCACACAACAAGGAATTATCCGACAATGCACAGGACAGCTCCCCACACAACAAGGAATTATCCGACAATGCACAGGACAGCTCCCCACACAACAAGGAATTATCCGACAATGCACAGGACAGCTCCCCACACAACCAAGAATTATCCGACAATGCACAGGACAGCTCCCCACGCAACAAGGAATTATCCAACAATGCACAGGACAGCTCCCCACACAACAAGGAATTATCCAACAATGCACAGGACACCTCCCCACACAACAAGGAATTATCCAACAATGCACAGGACAGCTCCCCACACCACCAAGAATTATCCAACAATGCACAGGACAGCTCCCCACACAAGCAAGAATTATCCGACAATGCACAGGACAGCTCCCCACACAACAAGGAATTATCCGACAATGCACAGGACAGCTCCCCACACAACAAGGAATTATCCGACAATGCACAGGACAGCTCCCCACACAACAAGGAATTATCCAACAATGCACAGGACAGCTCCCCACACAACAAGGAATTATCCAACAATGCACAGGACAGCTCCCCACACAACAAGGAATTATCCAACAATGCACAGGACAGCTCCCCACACAACAAGGAATTATCCAACAATGCACAGGACAGCTCCCCACACAACAAGGAATTATCCAACAATGCACAGGACAGCTCCCCACACAACAAGGAATTATCCAACAATGCACAGGACAGCTCCCCACACCACCAAGAATTATCCAACAATGCACAGGACAGCTCCCCACACAAGCAAGAATTATCCGACAATGCACAGGACAGCTCCCCACACAACAAGGAATTATCCGACAATGCACAGGACAGCTCCCCACACAACAAGGAATTATCCGACAATGCACAGGACAGCTCCCCACACAACAAGGAATTATCCGACAATGCACAGGACAGCTCCCCACACAACAAGGAATTATCCGACAATGCACAGGACAGCTCCCCACACAACAAGGAATTATCCAACAATGCACAGGACAGCTCCCCACACAACAAGGAATTATCCAACAATGCACAGGCCAGCTCCCCACACAAGCAAGAATTATCCAACAATGCACAGGACAGCTCCCCACACAACCAAGAATTATCCAACAATGCACAGGACAGCTCCCCACACAACAAGGAATTATCCAACAATGCACAGGACAGCTCCCCACACAACAAGGAATTATCCAACAATGCACAGGACAGCTCCCCACACAACAAGGAATTATCCAACAATGCACAGGACAGCTCCCCACACAACAAGGAATTATCCAACAATGCACAGGACAGCTCCCCACACAACAAGGAATTATCCAACAATGCACAGGACAGCTCCCCACACAACAAGGAATTATCCAACAATGCACAGGACAGCTCCCCACACAACAAGGAATTATCCAACAATGCACAGGACAGCTCCCCACACAGCAAGGAATTATCCAACAATGCACAGGACAGCTCCCCACACAGCAAGGAATTATCCAACAATGCACAGGACAGCTCCCCACACAACAAGGAATTATCCAACAATGCACAGGACAGCTCCCCACACAACAAGGATTTATCCAACAATGCACAGGACAGCTCCCCACACAACAAGGAATTATCCAACAATGCACAGGACAGCTCCCCACACAACAAGGAATTATCCAACATGCACAGGACAGCTCTCCACACAACAAAGAATTATCCAACAATGCACAGGACAGCTCCCCATACAACAAAGAATTATCCAGCCCCAATGCCAACAGCATTGAGGCTGAGAAACCCTGGATTATCCCTTTTTACACATGAGATGAGGGTCTTACAGGTCTTCTAAGTGGTGGAGCCTAGGTTTAATCCCATTTCCGTACTCTTCAGCACTCACTGTGCTAGTATCCCTCTCAGGCGTATGAATACGTCAAGCCACTTCAGCATGATGGCGTTTAAGTTTTAGCTTGTCTACAAAGCAGCACAATACAGTGGTTAAGAGTAGGGTTTTGTCACCAGACTTTCTGGCTTAAATCTGCTCCCATCCCAGCACCACTTAATATGTGTTGTACCTTGGGCAAGTTCAATGATGTCTCTGCCTTGGCCTTAGTTTTCTTCTTCTTTTTTTTAATGCTGCCTCAATTACAGAACAGATGCCTAAGTTTTCTTATCTGTGAGACTGAGCTAAGAATAATGTTGACCTTATAAATTTGTTGCAAAGATTAAATTAGACATTCATGTAAAGCACTTAGGACCATACCTGAGACATAGTAGCCTTTAGTTATTTTTGTCTAATTCTTCTTTCCCTGATACAGTGCCCACCATAAATCCCCAGTCATGGTGCTGACCTGGCATGTGAAGCTGGCTGGGAGGAAAGAGATTTTTCTCTCCCAGCAAAGTAGTAAACAGGCTCTCTCAAGCATTCATCCATCTGGGGAGCTTGGCACACAGGACAGATCCTTTCTCTTAAGTGTCCCAAGGCCAACCCTGAACCATGGAAGCCTTCATTTACCATCAGTTTTTCTTTCAAAACTTCTGCAAGGGCATAAAAATGGGGGACTAAATAGGGACCAAATAAGTGAGTCCATGCTTTGGAAATGATGACCTGAGAGTGTGAGGAAGGGGAGAGCCAGGAGCTGAGTGGCAGCATTGCGGGAGGGCTCTTCCTCCCTTGGTTGGCAGATGGGCGGGTGTGACTGAGGCTCACCATGGGTGGACTGAGCAGACGCCTGCCCTCACACACAACCCCATGCTTTCAGAAGAAGGCGTCAGACCTCCTTGTATGGGAACATCATCACCTTCACGCTTTGTCTTTAATTTGAGAAGCTTATGTGGAAGGAAACAGCACATTCTTGTGAGAAGATAGGTTTTGGAAAGTCCGGAGTAGACAGCATGAATCCAGGGTTTCTAAAGTATACCCTCTCCATGCTTGCTACTCAGGAAGCAGAGGCAGGAGAATCGCTTGAACCCAAGAGGCGGAAGTTGCAGTGAGCCAAGATAGCGCCACTGCACTCCAGCCTGGGTGACAAGCGCGAAACTCTGTGAAACTTTCATTCTGACAGTAGGAAGAGGAAAAGACTCTGGCTGACTCCTTGTGATAGAGCAAACCAAGTTGAGTGTTGTATTTACTTTTCTGGATTTATTTTCACAAATATTCAGCTCAGAATGTGCCAGGGAGGGGAGGAACACAGGAGCTGTATTGGCCACAGCCATGTGCGTCATCCCAGGGGACACTTATGTGAGCCCTGTGGAGCAGGAATTGTTATTCCCATCTTACAGGGGTGACAGCTTAGCTCAGAAAGCTTGCAGTTTGCTCCACGTTACAAAGCTAGTAAGTAGCAGAGCTGAGATTGGAACCCCCGTCCGTCTAATGGCAATGCTTCCTCTTTTGCTATTCTGCCTCACAATTAAATGGAGTAGGACCTGATCCCCGACATCGAGAAACTGACGGTGTTGTCAAGAAATAAATATCCCCCCCCCCACACACATAAATAGAGAACAATAAAAGATAACGTCGGAGGATGAACCCACGAGCGTGGTTTGTGTGGGAGGATGTCTTGATCCTGGGCTCGCAGGGCTGTCCGCTGAACATGACAGTTATCCTGGCTTCACAGTAACCTTTCAGAGGTGCTCTGAGTCCTGAACATCGGAGATAGATTCTTTATCTGGGGAGTGACTACATAATTTAACCATTTGTTATTTTTTATTTTATCAGACTGGGATCCTTTAGGAGCTGAAAGGGACAGTATGAATAATTAGCCCTAGGACAACAGGCAGAAACCGGGACTGCCCCAGGCAGTTAAGATGCATGGTGACCCCACTTAATGGCCAAAATACAAGGAAGGCTTGGTGTCTCCGCAGCTTCCTGAAGAGGGAATGAGGGGCAAGGCTCTGGCCTCGCAGCCAGCTGAGGGAGCGCTTCTCTTTCCACTGTCTGATTCTGGGTCTCTGCTTCCTCATCTGGATAGCAGCCCTAACACCCACTGTATTAGTTATCTGTTGCTGTGTCACAAATCACATGTCAAAACCTAGTAGCTTAAAACAACATTGATTAGCCCTCATAGTGGGTTGGGGATTCCAGAGTGGTTCTGGCTCGAGGTCTCTTATGAGACTGCAGTCAGGATGTTGGCTGGGGATGCAGTTGTCTGAAGGCTCCACTGGAGGATCTGCTTCCCTTGTGGCCCCTCGCTTGGCTGGCTGTTGGCCACAGGCCACAGAGCACTCAGGACCAAGGACTGGAGTGGTGGAACCCTCGTCCTTCATTAACACAAGCAGGGCAGGAGGATGAGGGTTTGTACCTGCTGTTGGCAGGGGGGCCTCAGTTCTTCAGTTCTTCTCCATATGGGTCCCTCCAACAGGTAGCTCAAGTGTTCCACCATGTAGTGACTGACTTTCCCCAATGAAACCATCCAGGAGAGCAAGAACTGGGCAGAAGCTCGCCTTTCCATGACCTCTCAGAAGTCACATAGCATCACTTCTGCCACATTCTGTTTTTCAAAATCGAGCCACTAAGTCTGGCCTACATTCAAGGGGAGGAGAATCATAGCTCACTGTAACCTTGAACTCTTGGGCTCAAGTAATCCTTCCACCTCAGCCTCTGGAGTAGCTGGGACTATAGTCACGTGCCACCACGTCCTGCTCATTTTTTAATTTTTCGTAGAGATGGTGTCTTGCTGTGTTGCCCAGGCTGGCCTCAAACTCCTGGCCTCAAGTGACCCTCCCACCTGAGCCTCTCACAGTGCTAGGATTATAGGTGTGAGCCAGTGCACCTTGCCTAGGCTTCACCTTTCAAAGGGAGGAGTGTCAAATAATTTGTGAACATATTTTAAAACCACTGTACTTAGGGTCAATGTTCTACACTTATAAGTTAAGTACCATGTGTAAAGTGCCTGCAGCAGTACCTGGCACCCATTAAAAACAGAATCTTGGCCCTCCAGAGTCCAGCAGCTGCACTTCTGAATGCTGGTGGGCACGGACGGGGTTTGATGTCCAGTAAGCCTGAGCAGCCCTGCAAATACAGATGAGCCCAAGTCACCTGTACAGTTGGGGCCTGAGGAAGTTAGGTCAGTTCTGAGGCTCCCCCAGATGTGGGACACTCCTCACGGACAAGTTCAGTGTTGTATTTACTTTTCTGGATTTATTTTCACAAATATTCAGCTTAGAATGTGCCAGGGAGGGGAGGAACATACCTCCTATGCGGCAGGAGCTGTATTGGGCACAGCCACGAGTGTCATCCCAGGGAACTCATGTGAGCCCTGTGGAGCAGGCTCTGAGCCTCCCCCAGATGTGGGACACTCCTCAAGGGTTTCCAGGTGACCACAGAGGGTCCCACCTCAGTGTGGACATTTCCATGTGTCCTCCTGAAACCCTCTGGTGAGCATCCCCACCCACCCTTTGGTGTCTGGAGCCATGGTGGCTGGTTGTCCTTCCCACTTAGGGGAACCAGGCCTCAGAACTACAGCTCAGAGGCCTACTCTGTGGGCTGTCCTTTTTTCTAGGGCCTTGATTAAATTTGCTTCTCTGAACACTGTGAGGTATCTGTACTTGTTTTAACTCTTCTAGTGACAGCAATAGAAAACCTAAATTGGTGTAGGTAAAAGAGAATGTAGGGTTTTGCAAACTGAAAGTACCTGGGGTTGGCTTCGACCACAGCTTCTGGTTGGACCTCTGGAAGTTGTCATAGTGTCTCTTTCTCTCTCTCCATCTGTCAGCTTCTCTTCCTCCTTTTGGCTTCGTTCTCAAACAGGCTCTCTGTCCCTTCAGGGTGGCAAAATGGTTGCCAGGCTACAGTAAATAAATAATCTCATTTCCTAAAAGTTCTTGCAAAAATGTCATAGAGTCTGATTGGTCCAATTGAGTTAAGCCTGGGTCGCATGCCCACCTCCTAACGGGTTGGGAGTGAGGTGGAGTGGGGAGGGGATGGCTCCCCAGAGGGAAGGGTAGATGGATGTGGGTGGCAAGAAACATGTCTGCCATGGTATTGTTATCCTCATTTACCAATGAAGTGTTGGCACTCAGAGCAGGCAAGTAGCTTGGCCAGAGTCTCACAGATAATAGCAGGTGCAGACCGTCATCCTCCTGCCCCACTAGTGTTGATGAAGGACGAGGGTCTCACCTTTCCAGTCCTTGGTCCTGAGTGCTCTGTGGCCATCTTCCACTTAAAGCTCTAGGACAGACCAGCAGCTCTGGAAGTGACTGGATTAAAACCCCACCAACTGAAGACAGTGGCGTGGGATGATGGCTCGCTGATGGGAGACAGAATTTCTGTCTCTCCTGTCAGAAGCCCTTTGAAGAACTCAGCTGTCTGGACAACAAAAGTGGGAGCTTTTGTTGTCTAGAAGTTCATGTGACCTTTCCTTTCACCTTTTAGTGCTGCCTAAGTGTAAGATTTAAGCACAGCATTCTTTTCCCATGTGTCATTTTTCAGCAGTTAAAAATCCATCAGCTGAGGCCACACAAAGTTGGCACTCCCTCCTCCACCAACCCTCAGCTAAAAGGTTCAGTGGAAGGGACTGATGCTGTCTCCAGATGCAGACTGGGGCCATGGATTGAGCCACAGAGGGAGGAGGGAGGAGGGTCTCAAATTAAAAAGACAAGAAACAAACAATCTCCCCAAATAAGCAGAAAGTCTGAGCGTGGAACTGAGCTGGTTGGAGCTGGGGAGGGGGTGCGGGAGGTACTTTCAGCACTCCCTCGTGAGATCATGGAACAGGGCAGGAAATCTGAACCTGCTGCCAAAGAAAACTCGCTTTGCCTTTTGTAAAAAGCCTGTCGAGCTTTCTTCACAAGGGAGCTGCTGGTGGGGACTCACAAATGGGCATGCTGCCTGCCAGCAAGGGTCTCCTGGCCAGCCCTAAAGGCCCGGGCTGCTCTGCTTACAGCCACACGGCTGTTTCTGAGCTGAGGATGACCCTCCAGGTGGCTGAGATTCCCTCCAATCTTTTTATTTCTGGTTGGGAAACCCTACACAGACCAGTGTCTGTCTCACGGTTTAAAAGGCTGCATGCAAAACATTTCCTCCCCTGGTAGAAATGCTGCATTGAGCCACAGCCCTCCCTCTGCAGCCTGTGCAGTGTCAAGGGGACAGTGGCTGCATGATGATGTGCCTAGCAGGGTGTCCCCCATCAGGACAGTCACAGGGGTGGAACAAATGCAGGAGCCATGGAGCCAAACTGAACTGGGTTGGAATCCCAGTTTCAGCCACTTAATAGTTACATGGATATTGCCAAGTAGCCTGAGTTCTCAGAGGCTTGATATCCTCATCTGTAAGGTGGGAAGTATAAGACCTACCTCACGGTGTCAGTGTTAAATAAGACAGGGCAAAATGATGAAGGTACTCTGTAAATGTATGTCCATTCCTTCCTCCTCCTCTGGGTTCCTTTTCAGCACTTCCTCACCACAGCACCATTCTTAAGTTTTCTAGCCCCATTTATTTTAGAAGGGGAACTGGAGGCAGCTTGGAGGGAGGTAACATCTGGATGTCGCAGTGACAGCTGGTGGCTGGTGAGGAGTCCACAGGTCAGGGGCAACGGGCCCTGCAGACTTCTCAGCATCCCCTGCTCAGAAGGGGCTCTCAGAGTCCATGGGCTCAGCAGGCTGATTCTTCCCCTCTCCTATGAGACCATCCTCCATGTGGGTCCCATCCAGGAAGCTGCTTCCCTCCCAAGGGAAGGAAGCCACCAGTGTTTCTAGAATCTACATCAGTGCCACTCAAAGCGTGGTCTCCTGACCACTAGCATCCACACCAGCTGGGGCCTGGTCAGAAAAACAACCGTGGGCTCCTCCCCAGACCTATTGAGTCAAACTCTGGGGGTAGTCCCAGCAGTCTGTGTTTTAGCAAGCCTCCATGACTCGAATGTGTGCCACAGTTGGAGAGCCACTGTGCTACGGGCAGGTTATCCCAGAGCAAAGGAAGGAAAACCTCCTCTGCACAATGCACTCTGAAGGCCCCACTGAATACGGGCATCTGTGAGGCAGCATGGGACCTGATCACTCTACCATATATAGCTGTTGTGTGACCTTGGAAAGTTCCCTCACCCTCTCTGGGTCTCTGTGTCCTCATCTGCAAAATGGAACAATCATAATACTGGATTGAGGATGAGAAGCATCAATCTGTTCATCCTAGCAAAATGTTTAGCAAAATGCCACGTGTTCAGAGCTCAGGACAGGTTAGCTCCATCCTGTTAATGTTGAGGCAGCCCACCCAGGTTAAGGGTCTCATTCTGAGAGTGGCTTTGGACAGCTTGAGAATCTACAACTGTAGGTGACAGAGCAAAGAAAACTCTTGAAAAGTTTCTCTTAGAGCCTAATAGCAATAACCATTACCATGGTGGCAGCCACCAGAGTAACTCATTATATCATTCCAGCAACGCTGTGGGTTAGGAGTTACTATCTGTATTTTTACAGGGAGGTACTTAAGGCACCACTTGATAAGTGGTAGAGCCAAGTCAGTTTGAAAAAAACATAATCATTGTGCAATGACAATTTGAGACATTTTCAGGGTCCCAGTTCCATCCCCTAGGAATCTGTAAAGAGGAGAGTGGCTTCAACCTGCTGTTCAGGGCCTCTGCCCTCATTCCCTGGAGGCTGGTTTGGACAGTGTGAGAGGCATCCTTCCCAAAGCAGACAAAGAGAAAACACATGGGAATGGTAATTAAATGAGTCCATGTTTAAGGGACACTTAAGTGGATTAAAATCAATATGTAGTCACATAAGTCTGCTAAGCCATCCTTAATGTTTGGCGGGTGGATTTCTTTGTTTAAAAAATCCTGGTTTGCTTGAAACTGGCTGCCCCATTGAAGCATGAGATAGGACGAGAGATTCCCAGGACCTGGAAGACCACTTGCTCAGAGTCTGAAATGTTTACACTGCCTCTGACTGGCATCTCTATACCAGAAAGGAGAAGAGGGGGACTAGATGTTTTTGTGTGATAGTCTCTTTCCTGCTATCTTAGGCTGAGTTCCCTAAAACAAAATCCTGAGATGAGACATCATGTAAAAATAATTTGTTAGGAAGTGTTCTCAGGGGAATGGGAAGTAGAGCTTCAAAGGGAAGGAGGCCAAACAAGGATGTGATATCAAGCAAAGTCCCCAGGAGACAGAAAGAAGGTGGGTGACTTTGGCACCGTCTAAAGTATAGGTCACATCTCACTGTCCCAATCAGGGACAAAAGAGCATGGCTGAGGATTCCCCCAAGGGGATGTGAATTCTCAAGCACTTCCATCTCTCCATGTTCATGCAAAGAAGGTGCCAGGAGCCCCGTGGCCATCCTCCCACAAAAGACACACAGGTGGTGGCATCTGGGGGGTCAATGTGCATGGTTGTGCATGGTAGAGACCCCTGGATGGAGCTCCATGATGTGGGATTTACATCCCGCCCATACTCTGCTGTGAGAGAGATGGTATGCAGCCAGTCCAGCCATCTGAAGCAGAACGAAAAAATGGTATGGAAAGCAAGGCACCTGAAAAAATTTTCAAAGGGAGAAAAAGAATGAGCAAAACTATCCTGTAGAGGAGAGAGACATTGAAAATGACATATACAGACACAGAAAAGGTTGCTCAGTCAACAACTTCTGCAGGCTCAAAGCATGGGAAGTAATCAGTAAATGGCCAATTTATCTCTCCCTCACAGCCAAGCCAACTCCTAACATAATTGGAAGTTTAATATATTCCAACAAGTTCAGAACAAGCATACTAGATCTTAAGGCAATCTCATGGCCCTGCAGCTCATCCTTTTTTTCAAAGAAATTAATTTTCAAAAAATGACTCTATTGAGATTGAATTTAGATCTTATCCATTGCCATAACCAAAAGCAACCCTTACTATTTGTGTGTGCAAGTCGTTTTAAACAGCTGGCCCATTAACTGAAAAATGTCAAAAACAAATATAGGAGAAAAGTAAGATAATCTTGGAAGGCAAAGCCTGTCTCCCTATATTGTTCTTAAAAATACAAAAGGGACACATAACTTCATCATTTAATTATATTAGGAGGTCCGTCATTCAGTGCTCTTGTAAAACTGTCTTGCCCTTGTTCTAATTGCGTATTGATCACCGAGGTTCTTGGCATCGGGCTTTTCTTTGATGTGTGCATGATCAGAACACACTAAGAGACAGCCTGTGTGCTCCTTCCTGTCCTCGTGGGCATTTCCTAAAGCTTCAGCCCTAAGCTGGTATATGTTTCTCTGTTACATCAACTGCCAAGGCAATTACTTTACATCTGATATTTAATGGAAAAGCTTCTGAGGACAGGGCTATACTCACATACCTCCACACCTGGCACAGTAGATGAGCTCACTATCTGTTGAATAAGTTCGTGACAGAACAGAAGTTCTACTGCAGCCACAAAGGCCTATTCACAGTCTTTAAGCCTGATGAAGTTCTGAATAAGTAAACCCTTAGCTACATCAGGCAGTTTATGAATGGTGTTTTTTGTTACTGTCATTTGTAATAGCTTTTGACCTATGTGTTTGTATTAGTCCGTTTTCACACTGCTATAACGAACTACCCGAGACTGGGCAATTTATGAAGAAAGAGGTTTAACTGATTGACAGTTCCACAGGCTTCACAGGAAGCACGACTAGGAGGCCTCAGGAAACTTACAATCACGGCAGAAGGTGAACGGAAGCAAGAACCTTCTTCACATGGTGGCAGGAGAGAAGGGGGCTGGTGGGGGAGTGCCACACACTTTTAAACCTTCAGATCTCATGAGAACTCACTCACTATCACAAGAACAATAAGGGGAAAATCCACCTCCATGATCCAGTCACCTTCCACCAGATCCCTCCTTAAATTCAACATGAGATTTGGGTAGGGACACAAATCCAGACCATATCAGTGTGCAAATGATGAGCTAATTTTCCCACTAAAGTAAGCACTGGTATGGTACATAGTATGACTATGGTAGTCCAGTATTGGATTCCATAATTTAAATAACTAGTAGACTTTTTAGTTAGTTGAAAGGTAAAACAATGGTAATAACAATGAGCTGTAAAATACGACCTGTGGGGTGGGAATGGGGACAGCCAATGCTTCTCTGGTAAAGGGAGGCCAGTTTCAGCCCCTGGTGCAACAGCACCCCCATGCATTCATCATGTGAGATGATAAGTGTCTTTCCTTGAACCAGTTCTTCTTCTTCCTCCTAGGCTGGGAACTTCTCCTTGGAGACAGCAGGAACTGTGTTACAAAGGCATATGGCCCAACAAAGGACACTGAGGCTACTCAGTAATTATTAAATGAGAGCATGAACAAAGGAATGTAAGATGTAACAGAAAACATACGTGTCTCACACATGAGAATTATTGTGTAGAAGCTGTTTCCCATTTGAGACAAAATAAGAAACACTTGTTGAACGAGTAGATGGGCTTCCTCTGGGAGCACAGCAGGTAGGCACCCATGTTGGAGCCAGCCATGGTCTGCAGAGTTCATTTCTCTGAGTCCCTGCCCCAGAGGCACATGACATAGGAGGCTCCAGACAACTGACTCAAAGACAGAGAGGACCATAATACCAGGGTTCCTCAGTCCTCACCAGCATAAGAATCCCAGAGAAGGCATTTTTTTTCTCACATACTCTAGGTCTCAATCTCTTAACTTCAAAAATGGCAGTGGCTACATTAGCTCTTGGGACCAGTGTTTCAAAGGCTAGTGTAGAACACTTGCCTCAGATGATTCAAGATCCAGGTTTCCTGACTCTGCTTCTGCTGTAAAGAATCCCACTCTGGAGGCTGGGGCCTGCAATCTGCATCTTTAACAAGCCCACCAGAGAATTTCAATGCAGTTTCACTTTTGAGGGTTTTTAACTTGATTGTCCATCAGAACCACCTGGGGAGCTTTCAGCAAATGCATGCCGACGCCACATGCATTGATTCTGCGGCCACACAGAGGGGCCTGCATCTGGGTCTTTTTTACAAAGCTTTTCATAGGATTGTCATCGTCACCTTTCCAGCACTGTTATGCAAATTGGAGAGACTCATGCCAAGGTGAAGGGCTTGGTGAGAGCAGCCAGGTCTTCTATGCAGTGATCAGCCTGCACAGCTGGGTGTGGCATCTCTGGCTCCCAGGTGGTTCCAGTGCACACCCCCAGTTAAGAACCAATGAAGAATGTTGCTTGTTAACAACCTTTGAAGGCTTTTTAGCAAAAACAAAGTGTCATATTGGGATTCATCTGTGGCAGTTTGCAGAACATATCAGGGGAGAGAGGTGTGTGCAAGGCATCCACCAGGAGGCCGTTTTGTGCTGGTCTAGGTAAGAGGAGATTGGAGCTGACCTGTTGAAGCAACAAAGAGAAAGGGAGGAAGGATCATCCTAGAAGTGGATACCAGTTCTTTAAGAAGAGTCCTGAGATGTACCCAGGAGTAGCAAAGTGGATGTGCCAACCCGAGGGAAGAGATTAGTAAGCTGCTGCCCCCTGAGACAGGGCTCCATGAGCTGACAGGTTGATCTGTGGAGATACACTCTGAAGGTGCTAGACTAGGAAGAGGTCCTCTCAGGCCCCATCCCTTCATCTTCAGCCAAAGGAAGTTCAGCAGTAGCTGCCCCTGGCCTCTGTTCTCAGTCCACAGCTCCACCAGCCCAGTTGCTTGTGCAGAGGGAGAGGATGTGGGAGAGATGCTGTCAACACCCTCCATGTCCCCTCCACCCACCCTGGAGGCCGCCTATGACAGTTCGCCATAGGCGAACTGTTTCTCTGGTTAGGAACTTTCTCTGGCTACAGGAGTGTGCTGCACCCGAGTCAGGAGGGCTGGAAGTGCAGGATAGTTAACGTCCCCAGTACAGTTTTCTACCAAGGAGAGACCGGTGAGATGGATAGATGCCCCAGCTTTCTCACCCGTTGATGACACACTTCACTACCCTCTCCTGGAGCTCCCTGAGATCACTGCCCATACAAACTAATTGCACCCCAATGCTTGTCCCAAAGTCTGCTCAGATAAGGGCCGTGTGAATAGACAGGTCTTCAGTTCCAGAAAAGTGTATACTCACACAGGAAATATCTCTCAAATAACATGGGCAGTGTATATGTTATTTTTCTGGAGGGCAGAGGGCATCATGAGGAAGGTGGTCTTCGTGGGGTGAATATCATGTTTCCTCCAGGGAGGGCTCAGTGACATGGAGCAGTGCTTCTCAAATGTCCATGTTCGCAGAGGTTAGCTTCTAACTCATCAGGTCTAGGGTGGGGCCTGAGAATCTGCATTTCTAACAGTGAGCATGTCCAGGGACCACACTTTGAGTAGCAAGACCTTCACAGCTTCAAGTTGCAAACCAGTTTTGAATGAGCAGAGTAGAAGGGGGTTTGCAGGTGAGAAGGAACTCTTCACCATGAGTACATTTCTATGAAGATTTCTGGCCAGGATTTTAGTAAGTACCTGAGCCCCTTCAAACATTTGACTCCCGCATAACCTTTTCATCCAAACACCATTCATGAGTTGTTTTTATGCCATGAGGTTAAATTCTTTCCTATCATTTCAGGGGAGGTCCCCACTTGTTGAGTTTTCCGTCAGCCTATAAGGCAAAGGAAAAGAGTGATAGAAAATAAAAATAACTTGATTCATTAGATGGAATTCAACTTGAATTCTTAGTTTGTTGACTAAGAATTTGCAGCCTCCGAGGAAATTTTTTTTAATTGAAGAAAAACTAATTTTTAAAAATCTGAAAATAATTCGTTTGTGACTATTTAACAGAAGGAAAAACTTCCTGAGTGAGCATCAAATACTTTAATTACTTCTTAGGCTTCAGAAGGGATGGCTTGCTAGTCTTTGTACTTTGGGCTTTCTGTTACGACTGGTTGACTTAGATTTATTTGTTTATTTAGCTTCTTAATTTCATATCCTGTGGTCCTGAAGAGGACAATCACCAGGATTTAGGGGAGTGTTTTTGTCTTTATTCACTTTGGAAAAATGTAAAGATTAGTCCTAAGCAGGGTTGATTCACCGCACTACAGAGGGACACGTTAGGAACGAGACAGCTTATTCAAGTGCTTTTGAATTTGTATTGGTTTTTTAAAATGTAAGATTATTTTTACTTATTTTAAATCTTTCAAAGCACTTTTTTCCTCAGGGCCAAGTGGACTCTTTGGGAGGAGACCTCGCCGTCTCCATTTGATCACATAATTGCTTCTGATGCCAGCCAGTCTGCAACTGCCAGTGATTGGCACAGGGTTATTTCATGTGCACTTCAATCAAATTTCTTTTCTTGCCTTTTTTTTTTTTTTTTTTTTTTTTTTAAGAAAAAATCTCACTGTGGCACCCAGGCTGGAGTGCAGTGGTGCAATCATATCTCACTGCAACCTTCAATTCCTGGGCCTGTGATCTTCCCACCTCAACTCCCAAGTAGCTGGGACCACAGGTGTGTGCCACCACCTCTGGCTAATTTTTATTTTTGTTGAGACAGGGTCTTACTATGTTGTCTAGGCTGGCCTTGAACTCCTGGCCTCAAGTGAACCTCCTGCCTTGGCCTCCCAAAATGCCGGGATTACAGGTGTGAGCCATCCATACCTGGCCTCCAAATTTCACTACCTAACTTGGGAGAGGAATTTTGCATTAGCAGTTACATGGTTCATCTGCCTCAAACATTTGTTTTGACTCTAGCTTTTGCTTGTTTCACTTTTTTAAGCTTGGAAAGAACAAACTTAGAATAGTGTAGGCCTTGGCTTCCACATGGATGTTTTGACAAAATTTCAAGGAAGCAACTGGCTTTGTAGTGCTTTCTTTGTCCTGCTTCTCCAAATTCCCCAAGTGCATGGGTAATCACCTCTGGTTCCCTCGGAGTGTTCGTGGCCAGCTCCTTCCCAGCCTTGCCAGCCCATTGTCTGCATTTGGCATCTGCGCTGGAGTCACTGTGTGCTCCAGTTCCTTAAGGATACTTTTAGTTTATCTGATCTGTGCTCCACACCTCTTCAGACTCCATTTCCATGAATGTTTTGGGAGAGGTGAGGAAGAAACCTTTTCTGCTCATTGTTGCGCGTTCCCCACCCCAGGCCCCGTCTGATCTATTCTTACATCACAACTAAAAATATTCTTAAAAATGTGAATCAGATGGTATGACTCCCCTGCTCAGAACCCTCCAGTGCCTTCCCTCTGTACTTGGAACCAAGTCCAAACTCCTGATGAGCAGCAGGGCTCCGCATGGCCTGGCCTTTCATCTGTTGCTTCCCAAACGTGTGGCCTCTGGTTGGTTTCTGGAACTCACCATGCCTTTCCCCACACATGCTGGTTCTTCTGCCAGGGACACTCTTCACTCTCCCTTCATGTGCTTAGCCCCTTCTTAGCTTGCAGGTCTCAGCTAAATGGTACCTCCTCAAAAGGGCCTTCCCTCCACCTATACCAGGTATAATGCTGTTTGCCTCCTTCAGAATGCCTCTCACAGGCTGTGATTACTTTAAACAGATTCGTTGAGATATAGTTCAGATGCCATGCAATTAACCCTTTTAATGTATACAATTCAGTGGGTTTGAGTATATTTTCAGAGTTGTGCATCTATTGCCAGAGTCAATTTTAGAACATTTCATTACCTCAAAAAGAACCACCATACTTCTTAGCTGTCGTACCCCTTCCCCTATTTCCACCAGCCAAAGGCAACCAGAAATCTACTTTCTTTCTCTCTAGATTTGCCTATTCTGGACATTGTGTATAAGTGGAATCATTTATATGAAATGGAGCCAGTCCTTTGTGACTGGCTTCTGTCACTTAGCGTAATGTTTTCAGAGTTCATTTGTTTGTGGCATATGTCATACTTCATTCTTTTTCATGGCTGAATAATATTCCATTGTATGGATATACCACATTGTGTTTATTCATTCATCAGTTGCTGGACATTAGATTGTTTCCAGTTTTTGGCTATTACAAATTATGCTGCTATCAATATTTGTGTACACATTTTTGTGTGGGCTCATGTTTTTATTTCTCTTGGGTACATACCTAAGAGTGGGATTGCTGGGTTACATGGTAACTTATATTTCACTGTTAAGAAACTGCCAGGCTGCTTTTCAAAGCCACTATACTATTTTACATTCCCATCAGTAGTATGTAATGGTTCCAGTTTGTCCACATCTAGTCCAGCATTTGTTATTGTTTGTCTTTTTGATTGTAGCCATTCTAATGAGTAGGAAGTAGCATCTCTTTGTGGTTTTGATTTAGATTTCCCTGAAGGTTAATGATGTTGAGCATCTTTTCATGTGATTATTGGCCATCTGTATGTATTTTTTGGAAAAACTATTCAGATCCTTTACCCATTTGATAGTTAGGTTACTTATCTTTTTATTATTGAGCTGCAAGACTTTTTAAAAATGTATCCTAAAGTTCCTATTAGACATATGATTTAAAATATTCTCATCCTGTGGATTTTTTCACTTTCTTAATGGTGTCCTTTGAAACACATGAGTTTTAAATTTTGATGATATCCAGATTATCCAGTTTTTTTTGCTACTTTTGTAATTATTATTATTATTTTTATTATTATTATTTGAGGCAGAGTCTCGATGTGTCACCCAGGATGAAATGCAGTAGTGCGATCTCGGCTCACTGCAATCTCCGCCTGCTGGGTTCAATTGATCCTTCCACCTCAGCCTCCCAAGTAGCTGGGGCTACAGATGTGTGCTACTACAACTGGGCTAATTTTTGTGTTTTTAGTAGAGACAGGGTTTTGTTATGTTGGCCAGGCTGGTCACAAACTCCTGGCCCCAAGTGATCCACCTGCCTTGGCCTCCCAAGGTGCTGGGATTACAGGCATGAGACACTGTGCCCTGCCAGTTATTTTTCATTTCCTTTTGAATTTTTTGTTTTTGCCATCTCCCCGTGTAGGCTGCATGTGCTGCGACGGCAGCGCTGTGTTTGCCATTGTAGCCCCATCCCCTAGAACAGGGCGTGATATAGGGCAGCGGTCAGTGAATAGCTCTTCAGTGAGTTAGTAAACAAAGTGGTTCTCAAAATGTAAAATTCTTCCTTGACTCACTAAGCAACCTTCTGATTGCAACTGCTTTCCCTTTTTGGCCTCCAAGACAGGAATTCTCTGGCCCTGCTGACAGGAGCCCCATGTTGCACAGGGCAACTATGTCACTCATTGGAAATTAACATGTCTGCCCTCTGACTTCAGTATTTCTCCCAGGAGCAGAGGATGGAAGTTCTTCACAGCTGGATCTGCTGTATCATTCAGAAGCTGGCTTCAGAGCCTGTGTAGCTGGAAGCCTCGGGCTCACATCAAGGAAGGGAATGCCACTCAGCCTCTGGGCACACAGCTGCAACTTCCCCTGGTGCTGTCTCTCTTGGTGCTACCCTATACTAGCCTTGTCCCGAAACATCTACCCCATTCATTTCACCCTCTCTGCTACTATGTCACTGCCTCTCCCATCACAGTATTCCACCCAAATGAGGCAAATTCTTATCCTTTCAAGACCTACCCTAGAGTCACCTTTTTTGATATATTTGCTTTTTTATTTACTCCACCAGGCAAAGAGGGTGGCACCCTGCTATGAGCTCTTGGAACAATTTATTTATAAGTTCCTTATAGCCTGGATCGTATTCAACCAATAGTTTTTCCCCCTCTATTAAAATGCATTAATTTGGAGTCTTTGCTTACTAAATGCTGTCTCCTTTTTTTTTGAGACAGAGTTTCGCTCTTGTTGCCCAGCCTAGAGTGCAATGGTGCAAACTCGGCTTACTGCAACCTCTGCCTCCTGGGTCCAAGCGATTCTCCTGCCTCAGCCTCCCAAGTAGCTGGGATTACAGGCATCTGCCCACCACGCCCAGCTAATTTTTTGTATTTTTATTAGAGACGGAGTTTCACCATGTTGGCCAGGCTGGTCTCAAACGCCTGACCTCAGGTGATCCACCCACCTCAGCCTCCCAAATGGCTGGGATTACAGTCGTGAGCCACTGAGCCCGGTCAAAATCCCTTCTTACCTGTCATTTGTATTCTCCCCATTCTGTGTCTGACATCTTGTAGGTGTTTGTTAGATGATTGGTGAGTGAATTAATGAATGTACAGATGGATGATGTATAAGTCCTTTCAGAGGGAAACTTTGAGTATGTTAAGACCCCAGGAAGGCTTATACTTGATCTTTGTATCCAGAATGTTGCCAACATTCTGGATACAAAGAAAAGCACCCTCTCTGTGACTTCTCAGATCCCATCTGCCTCTGATCTTTCATGACCCCTGCTGGATTGACTACATGAGCCTCTTTCAGAAGTTTGACTAGCAAATCAACAAAACAGTTCACCCTCTGCATCTCTGCTCAGGGATCAACAGGAGTGCTTGCTTATGTGGCTTCATTCCAGTGGGAGGTTCATATTTTCTTAGTTATGTATCATGTAGTCTTCCTTGATTCAAGAGTACCATGACTTGTGTTTGTTCTGACTCCAGGACTATCCATGAGTAACCCTCAGCCAAGAGTGTATCATCAGGGCCTGAGCAAGTGGCAGGAGACAAGGTATAGTGTGAATCTAGTACATGGAAGAGAATGTCTTGACAGCTGGGGTCTGTAATTCATATGCTGTTCAAATGACAGGCCTTTTCCCCACACCTGTGTGTATTCAAAGCACCATGTCATGTTCTGTAGGGAGATAGGCAGGGGAGTTGGGTCAGGAGAAGGAAGTTAAGATTGAAGGAGAACATGCAGAGGAGCTTTGGGAAGGAATGTGCCCGGCTCACATCCTGGCTCCATCATTTACCAACTGGGAAACCCTGGGCAAGTGATATAACTTCACATTCCAGTTTCCTCCTCATAAAAATGGAAATAAAGAGAAGGTGTACATAGAGTTTTTAGATAATGGATTTAAAACACTACCTGGCACACAGTAAACCATTACTAAGTAGAGGCTATGTACTCCATCCTACACGCATCAGCAGTGGCAGTCCAGCAATACTCCTATAAGGCACATGTTATGACTTCATTTTACTGGTAAGGAACTGGAGGCTTAGAGAAAGGATGGTTAATTTGCCTGACAACACATTGCTGGTATATATCTGAGCCAATAATCAAAATTGGGACACTAATGCCAAAGGTTTTACAATTTCTATGCTGCAGGCTCAGGTGTTTTTCTTCATGGGTAGGAACTTTATGGCTCAAGCCCGAAGGATTCCCCTCTGGGAATACGACTGTTCTGGTAAGGTTCAAGCTGACTCATCATTGAGTGCTGCTAATAAAGTGTTTGCTGAGAATGTTTTCTGTTAACTCATTGAGCCAGGTTATTAAGAACCTGTGCTCACCTCTGACACCTCAGTTGATTGGGGAATTTGGGATGAAGTGCTTCCAAAATTTATTTGAATTCTAAATTAACTAAGTGAGTTAACGTGGAAGCCGCTTTTACCAGCCCACAAGGGTCACGCTTGTTGTGTCTGGAAGAAGGAAAGGGTCTTAGAGGAACACAAATTGCCAGACTGACAGTCAGATATGGAGACACCAGGGTCATCTTCAGTTTAACAAACACATGTCAGAACTAGAAAGTTGGAAGTGAGACTTCAAACTCTACCTAGCATTGAGCATAAGCAGGTCACTGACCACAAAGATATTCTGTTCCCAAAGAGCACCATATTCGTGGTCAAGTAAGGCCAGAGTCTAGACTGACATCAAATGCTTGTATGATTGGGAGGAAGGAGCCCGAAGGCCAAAGAGGCTCACTAATTTCATTATTCGATTCTTCCAACCACTGCACGTTACAAACAGGGCTGTAGCCTGGGTCTACTGGCCAAGCTTCCGGGGCTGGGACAGGCAAGGTATGTCTGGATGAGAGAAGGTCTTTGCCAAGACAAGCATCTCTTGTGCCAGGCAGACCAGCAAATGAGCTGCTTCTTGCAGCCCCTTCTTTGGCATCTCCCATAAGCCAAGGCCTATTCATTTAATAAATGCAGACTCAGGAGCTACTAAGTGCCAGGCTCGGTGCCAGACACTGAGAATACGGAAATGAGTACGCATAAATCAAGTGTGCTTTTCATCACTGTGTTTTTAAAAATGTTAACTGATGATTTCCTGATCCTGAGAGTAATGTGCAGATGCTCCTTGAACTATGTTGGGGTTATGTCCTGATAAACCCATAGTTAGTTGAAAATATCATAAGTTGAAAATGCATTTAATACACTCAGCCTACCAAACATCATAGCTTAGCCTAGCCTACTTAAACATGCTTAGAACAGTTCCATTAACCTACAGTTGGGCAGAATCATCTGGCAACACAGCCCTCCATAGAGTATCGATTGTTTACCCTGGTGATGATGTGGCTGACGAGGTGCTACAGCTCGCTGCGCTGGCCAGCATCTTGAGAGTATTGTACAGCTTTCTACCACTTTCCACTGAATACCTATTGTTTTTACACCATCAGAAAGTTGAAAAATCTTAAGTAGAACCATCATAAGTCAGGGACTATCTGTATGGTAGTAGAAATTTTTAATTGAATCTTCTGTAATCTTCAGCAAGAAACCCTGAGAATATTGAACG